>NC_000011.10:77722362-78025392 GCF_000001405.40 Homo sapiens | reverse complement strand
TAATCAGCTGCCAGCATGGCTAGAACATAAAGCAGGCAGAAAAATGTGAAAAGAGAGACTGGCCTAGCCTCCCAGCCTACATCTTTTTCCCGTGCTGGATGCTTCCTGCCTTCAAACATCAGACTCCAAGTTCTTCATTTTTGGAACTCGGACTGGCTCTCCTTGCTTCTCAGCCTGCCAATGGCCTGTTATGGGACCTTGTGATTGTGTGAGTTAATACTTAATAAACTCCCCTTTATATATATATATATATATATATATATATATATATATACACACACACACACACACACACACACACACACACGTGTGTATATATGTGTGTGTGTATATATACACACATATGTATATATATAACGGGGAGTTAAAAAAGTAATGGAATATATATATACAAATATATGTGTATGTATATATACCATTAGTTTTATTTTATTATTATTGTTTTTTGAGATGGGATTACACTCTTGTTGCCCAGGCTGGAGTGCAATGGCTTGATCTCAGCTCACTGCAACCTCCGTCTCCTAGGTTCAAGCGATTCTTCTGCCTCAGCCTCCCAAGTAGCTGGGATTACAGGTGCCCACCACCACGCCCAGCTAATTTTTTGTATTTTGTAGAGATGGGGTTTCGCCATGTTAGTCAGGCTGGTCTCGAACTCCTAACCTCAGGTGATCCACCTGCCATGGCCTCCCAAAGTGCTGAGATTACAGGCGTGAGCAACCGTGTCCAACCCTATTCCGTTAGTTCTGTCCCTCTGTAGAACCCTGACTAATAGAGTCATTTCTGGTAAATGCTAATGTTAGACAGAAACGAAACTTAACATTAGCCAACCACAAGCAGCCAACTAACATACAATTAAGTAGCTGTGGACTTTTCAACAAAGGAAACCAAAAAAGGAGATTTTTTAACTGTAACCAATTTTATATATATATATGTATATATATATATATGTGTGTGTGTGTGTGTGTGTGTGTGTGTGTGTGTATATATATATATATTTTTTTTTTTTTTTTTTGAGAGGGAATCTTTGTTGCCCAGGCTGGAGTTCAGTGGTGCAATCTTAGCTCACTACAATCTCTGCCTCCCGGGTTCCAGCGATTCTCCTGCCTCAGCGTCCACAGTATCTGGGATTACAGGCACATGCCATCACACCCAGCTAATTTTTGTATTTTCAGTAGAGACGGGGTTTCACCATTTTGGTCAGGCTGGTCTCGAACTTCTGACCTCAAATGATCTGTCCGCTTTGGCCTCCCAAAGTGCTAGGATTACAGGCGTGAGCCACCATGCCTGTCCCCAACAAAATATCTTGCTTCCATATTCTCCCCATAAATATTTGCCTCTGATGCATTGTCATGGGAACACTCAACCTCTTTCCATCTGGTGTTCCCCGATTCAAGAATTGCCTGTTACTCAAGTATACTCTTAAAAAAGTTTTGTTGATCCTCAGACTTTACATTTTAACACCACCCTACCTCCTAGAGCGCCAGTTTTCTGATCTGTAAAATGGGTGTTGCGGATCTTTCACTCCCTAGGACTGTAGGGAATAGAAAGTCTCTGGTTGTCAATGTCAGTCAATGTCAATTCCTTCTGCCTCCCCCATTTCACTACTGGGAACT
Organism: Homo sapiens; assembly: GCF_000001405.40. Lineage (NCBI taxonomy): Eukaryota > Metazoa > Chordata > Mammalia > Primates > Hominidae > Homo > Homo sapiens. The sequence continues at coordinate 78,023,779 of NC_000011.10, read as the reverse complement.
CCGAGGCCCAGAGAGGGGCATTAACTAATGTCAACTTTAATAACGGGATTCAAGCAATATGTTTAAGTAATTTATTTAAGCGTAAAAGAAAATATAGGAAGAGGCAAGTTGCCGTGGCTCAGGCCTGTAATCCCACCACTTTGGGAGGCTGAGGTGGGAGGATCACTTGAGCCCAGGAGGTTGAGGTTGCAGTGAGCCTGATCCGCCACTGCACTTCAGCCTGAGCGATAGAGTGAGACCCTGTCTCTGAAAAAAAAAAAAGAAAGAAAGAAAGAAAAGGAAGGAAATTAATCTATATCAAAAGGTCAGTCCTTAAGGGGTCTGCTCCATTTCTCGGTCTCCAAAGTCAGCCCTTCTCAGGGCCTAACAACTTTTAGAAGCCCCAAATAGACAGACTGTCCATTTCTTTCTGCACTTGGCCCAGTCTCACTGCAAGCCACGCCTGGCTCAGCCCCGTCCCGCCTTGAGCCTCGGTGTTCCCACCTAGGGGCGGGCAGCCAGGGGCACTTCCGCTGGCCCAAGTGATCTGCATGTGGCAGGGCTGCGCAGTGGAGCGGCCAGTGGGCAGGATGACGAGCCAGACCCCTCTGCCCCAGTCCCCCCGGCCCAGGCGGCCAACGGTAAGTGCGAGGCTAGCTGCGTCCCCGCGCCTCTGTCCTCCGCCTCTTCCCTCCGCCTCTTCCCTCCCTTCCAGTTTCTCCTGCCCGTCCCTCCCAGACGCCCGAGCCCCCTGCTTCTGGCGCGCTGTCCCCCTTCACCTCGGGCTGGTCGCTCTCTTCAATCTTTGCCGTCCCTCCTGCTGGGATCACTCTCCTTTCGCGCCTCGGTGTCCCTTTCTGGTTTGGCTCTGTCCAGCCTTTCCTCTTTGCCCTTTTGCTTCCTCCCTCTACATTGGGTCTTTAGTTCCTTTCCCTTGTCTCTTCCCCACCGGCTTGTCCTAGCCCACGACTCCTCCTCTGCCCCACCTTCTCCCTTGCTCCCGGTGGGAGAAGCCCATCCAACCAGCTCGGCCAGAGGATCTTTCCCTCACCTGCAGCCCTCTCCAGCCTGCCCCTGCCCCTTGGCTGGGTCTTCAGCCTGCCCCTGCCCTCTGGCTGGGTCCCAAATCCCTCTGCTTGCCTGCCTGGTCCCCAGCTTGGGTGAGGGGAGTTGGGGAGGAGGATGGGGAAAAGGCTGCGTGCACTCTGGGAGCAGAACATTCGGGTTCTCTCCTGCACTGAGAGTCATCCTGAAGACCTGGAGGAAGAGAAAGCAGATCCAGCAGCAGGGCAGCGTGGCTCTCTCTAATAGGGCCATGATCACGTCATTGTTGTTGGCTATTGACAAAGCCACATGCCTAGTGCCAGGACCACCCTAGGTGTTCCATAAATGCCTGAATGAATTACTGGGGAAGTGTAAGGCACTGTGCATGATGCCAGGTAGGGCAAGATTGGCCTTGAACAGAATACTAGATGCTCCTGTAAATCAGAGGATATTCCCCTCCCTTAGGAGCCTCACAGAGTTTTTGTTTGTTTGTTTGTTTGTTAAAATAGAGATGGGGTCTCGCCATGTTGGTGAGACCCAGGCTGGTCTCAAACTCTTAGGCTCAGGCAATCCTCCTACCTCAGCCTCCCAAAGTGCTGGGATTACAGGCATGAAACACAGCACTTGGCCAGGAACCTCACAGTCAATGAAGAAACAGGGAATTGCAAGGGAAGAACTGCCAGGCCAGTGGAAGTATAGTAGTGTAGGACTTTCTGGGATCACAGTGAGACAACCCACCCCGAAGGACTCCCAGAGGAATTCATCTGAAGGATGAGTGGGGTCAGAGAAAGGAGTGCGGATGGCCAAGTGAGTGAGCTTCTGGAGGTGAGGGGGCTTGCCCAGCTCTGGATTGGAGGAGTGGGGAGCAGCAGGCAGTTCTGGTAGTTGATTGCGAGGGGTGAAGTAGCAGCCTAGTTGCAAAGGGCCTCTAAACCTTGTTATGGAGTCTGCTGTTTATCTGGAAGGGAATGAAAAGTTACTCAAGTGTTTAATGCAGGGAGTGACAGGATCAGATTTGTACTTCAGAAAACGTACTCTCAGCCAGGCGTGGTAGCTCATGCCTGTAGTTCCAGCACTTTGGGAGGCAGAGGTGGGTGGACCACCTACCTCAGGCGTTCGAGGCCAGCCTGGCCAACATGGCAAAACCCTGTCTGTATAAAAAATAGAGAAATTAGCTGGACATGGTGGCACACACCTGTAGTCCCAGCCACTCTGGAGGCTGAGGCAGGAGAATCGCTTGAGCCTAAGAGGTGGGGGTTGCAGTGAGCCGAGATTGTACCACTGCACTCCAGCCTGGGCAACAGAGTGAGACCTTGTCTCAAAACAAAAAACAAGCAAACAAAAACAAAAAACAAAAAGAAGCTTAGGAACACGGCTGAGGTCTTGTTTGATAAAGAAATGGAGCTGAAGATGTCAGTGCAGGAAACTTTTTTTTTTTTTTTTTTTTTTTTTTTTTTTTGAGACAGGGTCTCCCTCTGTCACCTAGGCTGGAGTGCAGTAGTGCAATCTTGGCTCACTGCAACCTCTGCCTTCCGGGTTCAAGCAATTCTCAGCCTCCCAAGTAGCTGGGATTACAGGCATGCACCACCAGGGCCCAGCTAATTTTTTGTATTTTTAGTAGAGATAGGGTTTTGCCATGTTGTCCAGGCTAGTCTTGAACTCCTGGCCTCAAGTGATCCTCCCACCTTGGCCTCCCAAAGTGCTGGGATTACAGGCGTAAGCCACTGCACCCAGCCTGTTTTTTTGAAGCATCTGGAAATTAGCTTCAGAAAGGATATTTGATGTGATTGGATCTGTTAGACTTTCAGAGCTGGGGAAGCTTAGCATTCTTTTGGTCCATTTTGCCTCCCTATTTCACAGATGACTAAGCTTAGTTCCAGAGACGGAAAGCAAAGGGCCCTGGGCACATATCAAAGTATTGGCAGTAGGGGGGCAGGATGTTGGGAAGGATGGCGGTGAGGCACCCTTACTGTGTTGGAGTCATGCTAATACAGGTATCATCTCAGCTCCAACTTCATCACATCCTAGCTGTGTGACTTCTGTCTGAGCTTTCCTTGCCTGTAACATGGGGACATTAGGAGGACCTGAGAGCTTTCAGTGGTGTAGGAGTAATGAGAACATATTGGTCCATTCAAGGGTTAAACTCTGCAGCTTTGCATTTAACTGCGAGCTTTACAGAGGTGACTTCAGGGTTAACCAAACAGCCCTGCCAAGGGGCCTTGAGGTTTATGGGAGAAAGAATCAGAGGTTCTGGGCTTATTTTTCTCAGCTCTATTGTTTGGCTGCTGTCAAGATGCGTCCTCTCCTCTGCCTTCTCCCTTCCAGTCAGCAGAACTGTCCCCTGGTAGGAGATGTTGTCATGGCAATCAGATTTCTCCAGCAGTTCGGTTGACTTTGGCTCTATTAACTCCAGTACTTTAATCTTAGGAGAGCCCACAGACCAGTTGAGAATGAGGACACACCTAAATCAGACTGAGGGACATTCCTGAGCCCTGTCCCCATCCCCACTCTTGTGGTTAAATCTTTCCTCTAACACTATGCATCTATTCCTCAGCAGCAGCGGCCATCACATCCCTTAGGAAACCTTCTCTGACAGCCTCCAACCCACATCCACAAAAAGACCTGACCCCTCCTACCTTTCAGTCTTCCCTCTCAGCACCTACATGCTTAAGCCGTCTATTTCGCTGTCTCCACTGTGAGTTCCTTGAAAGCAGGGACTGTGTCCTGTTCTTCTGTTTGGCACAAGGTTTGCATGTAATAGGCCCAACATACATTTTGTTGAATGAATGAGTCACTAAGGGAATGAAGAGTGAAGGTATTGGAAGACTGAAGGTAATTTATGTAATGACTAAGAGCTCAAGCTTGGAGTAAAACGGACCTGAGTTCAGATTCTGACATCATCACTTAATAACCAGTCTTAGTGCTCAGCCCAGGGTCTGGCACAGAGAGGTGGCCTCTAAAAGTTTTGTTGAACAACCAAACTTAACTTGCATTTGCACTGCACTTCGCAGTTTGTGAAGCAGTTTTACACCCACAATATGTAGAGTTACCGGCCTTTTCATTACGAAGAATGTTCCCGTTATTATTTAAGTCTCATGGGCCTATATTTTGAAAAACATTCATCAAACAAATTTCATTTTTGCTGGGCGTGGTGGCTTGCATCTGTAATCCCACCTGCTTGGGAGGCTCAGGCAGGAGGAAGCCTTGAAGCCAGGAGTTCAAGACCAGCCTGGGCAACATAGTAAGACCCGTCTCTAAAAAAATTTTTTTACATAACCAGATGCAGTGTTGAATGTCCTGTAGTCCCATCTACTTGGGAGGCTGAGGCAGGAGGATGACTTGAGCCCAAGTTCAAGGCTGCAGTGAGTTATGATCATGCCACTGCACACCCAGTCTGGGCAACAACAGAGCAAGACCGCATCTCTTAAAAAAAAATTCATTTCTGGCCGGGGCTGTGGCTCACGCCTGTAATCCCAACACTTTGGGAGGCCGAGGTGGGCAGATCACTTGAGGTCAGGAGCTCGAGACCAGCCTGGCCAACATGGTGAAACCCAGTCTGTGCTAAAAATACAAAAATTAGCCAGGCATGGTGGTGCACATCTGTACTTGGGAGGCTGAGGCACGATAATCGCTTGAGCCTGGGAGGCTGAAGTTGTAGTGAACCAAGATCACATCACTGCACTCTAGCCTGGGCGACTGAGCGAGACTCTGTCTCAAAAAAAAAAAAAAAGAAAAGAAAAAATTCCATTTTTAAATCAATCAAGGGCATGTGAACTGTTAACCAGAACTTCTAATCTATATGAAATAAGAATGTTTGTCCCCAACTCCCAGCACAGGATGTGGATACATAGTAAATACCCAAGAAATTCTTCCTGAATGAACACATGTATGGTTTCTTTAGTCTTTCTGAAATGTTGGAATTGTCCCTCCTACTTCACCCCCAGCTTTTATTATATCTTAGATCAGAGTTGAGCATCCCAGGTTGGAAACTCTTGACTTCATAACAACTCCACGTCCCCATTTTACTTTCTTCTTCTTATTTTTTTTTTTGAGTTGGACTCTCATTCTGTCGCGCAGGCTGGAGTGCGGTGGCATGATCTCAGCTCATTGTAACCTCTGCCTCCTGGGTTCAAGCGATTCTCCTGCCTCAGCCTCCCGAGCAGCTGGGACTATAGGCACGTGCCACCATGCCTGGCTAATTACTGTATTTTTAGTAGAGATGGGGTTTCACCATGTTGGCCAGGCTGGTTTCGAACTCCTGGTCTCAAGTGATCCACTCACCTCGGTCTCCCAAAGTGCTGGGATTATAGGCGTGAGGCACCATGCCCGGCCTTTACTTAAAAAAAAAATTTTTTTTCCTTAAATCTATTTAAAAAACAACAGAGATGGGGTCTTGCTATGTTGCCTAGGCTGGTCTCCAACTCCTGGCCACAAGTGATCCTCCTGCCTTGGCCTCCCAAAGTGTTGGGATTACAGGCATGAGCCACTATGCCCGGCCAATATCCTCATTTTATAGATGAGGAAACTGAGGCTGTAAGAGGGAAAAAGGCTTGCCAAAGGCCACAGACTTTGGAAGTATCATTGCTGAGACTTCCTTCCATGGCAGCCTCTTCCCATAACGTTCTTCTGTTATTGTTGTTGTTGTTATTGTTGGTTTTTTGAGACAGAGTCTTACTCTGTCACCCAGGCTGGAGTGCAGTGGGGTGATCTTGGCTCACTGCAGCCTCCACCTCCTAGGTTCAGGTGATTCTTGTGCCTCAGCCTCCTGAGTAGCTGGGATTACAGGCGCGTGCCATCACACCTGGCTAATTTTTGTATTTTTAGTAGAAACAGGGTTTTGCCAAGTTGGCCAGGCTTGTCTTGAACTCCTGACCTCAGGTGATCTGCCTGCCTCATCCTCCCAAAGTGCTGGGATTACAGGCGTGAGCCACCGTGCCTGGCCTCCTCCCATAACATTCTATGACCTAAAATTAAGATGCTTGAATGGGTATTCTTTTTTCAAACAGAAATCTTTCTTCCTCTTTAAAATGCCCACCCTCGGCCGGGCACTGTGGGAGGCTGAGGCAGGCGGATCACGTGAGGTCAGGAGTTTGAGACCAGACTAGCAAACATGGCGAAACCTCGTCTTTACTAAAAATACAAAAATTAGTTGGGCATGATGGCAGGCGCCTGCAGTCCCAGCGATTAGGGAGGCTGAGGCAGGAGAGTTGCTTTAATCGAGGTGGAAGTTGCAGTGAGCCGAGATTGCACCACTGCACCCTAGCCTGGGTGACAGAGCGAGACTCCGTCGAAAAAAAAAAAAAAAGCCCACCCCCTGGAGCAACACAGCATAAATATAACCCTCTTTAGTAAGATGGGCCTTTCACTAGCTGAAGCCAATCATTATGGCTCCCCTAAGTTTTTTATCCAGTTATCCTTTGGATAAAAATAAGTAATGCGCTCAGGGGAGATGGCGTGTTGGTTTACTCTGCCTCTTGTGCCCCCAGATGTCTACTGTTGTGGAGCTGAACGTCGGGGGTGAGTTCCACACCACCACCCTGGGTACCCTGAGGAAGTTTCCGGGCTCAAAGCTGGCAGAGATGTTCTCTAGCTTAGCCAAGGCCTCCACGGACGCGGAGGGCCGCTTCTTCATCGACCGCCCCAGCACCTATTTCAGACCCATCCTGGACTACCTGCGCACTGGGCAAGTGCCCACACAGCACATCCCTGAAGTGTACCGTGAGGCTCAGTTCTACGAAATCAAGCCTTTGGTCAAGCTGCTGGAGGACATGCCACAGATCTTTGGTGAGCAGGTGTCTCGGAAGCAGTTTTTGCTGCAAGTGCCGGGCTACAGCGAGAACCTGGAGCTCATGGTGCGCCTGGCACGTGCAGAAGCCATAACAGCACGGAAGTCCAGCGTGCTTGTGTGCCTGGTGGAAACTGAGGAGCAGGATGCATATTATTCAGAGGTCCTGTGTTTTCTGCAGGATAAGAAGATGTTCAAGTCTGTTGTCAAGTTTGGGCCCTGGAAGGCGGTCCTAGACAACAGCGACCTCATGCACTGCCTGGAGATGGACATTAAGGCCCAGGGGTACAAGGTATTCTCCAAGTTCTACCTGACGTACCCCACCAAAAGAAACGAATTCCATTTTAACATTTATTCATTCACCTTCACCTGGTGGTGATCCTCAGGAGCAGAGACTGTTATGAATTCTGGCGTGGCTTATGAAATTAAAAGTTGCCATCAAAGCCATTTTCTTTTAATTTCACAAACATCAGGCAATTTCCAGGGTTGGTCTAGAGTCTTGCCACTAAATATTGATCACTCGTTTAAGGACTTTCCACTCCATTGCAACTGATGCCACTATATTTGCCTAGCAACTTGCAGCTACTTCCTTTTCAAAGCCTCATGTATCTCCCAGACCCTTCTCTTGAAGTCCAATAACAAGACCAAGTAAGAATGTTTCAACAATGCGTTGGCAAGAGATGTGAGATGACAACAGGAACATACAAGATACTGTGAATCTAGATGTTCTGACCTAAAGATGTAGTCTACATAGCCCCAGCTTGGGGTCCAATCCATCTGTCCCTGGCATGTGCCTTCATGTAGTAGGTGCTTTCCTGATCCCCTTTGCGAGATGCTGTGGGTGCTAACACCTCAGAGCTGTCCTCTTCTCTAGAGTGGAGGTTTTCAAAGTGCATCATCAGCATTACCTGTGAACTTGCTGGAAATACAAATCCTCAGGCCCCACCTCAGACCTACTGAATCAGAATCTCTGGGGGTTGGCACAGCATTCTGATTTACCAAACCCTCCAAGTGATTTTGATGTATTCTAATTTTGAGACCATCTCTAGAAAAGAATTGCTACCTCTTGTATGGAGGTACAAAAGACTGACCTCTTACATCAAGGAACTTCCTTTCCCAGAGCTCCTCATGGAATCAAGCTGAAGTCAGTCTTCTTCTGAGAGCACATTCTTACTCAGTTTTTTTCCTCTGTCCTACGCTGCTTCCCTCACTCCCCTTCTCCTAAGAGCACTCCATCAATAAACCACTTGCACGAGAGTCTCAGTTTTGGTTCTGCTTCTCACCCTAATACAGGACTTGTCCTCTAAAGGAGGATACATGTAGACATTCATTCTTCTCCAAGTCCAGGTCTGAATTATATGACCCCCTTCCCTGCATAGTAGCTTGATCAGCTATGTGGGTTGTCTGGGACCTTCTTGGGACATAGGGTTTCTTTCTTGGGACCAAAGGGTTTCTTGGGATACAGGACTTCCAGTATGAAAACTTGGAAGTCTCATCGGGTGCAGTGGCTCACGCCTGTAATCACAGCACTTTGGGAGGCTGAGGCAGGCAGAGAACTTGAGGTCAGGGGTTCAAGACCAGCCTGGCCAACATGGTGAAACCCCATCTGTATTAGTCTGTTTTCACGCTGCTGATAAAGACATGCCTGAGACTGGGCAATTTACAAAAGAGAGAGTTTTAATGGACTTACAGTTCCACGTGGCTGGGGAAGCCTCACAATCATGGTGGAAGGTGAAAGGCATATCTCACATGACAACAGACAAGAGAGAGCAAGTGCAGGGAAACTCCCCTTTTTAAAACCATCAGATCTCATGAGACTTATTCACTATCACGAGAACAACACGGGAAAGACCTGCCCCCATGATTCAATTACCTCCCACAAGGTCCCTCCCACAACATGTGGGAATTCAAGATGAGATCTGGGTGGGGAGACAGCCAAACCATATCACTGTCTCTACTAAAAATAAAAAAATAGTTAGCCAGGTGTGGTGGCACATGCCTGTAGTCCCAGCTACTTGGAGGCTGAGGCATGAGAATCGCTTGAATCTGGGAGGCAAAGGTTGCAGTGAGCCAAGATCTCGCCACTGCACTCCAGCCTAAGTGACACAGGGAGACCCTGTCTCAAAAAATAAATAAATAAATAAATAAAACCAACTTGGAAGTCCCAGGCAAGCTAGAATGAGTACTGCCTACCCAATCCTCTCTCGCTTTATTTCTTTTCCCTTTGGGACACCTCTTCTGTGGTGACAGATCTGGAAGTGACCTCCTACTCAAGAGAGACCATGTGTACCTATAAGAACCTGGCTTTGCCTCCTAATGGGATAACCACTGTGTCTAGCCAGACCTTTCACAAACCACTGAATTTTTCACTTTGTGATACCTTCCCCTCCTGCAGTGTCATGTATATTTCAACCAATGTCCAGAAACTTTTCTTTTGGGTTAGAATCTGACTCCTTGAGGATACTTTCAGTTTTCTGTTCCTTGCCATTTCTTCAAAAGGCTGAGCAGCTGTCTCTAATACTTACAACTGACAACAGTAATTCATCCCATCCCTTTGAGAGCTCCGGGTTTGGGCCTGTGGGGTTGCTCCTATGCCCAAGTATTTTAAATATATTGTCCCTTGCCCTTGAGAAAAAAGGTCTAGTCTCCATGGTATGAGAACTTTCTAGGCCAGGCATGGTGGCTCACACCTGTAATCCTAGCACTTTGGGAGGGTGAGGCAGGAGGATTGCTTGAGCCCAGGAGTTCAAGACCAGCCTGAGCAACATAGTGAGACTCTGTCTCTATTTTTAAATTTTAAAATTAAAAAAATAAAAGAACTTTCTGGCTCCTCCTATTGCTAGAATCTCTCTGAGTCTCAAATGATAATAAAAAAGTCTCTTCCAACTCTGGTAAAACCACACACCTGTTCTCCCTGAGAACCTTACCAATCCCTTTATAGTTGTCCAGGTTGTATAAGGCAGTATGAAGAGCAATGGTTCTCAACTTTGGCTGCACATTAATTAGAATCACCTGGGATAAGTTAAAACCCTCCAATGTAGGGCATACCCAGGCAACACCTGAAACAAATCAGAATCTCTAGAGGTGGGGCCCAGGAAAGAATATTTTTTAAAGCTCCTTCAGATGACTTCATTGTGCAGTTAAGGCTGACAACTGCTGTAGAGTCTCATTAACTTCAGGCCAATAGCAGTTCACTGGTCGACCCAAACCAGGGGTGACCACTCCTCTTCATTGGTATGGACCCCATTCTAATTACCAACTTGTTCTAATCTATGGTGTGTATCAGGGCCAGGACTAGGCTTCTCGCTGACCTCACTTTAGTCTTGCCCTGGTGCAGATATACGTGATTACATGAGTTTTAATAAACTCAGATGGGGAAGGGTGCAGTGGCTAACGCCTGTAATCCCAGCACTTTGGGAGGCCGAGGCAGGTGGATCACTTGAGGTCAGGAGTTCAAGACCCACCTGGCCAACATGGTGAAACTAAATTTTCTACTAAAATACTCTACTGAAAATACAAAAAAATTAGCCAGGTGTGGTGGTACATGCCTGTAATCCCAGCTACTTTGGAGGCTGAGGCAGGATAATCACTTGAACCCAGGAGATGGAGGTTACAGTGAGCTGAGATCATCCCACTGCACTCCAGCCTGGGCAACAGAGTGAGACTTTGTTTCAAAAAAAAAAAAATCTCAGATGGTACTCCAAGAGGGATATTTCATCTGCTTATGAGTACAGGTGTTCATATGTTAATTCCCCAAATAACTTTTCCCAAACTTTTTATTTGGAAAGTTTTCATATACACAGAAAAGGTAAAAGAGTAGTATATTTAATTTTTTTCTTTTTTGAGACAGGTTCTCACTGTGTTGCCCAGGCTGGAGTGCAGTGGCACCATCTCGGCTCACTGCAACCTCCGCCTCTTGGGTTGAAGTGATTCTCCTGCCTTGGCCTCCCGGATAGGTGGAACTAGAAGCGTGTGCCACCACGCCGAGCTAATTTTTAAATTTTTAGTAAAGATGGGGTTTCACCATGTAGGCCAGTCTGGTCTTGAACTCCTGACCTTAGGTGAGCTGCCCACCTTGGCATCTCAAAATCCTGGGATTACAGGCATGAGCCACTGCATCTGGCCCACATTGAACTTTGTACCTAGCTCCTCCAGTTATTACTATTTTGACACATTTATGCGATCTTTCTCTATACACATGCATATATACATTTATAATCGTTCGCTGAACAATTTGAAGGTAAGTTGCAGATATTAACATCCCTCCACCTAAATACTTCAGTTTACATCTCCTAAGAATAACACGATTACCATTATTTCTTTTTTCTCTCTCCTTCCTTCCTTCTTTCCTTCCTTTCTTTTTTCTTTTTTTTTTTTTTTTTTTTTTTTTGAGTCAGGGTCTTACTCTGTCACCCAGACTGGAGTGCAGTAGGACAATCACAGCTCACTCCAGCTTTGACCTCCTGAGCTCAAGCAATCCTCCCACCTCAGCCTCCCCAGTAGCTGGGACTACAGGTGTGTACCACCATGCCTGGCTGATTTTTAAAATTTTTTGTAGAGATGGGGTCTCCTTATGTTGCCCAGGATGGTCTCCAACTCCTGGGCTCAAGTGATCCTCCCACCTCGGCCTTCCAGTGTTGGGATGACAAGTGTGAGCCACCACACTCAGCCCACATTATCACTTCTTTAAAAATTAACAAATCTAGGCTGGGCATGGTGGCTCACGCCTGTAATCCCAGCACTTTGGGAGGCCGAGGCTTGTGGATCACTTGAGGTCAGGAATTTGAGACCAGCCTGGCCATATAGTGAAACCCCATCTCTACTAAAAATACAAAAATTAGCCAGGCATGGTGGTGTGTGCCTGTAGTGCCCTCTACCTGGGAGGCTGAGGCAGGAGAATTGCTTGAACCTGGGAGGTGGAGGTTGCAGTGAGCCAAGATCGTGCCATTGCACTCCAGCCTGGGCAACAGAGAGAGGCTCTGTCTCAAAAAAAGAAAAAAAATTAACAAATCTAAAATATTACATGTAATGTATTATCTATTTTGACAATTGTTCCACAAATGTATTTTATGGTCTTTTTAAAAAGTCCAATCAAAGTTCATGCATTACACTTGGTTGTTAGGTTTTCTTCAGTTCAGAGATTCTCACCTTGGTCACATTTTGGAATCAATCAGTCAAGTAGCCTTAAGAAATATGGGCTCCATCCCTAGAGACCTTAATTTAACTGTTTTGGGTGTGGTCTGACCATTGGGTTTTAAAAATCTTCCTCAGGCATTTCTAAAATTCATCAAAATTTGAGAAAAACAGCTTTAGTCTCTTAGTCTACAACAGTCTCCCTTTTTTACTTTGATATTGATCCAAACTTACTTGATGCACTAAGTCCATATCTACTTGGCCTAAGAACTTTGACTTCCCTCTCCATCAAAGTCTTTTTCAGCTGCTTCTGGGAGTCCTTGGGATTGGTGGTGGTGTACTTGTAGTGTGAATCATTCTTTGTTCCAGCCTTTTTTTTTTTTTAAATCATTACCTTGCTCCAGGCTAATCAGTACCACTTGGCCCATTGTTCAAATTGCTGCATTTCCCGGATCATGATTTTCCTAGGGTCTATGTAGAACTACCATCAATGGACGTTACTGGTGGGATTTTTTTTCCTCTTTATTACTTTGGTCTGAGCATGGACACACCATGCTAATGCCAGGGATAATATGCATCAACATTTAACTAAAGGCTTGAGGATTATATATAGAAAAGTTCCCAACTTGCTATTCTATGTGATTGTTCTGAGCACAAGACCTTTGGTATGTCCTAAGAGGGTCCCATATCGAGCAAGTGGTGTTACAACTACTTCCAGGCTTACCAAAAAACTGCCTCCTTCACCAACTCCAGGGTTGCCTCCACATCTGGCGACACGAATGCTTCCCAGAGTAGCTGTAGGCTGCTTCACTGCTCAATGATAGAACCGCATAGCCCTCTGCGACTTTGACTTTGGGCTTGGTGATGTGACTTGTTTGCCAATGGGACATCAACAAATATGACACAAGCCAAGGCTTCATAAGCATTTGTGCATGGGCCTTGCTCTCTTGGAATGCTTCCACTGCCATAAAAGAAAACCAGGCAATTCCACTGGAGAGGTTATGAGAGGGGGAATAGAGGAGGCTATCAAGCCCCAAATGAACTACCAGATGACCCAGCCGAGTGAGTGACCCCAGGATTGCTCAGTGGAGACCTGCCCGAATTGCAGAATCATGAGTAAATAATGATGTTTTAAACCTCTCTGTTCTATTGATGATTGTAGTTTGAAATAGAAAAATGAAAAATAAATAAATAAAACCCCTCTATGTTTTGGAGTGGTTTGTCATTCACTAATAGAAAATAGATACACTTCATTTTAAGGGACTTCCCCAGAAGTCCCAACCAATGACATCTGTTTACATTTTGTTGGCTAGAATTGTGACATATGGCCACACCTCTACACAGTATACAAGAGAGACTGGAAAATGTAATTGCTTTTGTGTTTGTTTGTGTGTGTGTGTGCTGGGCATAATACCATCTCCACACAATTGTGTTCTTTAAGAGAGAGGGAGAAAGTGAATATTAGAGATGTAACCGGCAAGCTCTGCTATACCTATACAGAGGTTCAAATCAGCTCTTTTGCTGTTTTCAGTAACTTACTTTTTTTTTTTTTTTGAGACAGGATCTTACTCTGTCACCCAGGCTGAAGTGCAGTGGCATGATCTTGGTTCACTGCAACCTCTGCCTCCTGGACTCAGGTGATCCTCCCACCTCAGCCTCCCAAGTGGCTGGGACTACAGGTGTGTGCCACTACGCCTAGCTAATTTTTCTATTTTTAGTAGAAATGGGGTTTCGCCATGTTGCCTAGGCTGGTCTTGAACTCCTGGGCTCAAGTGATCTGCCGCATCAGCCTCCCAAAGGGCTGGGATTATAGGCATGAGCCACTGTGCGCAGCCAAGAGACAGACATTTGAAGAAAGCTTATAATGTTAAAATTAGGAACAAACAAATGGCCAGGCACGGTGGCATGTGCCTGTGGTCCCAGCTACTGGGGAGCCTGAGCCACGAGGATTGCTTGAGCCCAGGAGGTGGAGGCTGCAGTGAGCTGAGATCACACCACTGCACTCCAGCTTGGGTGACAGAGTGAGATCCTGTCTCAAAAATAAATAAATAAATAAATAAATAAATAGATTAATTAATTAAATTAAATAATAGGAAGAAACAAAAATAACAGAATGTTTCTTGGAGGAAAGAGGATATGGAGAGCAGAACTTCAAAGCAATTGTGATAAATATCCCTAGAGATGTCCCTTTTTGGGCAAAATGGAGTAACAGACACTGGATTTACCCTTCTACCTGAAACAACGAAAAACTGGACAAAATATGTGAAACAACAGATCTCAACACATTGTACATTAGGCAACTAAGGACAAGGAACTCAGAGACAGGGAGCAAATGAGATAGGTCCTATGATTACTCCAGCTTGCTGACTGGAGAAGATATTCAAGGCCTGGTGCAGGGAGGGGAACCCAGGCAGAGACTGGGAGTTACCTTGAATTGAAGAGAAAGATCTGGGAATCCCAGGAAGCCAAACAACAAGAGTTTCAAGGCAGAGTATCAGAGAAGAGAGGACTCCACAGAGAGAAGACTCTGGAGATCTGCATGAGGTCCCTCTTGAGTATTCAGTGCCGTACTCATCAGTGCACATATGCGAGGAAACCACCCAAAGCTGGGTAGAGAAAAGATTAGTAGGAACAGTGTCCAGAGATCAGGACCAGGAAAAGTGCATATTCCCAACAGCCAGAGAGAAAGACCTTATAATTCACAGGGACTCAGAGTAAAAAGGTCTTGCATTAGCAGTGGAGAAAATTTACCCTAAATTAAATACTGTTCTGGTTCTACTTAAAGCTTAAAAGCAAGCAGGGCCGGGCGCGGTGGCTCACACCTGTAATCCCAGCACGTTGGGAGGCTGAGGTGGGCGGATCATTTGAGGTCAGGAGTTTGAGACCAGCCTGGCCTACATAGTGAAACCCTATCTCTAATAAAAATACAAAAAATTAGCCAGGAGTGGTGGCCCATGCCTGTAACCTCTGTTACCTGGCAGGCTGAGGCAGGAGAGTCATTTGAACCCAGGCGGCAGAGGTTGCAGTGAGCTGAAATCACACCACTGCACTCCAGCCTGGGCGACAGAGTGAGACTCTGTCTCAAAAAAAAAAAAAAAAAAGAAAAAGAAAAAAAAAAAGAAGCAAGCAGTGAAAGAATCAAACTTTTCAAGTTACTTAACCATGCCTATAAAAAAAGCTGAGGAGTTTGTCTAGGACTATAATGCTTGCAAAAAAAGTGGAAAAATACAGCCCACAGGAGGAAAATAATTAATCGGTAGAAACTGATCCAGAAATTATGATGATAGATGATAAACAAAACCAGAGATGGTAGAAATAGTAGGCAAAGACTTAAAACAGTGGTTGTAACCCTATTGTATGTGTTAAAGAAGCTAGTGGAAAGATTGAATATATGGAACAGAGACATGGAGATATTTTAAAAAGACCTGGCTGGGCACGGTGGCTCATGCGTGTAATCCCAGTGCTTTGGGAGGCCTAGGTGGGCAGATCACTTGAGCTCACTTGAGCTCAAATTCACTATTATTATGTTGCCTGGGCAACATAATAAGACCTTGTCTCAACAAAAAATTTTAAATTAGCCAGGCATGGTTGTACCGGCCTGTAGTCCCAGCTACTCGGGGGACTGAGATGAGAGGATGACTTGAGCGCAGGTTGAGGCTGCAGTGAGCTGTGATCACACCACTGTACTCCAGCCTATGCAACAAAGTGAGACACTGTCTCAAAAAAAAAAAAAAGAAAAAAGGCCAGGTGTGGTGGCTCATGCCTGTAATCCCAGCACTTTGGGAGGCCAAGGCGGGTGGATCACTTGAGGCCAGGAGTTTGAGACCAGCCCAGGCAACATGGCAAAGAAACCTGTCTCTACAAAAAATACAAAAAAAATTAGCTGGATGTGGTGTCAGGCACCTGTAATACCAGCTACTCAGGAAGCTAAGGCAGGAGAATCACTTGGGAGGCAGAGGATGCTGTGAGACGAGATTGTGCCACTGCACTCCACCCTGGGCAACAAAGCGAGACTCAGTCTCAAAAATAAATAAATAAATAAATAAATAAATAAATAAAATGGAATAAAAAGTACTTGTGGCAGCACCTGGGACTTAGAAAAAGCTCAATCAACATTGGATATTAGTCCAGGCATATCTCACAGATACTGTGAGTTCAGTTTTAGACCATCACGATAAAGCGAATATCACAATAAAGTAAGGCACATGAATTTTTTGGTTTCCTATTGCGTACAAAAGTTATGTTTGCACTATACTATACTCACTGAAGCTGAAGTGTAGTGGCTTGGGGTTCATGGCTCACTGCAGCCTTGACCTCCTGGGCTCAGGTGATTCTCCCACCTCAGTGCCCCCAGTAGCTGGCACTACAGATGCAAGCCACCATGACCAGCTAGTTTTCTGATCTTCGGAGAGACGAGGTCTCATTATGATGCCCAGGCTGGTCTTGAGCTCCTGGGTTCAAGCAACCTTCCTGCCTTGGCCTCCCAAAGTGTTGGGATTACAGGCCACTGGACCCAGCCTATACTATAATCTATTAAGTACACAGTGGCATTATGTCTAAAAAACAATGCATATACCTTAATTTAAGAATACTTTATTGTTAAAAATGCCAACCATCATCTGAACCTTCACTGAATCATAATCTTCTTGCTGGTGGAGGCTCTTCCTCCATGTTGATGGCTGCTGACTGATCAGGATGGTGGTTGCTGAAGGTTGGAGTGACTGTGGCAATTTTATAAAATAAAACAACAGAGAAGTTTGCCACATCAATTGATTCTTCCTTTCTTTCTTTCATTTTTACATATTTTTTGAGACAGGGTCTTGCCCTGTTGCTCAGGCTGGAGTGCAGTGGCGCAATCATGGCTCACTGCAGCCTCGACCTCCTGGGCTCAAGCAATCCTCCCATTTCAACCTCCTGAGTAGCTGGGACCACAGGTGTGTGCCACCACACCCAACTAATTTTTAAAATTTTGTAGAGATGGGGTCTTGCCTTGTTTCCCAGGCTGGTCTCCAACTCCTGGGCTCAAGCAGGCCTCCCACCTTGGCCTCCCAAAATGTTGGGATGATAGGCATGAGCCACCGCGTCCAGCCAATCATTTCCAACTTTTGATTTAAAGTAGGAGATGTGGGACTCTTCCTTTGTTTATTTTTATTTTTTTGGAGATGGGGATCTGCTGTGTTGCCCAGGCTGTAGTGCAATGGCACAATCTCAGCTCACTGTAGCCTCAACTTCTTGGGCTCACATGACCCACCCACCTCAACCTCCCAAGTAGCTGGGACCACAGGCATGTGCCACCACGCCCAGCTAATTTTATTTTTTGTCTCACTATGTTGCCCAGGCTGGTCCAAACTCCTGAGCTCAAGCAATCCTCCAGTCTTAGCCTCCCAAATTGCTGATATTACAGGCGCAAGCTACCATGCCTGGCCTGGGACTCTTCCTTTCACTTGAGCACTTAGAGGCCATTATGTAGGGCTATTAACTGTTCAATATTATTTTGTGTCAGGGAATTTCAATATTGTTGTATCTCAAGGAATAGGGAGGCCTGAAGAGAGGGAGGGAGACAGGGCATTGCCAGTCAGTGGGACAGTCAGAACACACACATTTATTTATTGTGTTTTCCGTCTTATATGGATGTTGTTTGTGGTGGCCCCAAATAATTAGAATAGGGACATCAAAAATCACTGATCACGGATCACCATAACAGATATAAAATAATGAAAAGGGTTGAAATATTGTGAAAACTACCAAAATGTGACACAGAGACTTCAAGCGAGCATATGCTACTGGAACAACGGCACCTGTAGACTTGCTCAAAACACAGTTGCCACAAACTTTCCATTTATAAAATAGGCAATATCTGTGAAGCACAATAAAGCAAATGCAATAAAATGAGGTATGTCCGTATTATTACTGTTCTATGGCGATGTCAACAAGGTGTGGCATAATTGAAGGAGCACTGGAATTCGACCAGAGACCCTACTTTGTTTTTTTGTGAGACGGAGTCTCGCTCTGTCACTCAGGCTGGAGTGCAGTGGCACGATCTCCGCTCACTGCAACTTCCACCTCTCAGATTCAAGCGATTCTCATGCCTCAGCCTCCCGAGTAGCTGGGATTACAGGCGCTTGTCACCATGCCCGGCTAATTTTTTTTTTTTTTTTTTTGTATTTTTAGTAGAGACGGGTTTCACCGTGTTCGCCAGGCTGGTCTCGAACTCCTGACCTCAAGTGATCCACCTGCCTCAGCCTCCCAAAGTGCCGGGATTACAGGTGTGAGCCACTGCGACTGTCCGAGACCTTACTTTGAATGGCAGCTCATCTATTACAGTGTTCTTAAGCAAGAAACTCTGGGGGAGTTCTTGAAAGGGGATCTGCTCCACAAGGTTGTGAGAGTGCAGTGGGTTGAATGGTGGTCCCCCAAATGCTATGTCCACCTCATAATCCCCAGAATCTATAGATGTTACCTTATTTGGAAAAAGAATTTTTGCAGACGTAATTAAGTTAAAGATTTGAAGATGAGGAGATTCTCCTGTATTATCTGGGTGGATCCTAAATCCAGAGACAATCTTTCCTTATAAATCCTTATAAGAGGCCAGGTACAGTGGCTCACACCTGTATCCCAACACTGTGGGAGGCTGAGGGGGAGGATCACTTGCATCCAGGAATTCGAGACCAGCCTAAGCAACATAGCGAGATCCCATCTCTATTAATAAATAAATAGCAAGGCATGGTGGCGCACAGCTGTAGTCCCAGCTACTTGGCAGGCTGAGGTGGGAGGATTGCATTAGCCTGGAAGTTCGAGGCTGCAGTGAGCCATGATCACACTGCACTCAGGCTGGGAGATAGAGTGAGACCCTGCCTCAAAAAATTAAAAAATTAAATAAATAAAAATGACCACAAGCTCAGGAATGCTGTGGCAGCAGCCAGAAGCTGGAAGAGGCAAGGTACAGATTCTCTCCTAGTGCCTCCAGAGAGAGGACAGTTCTGCCAATAAGTGAATTTTGGACTTCTAGCCTCCAGAACTGTGAGACAATAAATGTTTGCTGTTTTAAGCTACCAAGTTTGTGGTTGGCAGCCTCAGGAAACTAATACAGAGAGTAAAATCAAGTAACATATTTGAAAATATCCAGCACATTTTAGGGCTCTGATATTGCTGAGTCAAAATTTCAAGGCTAAAAGCAATGTAGGGCAAGGGCAAGGCCAAAGTCACGGTGTCTCTTACAGACCCTTCTGGGAAGTATCAGGGCTGTACATCCTTCACATCTTTAAACAGAGAGAGCAGCCACTATGCCCATCTTTTTGTAGAGCAAATGTTTAAACTGAAGCCACGTGAGATGGATGATAGCATACATAAAGTTCCCTTGTGCCGGGCATGGTGGCTCACGCTTGTAATCCCAGTACTTTGGGAGGCCGAGGCAGGTGGATCACGAGGTCAGGAGTTCGAGACCAGCCTGGGAAACACAGTGAAACCCCATCTCTACTAAAAATACAAAAATTAGCTGGGTGTGGTGGTGCGTGCCTGTAATCCCAGCTACTCAGGAGGCTGAGGCAGGAGAATTGCTTGAACCCAGGAGGCAGAGGTTTCAGTGAGCCGAGATCATGCCATTGCACTCCAACCTAGGCGACAGAGCTAGACTCTGTCTCAGAAAAAAAAAAAGTTCCCTTGTGACTGTTTCAGAATTTCTTTTTCAATTTTTCATTTTACTATGAGGTCCAAAGGTTTAGTTTTCTGTTTTTTGGTTTTTTTAGCTTGTTTTCTTTTGAGACAGAGTCTCACTCTGTCACCTAGGATGAAGTACAGCGGTGCGATCATGGCTCACCAAAGCCTCAACCTCCCTGGGCTCAAGGTGATTTTTCTGCCTCAGCAGCCCAAGTAGCCAGGACCACAGGTATACGCCACCACACCTGGCTAATTTTTATATATTTTGTAGAGAAGTGGTTTCACCATGTTGCTCAAGCTGGTCTCGAACTCCCAGCCTCAAGCACTCCTCCCGCCTTGGCCTCCCCAAGTGCTGGGATTACAGGTGTGAGCCACCGTGCCTGGCCACAGCTTGTGATTTTATAAGTACTGTATATATAATAAAGCCTGTCATGATCCATAGCTGCTTGAGATATTTACTTTGGCAGTTACCTATCTTTCTTGTCAGACTTAAAATATTGTTTGACTTGACATCAGAGACAACTGTTTACCTATTTACAGTATTGTTAACTTTTGAAGTTTAAGGAATTAATACGTATGGAGTTTTAAATTCAACCACAAAATTGTTCAGAACAGTCATTTTCAAAGAGCATTATAATTCAGGAATCACATCTGTTTGTATATTTTTTTCTTATTTTCAAGGTTGGTCTATGGTTTCCTTTCTTGGTTTTAATATGGCTGACAATTTAGGGTGGACATTCTTGAATGTCTACTTAATCTTTTCATCATGAAGAAATTCAACATTATCAAGAGCCTGGGGAAAAGAGTCCATACTTTGATCAGTAATTACTCCTATGAGATTAGATTTCAAGGCAGTACTTAAGAGATTCAGATATTTTTGTCACCTGCATTTTCACTGGAGACATCCTGCTCCTTAAGATCTAAACAGGATTGCTTAACATCTCAGTTTCATGAGTTGAGGAAAGGTAATGTCCTCCCTAAGTTTTCTGCACATTCCTGGAGTGCTTGTGTTCTCAAGGTCTGTTCTGGTCTTCCACTTCTTCTCCTCATCTGTGTGTCTTAAACCCATTGTTGCTGTTCTACACAATGTTCACCAGATTTAACATACAGGTCTTTAATTTTTTTTTTATAAATGCCACTCCCTAACCTATTTGTGCACACAGCTGATGGTGGAAAATATAGGCAATTAAGGCGAGAGGATTTATAATACAGAACCACAACTCCCAATTGACTATTGGACATATTTATTCTTAATAGTGTGCAAATCATCCCATCACTGGGGACTTTTTACTAGTAGATTGTATTTGTTAACTATTCTCTCTTCTTTCCATTTTCTTGCCATGCTCCACCGTGGGTGGGACTATTCTTCCCTGCCTCACTAACTTATGCCAGCCAATGGAATATGTGTGGAAATGACAGTGTGCCAGTTCCAAACCAAGGCTTTAGAAACACGACAATTCTCCATGAGCCCTCTCGTGTTCCTTCTATTTGCAAAGAGAAGACCATGCTCCAGTTTAGCTACCTCCTTTGTTGCTTGGTTCTAGATTGCATGCATGTTCTTAAGATAATGACTCTCCTCCTAAGCAACTTCCAAACTATTTTATTAAACAAAGGCAATTCCAATACCTCCCCAACTCTCAATCCATAATACAGTTAAGATAACGTACTATTGACTGGGCGCTGTGCTCACACCTATGTAATCCCAGCACTTTATGAGGCCAAGACAGGTGGATCACCTGAGGTTACAAGTTCATTTGACCAGCCTGGCCAACATGGTGAAACCCTGTCTCTACTAAAAATACAAAAATTAGTCGGGCATGGGGGTGCACACCTGTAATCTCAGTTACTTGTTAGGCTGAGGCAGGAGAATTCCATGAACCTAGGAGGCAGAGGTTACAGGGAGGCAGAGGTTACAGTGAGCCAAGATTGCACCATGCCACTCCATCCTGAGCGACAGAGCAAGACTCTGTCTCAAAAAACAAAACAAAACAAAACAAAAAACAAAACATTTTTATCTCACGATAGCAAAACTTTTGGAAATAAGCAGTATTTTTTCTTTTAATACCCTATTCTGAGAAGCAATAAATAGTTTTAAGTCATTATATTATGTCTGTATAATGTAATGTTTTGCTGCTATTAAAATTACATTTATGGATGGCTTAAAATTAAGGTGAGGAGAATGCTCATTTAATTCAATGTAATTTAATTAAATATTTGCTCCAAAAAAGATTTAAGGTAGTGGGACTTACAAGACTGTACAAAAAAGAAATATCCAAAAAGATATAAACATAAGGCCAGGCACGGTGGCTAATGCTTATAATCCCAGCACTTTTCGAGGCCATGGCGGGCGGATCACCTGAGGTCAGGAGTTTGTGACCAGCCTGGCCAACATGGTGAAACCCCATCTCTGCTAAAAATACAAAATTAGCCGGGCATGGTGGCAGGTGCCTGTAATCCCAGCTATTTGGGAGGCTGAGGCAGAATAGCTTGAACCCGGGAGGTGGAGGTTGCAGTGAGCAGAGATGGTGCTATTGCACGCCAGCCTGAGTGACAAGAGCGAAGCTCCATCTCGAAAAAAAAAAAAAAAAGATATAAATTAGGCACAGTGGCTCACACCTGTAATCCTAGCACTTTGGGAGGCCAAGGCAGGAGGATCACTTGAGGGCAGGAGTTTAAAACCAACCTGGGCAACATGGTGAGACCCTGCCTCTACAAAAAACAAACAAACAAACAAACAAATAAAACAATTAGCCGGGTGTGGTGGCACAAGCCTGCTGTCCTAGCTTTTCAGGATGCTGAGGTGGGAGGATCACTTGAGCCTGGAAGGTCAAGACTGCAGCAAGCCATGATCATGTCACTGCACTCCAGCCTGGGCAACAGAGCGAGACCCTGTCTCATATACACAAAAATTACAAGTACATGAATTACAAGAACATTGTTGGTTGCCTACTCATTAATACTATCTCCTCCCTTCCTCTTTCCTAACAGAAAGGCCAAAATAGCAGGCCAGGTGCAATGGCTCACGCCTGTAATCCCAGCACTTTCGGAGGCCGAAGCGGGTGGATCACTTGAAGTCAGGAGTTTTGAGACCAGCCTGGCCAACATAGTGAAATCTTGTCTCTACTAAAAATACAAACATTAGCCAGGTGTGGTGGCAGGCATCTGTAATCCCAGCTACTCTGGAGGCTGAGGTAGGGGAATCTCTTGAACCCGGGAGGCGGAGGTTGCAGTGGCTGAGATTGCACCATTGCACTCCAGCCAGGGCAACAAGAGCAAGACTCTGTCTCAAACAACAACAACAACAACAACAACAACAAAACCCAAAATAGCAATGATAGTAATCATGTTCAAAAGGCAATCTCTGCTTCATTTGTATGAATATATGAAACTTCTTAGATCTGTTGGGACTAACCAAAGAAAATTATAGAGTCAGAAGAGAAAATCTTAAAACCGTATGCTAAACGTAACTGTCAACATAATCTAAAGGAAAAACACAAAGAAAGATGTAAACCTTTGTAGATTACCCTCATGAAGATATCCCAGTTCATAGCACTGCATCAGGTTTTCAGTTCTACATTTTTTTCTCTTAGGGTACCTGTTTTTGTTGTTGTTGTTATTTGTTTGTTTTTAATTCTCTACTTATTTCCCTCATCTTCTGCTGCCTTCTCCCAACCCCCACTCATTATCTGCTCTTTACTGCTGTGCTTAGTGTCCTGGGAGGCTGATTGTTAGGTCCTTCTGCATACCCAGGGCCCATTCCTGGTTGGCCAGAGACTTGGCAAGTTCAAGAGTGGAAGATGGGTGATAAGAAAGCCTGGGAAACTGGTATAGGTGTAAATGTCTGTGCTCCTTGTGAATGTCCACCAGAGGGCACCCATTCTAGAAGAGGGTCTCAAAAATCAAGGGCACAATGATCCAACCTGTGGATGTCAGCCAGCCTCTTTCCCCAGCAGCTCAGTGCTTGCTCGATGGAGACATGAACAAAAATCCCTGCCATAATGGCAGGGATAGAGGCTATTCATGGGCTGCACAGTACAGACTTCCTCTCACCAAAGCTAATCTAGCCACTGATGTATGTCCAACCTGCCAATAGTAGAGAGAGACCAACACTAAGCCCCTGATATGGTATTATTCTCAGAGGGTACCAGGCACTTCTTGGTGGGAGGTTTATTGCACTGCAAATCAGTTAGCAAACTGCTGGGAAAAATTCTGGTGTTTCTGAGCAAATGGCATCAACAGCTTTGTTTGAGGATGTTTGCAAAGCTGCTTAGGAGCAGGGAGCAGATTTACTTATATTCCAGGGTAATAAAGCTAATATGGTCCTCAAATCCTGGAAACATTTCAGAGTGATAAAAAAAAATGTCCCCCATGGGGTGGAAGGCAGATTTGTTTCCTGACCAGTATAATAAAGTCTGCCTCCAGAGGACAAGTTTCTCAGCAGTCCTCTTTCAAGAATGGGAAGTTCCTAAGCTCAGTGTTCTCAGCTGTTACAGATCTATTGTGTGCATGGCATTCACCTGTATAACTGCCATGGTGCTTGGTTGGCAAGGAGAACTGAAACAAATTTGGAGTTCATGCCACCTGCTATGCTGTGAATAATCAACTGCCTAAATCATTTGGGCTTGTTGTCTCCTTACCAGATGAAGTGTGGCAACTTAACTTAGCGCTTAGGGAGTGCCTGACTGTGTGACAATTTCCTACCCCCAAATGTAATGACTTAAGACTACAGCTATTAATTATTTCTCACAGGCCTACAGATTGGGCAGTTCTGGTCTCAGCTGAGATCACGCATACATCTGTAGTCAGCTGGTGGATTAGCTGGGGCGGAGCCGGTCTCAGATGGCTTCAGGTGGGTCAATTTGCCTGTGTTCCATGTGGTCACTCACTCTTCAGCAGGCCAGGTTGGATTTGCTGTCATGGCAATGGTGGGGGTCCAAAATCAAACAAAAGGTCTGGGAAATTGTATGTGGGTGGACCTTGAGGCTTAGACTCAAAATTAGCACGCTGTCACTTCTACCACATTGTATTGGCCTGTCACAAGGCCAGCACAAATTCAAAGGGTGATAATATAGATTTCATCTCTTAATAAAAGCACCTTCAAAGTCACACTTCAAGGGGTATACATACCGAGAGGGGGAGATTTGGGGCTTTTTTTGCAATCATTCAACTACACACTGGATCCTTTCCATCATGGAAGGAGCAGTGATTTGTCCTCACAGGAATAGATTCATATTCCAAATTCAGATTTGACTTCCCTGCCTGCAATATTTCTGCCAGCTCCATCATCTATGGATGCCTCATTCATTATCATAGTACTCCACACATTGCTTCTGATTAAGGAGCTTATTTTATGCTGAGAAAATTGTAGTGAAGAAACTTCTTGGTCTTGCCAGGAACCCCATCATTCAGATGTAGGTGCTATAATAAAGCAGAATAATAACCTTTTGGAGATTCAGTTATAGCGCTAGTCAAGAGCCAACACATTGTGAGTTTGGGCCGCTGTTTGTGGCATATGCCTTATACCAACAGCTAAAATATAGTACTGCTTCTCCCACAGTTAGAACATGGGTCTGGTTATCAAAGGGTGGAGATAGGAGCAGTTCCTCTCTCTTTTACACCTAATAATTCATTTATGAATTCTTGGGCTCAGTAGGTTTGGAAGACTTACTCCCCAAGGGAGGAACAGTTGCCCTAGAGAACATAGTCATTGTTCATTACATTGGACATGTAATGAGACTGTCCCCAGACCACTGGGGCTCTTGTTCTGAACCAGCAGGTAGAGAAGAAGTTACTAAGTTGGGCTGCTGT
Source organism: Homo sapiens (assembly GCF_000001405.40). NCBI lineage: Eukaryota > Metazoa > Chordata > Mammalia > Primates > Hominidae > Homo > Homo sapiens. The sequence continues at coordinate 77,998,374 of NC_000011.10, read as the reverse complement.
TATGCAAGAGAGAGAGAAGACTGAAGCCTCACGGATTCATTCACAGGTGAACCTTAATGTATTTTCATAAGTAATAATAAAAGTCAAAGGAAAATGGCATCAATACAATAAAGACGGTTTTTCAATTCAACATTAAAGAATGTGTGTTCTTGTTTCTATACCAATCTGGCTCATTGAGAAGTTGGCTATACCAACTTCTCAAATTTATTTATTTATAATTTAAAAAAAATTTATATAGCCAGGCGTGGTGGCTCATGCCTGTAATCCCAGCACTTTGGGAGGCCGAGGTGGGCAGATCACTTGAGGTCAGGAGTTTGAGACCAGCCTCGGCAACATGGTGAGACCCTGTCTCTACTAAAAATGCAAAAAGATTAGCTGGGTGTGGTGGCGCATGCCTGTAATCTCAGCTACTCATGAGGCTGAGGCAGGAGAATCGCTTGAACCTCAGAGATCGAGGCTACAGGGAGCCACGATTGTGCCACTGCACTGCAGCCTGGGTGACAGAGATAAACTCCATATAAATTTTTTTTTTTTAAAATATAGAGACAGGGTCTCTTTCTGTTGCACTGACTGGTCTGGAACTCCTGAGCTCAAGGGATCCTCCCACCTACCACCTCCCAAAGTACTGGGATTACAGGCATGAGGCACCATGCCTGGCCTCAACTTTATTTTTATTGCTTCTTCTGTTCCCTGCATGCACTTAACTTTCAACATGAACTGAAGTTCCTTTGGTTTTCGGAATGCACCAAACTCCTTCCTAAAGCCATTTATTTATTTATTTATTTATTTATTTATTATTTTGAGACAGGGTCTCATTCTGTCACCCAGGCTGGAGTGCAGTGGTGCGATCTCAGCTACTGCAATCTCTGCCAAGCGGGCTCAAGCAATCTTCCTACCTCAGCCTCCCGAGTAGCTGGCACTACAGGCATATGCCACCACGCCCAGCTAATTTTTTGTATTTTTGGTAGAGATAGGTTTTCACCATGTTGCCCAGGCTGGTCTCCAACTCCTGAGCTCAAGCTATCCTCTCACCTTGGTCTTCCAAAGTGCTGGGATTACAGGTGTGAGCCACCGCACCTGGCCGCCATGTATTTAATAACGATGATAATACTCTGTATCATTGATGCTATGATGCACATTTAATGTCTCCGAAATCAGGAGATGTTGGCCAATCGCTCATATGTATACTGAGTCGTAGCAGTTCATGGTGTCATCGCTTCGACTGAGCTCTGTGCAATTTTGGAATTACATGTGTTATTTTAAATTACTATTAAATATATCTCCAAATAGATTACCCTATAATTTGGCATTAAAAAGTTCTTATGTGCACAGGAAGACATGGAAACAGCAGTGCGAGGTAAGATACAAATCTATGTCTAAATAAGTTAAAAAGAGCTGTTTCTGTAAGTATACATAACAAATCTAAGCAATTAGAAACCATTGTATTTAATTTCAGCATTTCTTTTCTTAACATAATAAATAAAATATTGATTTTACAATTGCTGGCAGCTTAGATTTGATAGAATATGATAATGGTAATAATAGCAGCTAAGCTTTATTAAAGGTACTGTTTGCTAAATGTTTTTCATTTCCCTTGACATATTTGTATATCTTATCTCGGCGGTCTGGGATGCCTTTGTTTCTGGAAAAACTCATTCTTTTAAAGCTGCATTAGAAATAGTTTCCTTTTTTTTTCTTTTTTTTTTCTTGAGACAGAGTCTCGCTCTGTTGCTCAGGCTGGAGTACAGAGGCCCGATCTCGGCGCACTGCAGCCGCTGCCACCTGGGTTCAAACGATTCTCCTGCTTCAGCCTCCCGTGTAGCTAGGATTACAGTCACCCACCCCGACGCCCGGCTAGTTTTTGTATTTTTAGGAGAGACGGGGTTTCACCATGTTGGCCAGGCTGGTCTCGAACTCCCGACCTCAGGTGATCCGCCTGCCTCGGCCTCCCAAAGTGTTGGGATTATAGGGGTGAGCCACCGCGCCCAGCCTTTTTTTTTTTTTTTTTTTTTTTTGGAGACAGGGTCTCACTCCGTTGCCCAGGCTGGAGTGCAGTGGCTGGATCTCGGCTCACTGCAACCTCCACATCCCAGGCCCAAGCGATTTTCCCGCCTCAGCCTCCAGAGTAGCTGGGACTTCAGGCGTGGGCCACCATCATGCCCAGCTAAATTTTGTATTTTTAAAGTAGATTTCGCCATGTTGCCCAGGCTGGTCTCAAAACTTCTGAACTAGGTGATCTGCCCGCCTCGGCCTCTCAAAGTGCTGGGATTATAGGCGTGAGCCACCACTCCCAGTTTCCTCTAATTTTAGGAAAGCCTTCCCTGAGGCACTCTGAAGAAATTAGGTCTGTTTGAACCACATTCATTCCCGTTACCCAGCACATTTCAGTTGCACTGTCACCATCAGTTTGGGTGTCTGTCTTCTCAGATTGTAGGACCTTGAGGATAAATACTATCTTTTGTTTATTTTTGGGTCCTCTGTATCCACCTCAGCCTCCTGCTTTTTTTTTTTTAAACTATCCCACATTAATTCTTTTTTTTTTTTTTTGATAACGGAGTCTCGCTCAGTCGCCCAGGCTGGAGTGCAGTGGCGCGATCTCGGCTCACTGCAACCTCCGCTTCCCATGTTCAAGTGATTCTTCTGCCTCAACCTCCCAAGAAACTGGGATTACAGGCGTGTGCCACCATGCCCCGACTAATTTTTGTATTTTTAGTAGAGACGGGGTTTCCCCATGTTGGCCAGGCTGGTCTCGAACTCCTGACCTCAAGTGATCCATCCGCCTCGGCCTGCCAAAGTATTGGGATTACAGGCATGAGCCACCGCGCCTGGCCCACATTCTTTTGAAAGACCAAAATAATGAACAGCTAGTTTCATGTAGGTTGTAAAACTTGACCTTGGATTTACTGACACTAACATGTGCACTACACCTTACAGTCCGTAAAATGTTCCTGCATTATTTCACTCCATTGTCACATCTTTGTCAGGTTAGTTATTATAAATGCATTTGTAGTTGAGCCATTTGCTCAAGAACCAGAGCTGTAGTCTGTAGCTTTGTTGCTTTATCCTTGGTCTCAGAAGTCTTCTACTGTACTATAGCTATCAGAGCAGGGATTGATGCCTTAAAGGATGGCAGCTTTTGCAAAACTGGAATAAGGAAGTATGGAAAGGCACCCCAAAACAAGAGAGGTGGCGCACAGCTTGAACAAAGGCAGTGCTCAGGAAACCTACAAACAGCATCGTGTACAGCAAAGGATGATGGGAAAGTCAGCCGAGCCTCTGAGTTTTTTCACGAGTCGTAAACCCCTTACAGAGCTCCGGGTTTTGCCTCTAGCTCTGGAGCACCCCGCCTCTGCCCTTTAACCTGTACTTCCTCCCTCCCTCCCTTCGCGCCGCGCCGCGCTAGTCTCTTAGCCACTCCGAGGCCACCAACCAGCCTCCCAAAGCTCCCATTGGGTTGCCCACCCTTTCAGTCTCAGCTCCTCCCGCCAGAGGCCCCGCCTCCCACAAGCGAAGCTCTTATTTCCGTTCTTCCGGCGTAGGCCGCCAAATCAGTCCGTACAGTGGCGAGGCAGTCGAGCAACAGGAAGCGGTCGCTCTTTCCCCAAATCCCACTGCCTTGTGGGATCTCGGCAAGTCATCCACCCACCCCCCGCGCCTACGCAAGTTTTCCGGATCCGTCCACCCCCGCCTCCCTCCTAGTGTACGGAAGCTGAGAGGGCCCGCGGGTAGGCATGGCGGCGCACCTTAAGAAGCGGGTTTATGAGGAATTCACGAAAGTGGTTCAGGTAAGCTCTGGCGGGAAAGATCCAGAACCGATCCGGACCAGGGTAGATTATCCAAATCCCAGGCACTTTGCCGGAACAGAAGAGGCTCCATACGCCCGTGTTAAGTGCTGACTTGTTGATAATCTCTGATATTGCAAGTTAGTGGGCGTGTTAGTTTGCAGCCGCTGTTGTCATTAATATGTGAAGTCTGACAGGATTTTAAAAAAATTATTAGGAGAAACAGTGTTTTTTAATTTACGAAACTGTCTTATCCGTTATTTCATTTTATTCTCTCACACAACTTTGCTCCATCGCGTTACATTAGCATCCTCGTTTTCCAGATGTGGACATTGAGCCTTCCGGAGGGGTACGAGGATACAGCCAGTTAGCAGCAGAGCCCCTTCTAGCCTCCCCGCACCCCCGTTCCAAAAAAAAACCTCCCAGGGACCAGTTGGAATATACACAAGGTTCTAAGGGGCTGAAAGAAGGGTCTATAGAATTCCTTCAGGCGCAGTCTAAGCAGGCGGGGGTCACAGACTTCATAGGGGAAGAGCTCTCTATTGGTAGAACAGCTCACCTAGGAAGGAGGGCAGTACCTTCCTCACCATGAAGTTGTGACAGGTGGGCAGAGTCCCTGTCGGGAGTCAGTGATGCTCCATGTGTCTCCACGTAGATGTTGCTAGGGTTGATCCTAAATCATCCTGATGTCCTATTTCTCAGATATTAATGTGTATACAAATTACCTGGGGACGTTGTTCAAATGTCGATTCTATTTGATAAGTCAAGCAGAGGAGGTGAGGCAAGATTCTGCATTCCTGACATGCCCCCAAATTTACACCAGTGCATTGGTTGCATTCTTAGATCCTTAGACTTGTAGAGTGGCAAGGCTTAGAGCATCCAGCAGGATACTGATCCTTAAACATTACATGGATTCATTCATCCAGCATTAAAATATGTTAATACAAATACAAAATATGTCAATACATAATATAAAATTTACAATTTTAACAATTTTAAGTATAAAGTTCAGTGGCATTAAGAACATTAGCACTGTTGCACAATGTGATTTCCTCTCTTCCCAACATTCTGTTGTTCCCATTTCCCAAGACTGCTCAGCCCTCTTCCACCCATCCTCACATGACCAGATATGCCATGTGTTCTTGTGTTTGCATATCTCAAAACTCTTGCACTGGTTGTCTCTTCTCACAGAATACATGCCATTCTTCCCTTTCTTTTTGTTCTCCACCCAGTGGACTTAACATTTGTGCTTCAAGACCCAAATGAAACCTCAGCGAGAGCTTAGTCTCTTCTTCACCTGTTTCTGTAGCATTCTGTGGTACTAATCTATTTGTACTTTTTGTTCAGTGCTGCTGTCATTACCGGTGTACCTATCTTCCCACCAGTCGGAGGTCCTTGATGGCAGAGCTAATGCCTGGCTCATCTCCGTGTCCTGGAGATGGACAATAGGGCCTGGCTCACTAAAGTGTTATTGGTGGTTGAATGACAGTTGATATTGCTTGTCCTCTCCCTTATATAATACTTAGGGAAAAAATTCCTAGCTTTTGACCTAACTACAGCTTCGATAAGACTGAAAACTGAGTTTGAGAGGACTAGGATAGAAATGGCTAAGAATTTTAAGGGAAGAGCTAATTTCTTCACTTAATTTTTCATCAGTTGTTAACATAAAGTGATTAAATGAGATCTTAGTGCTTCTGTTCTTTTTTCTCCGCTGAAAAGATGAGGAGGGAGAACTGATATGTGCCTAGCACTTACATATACGTATAATAAAGTTATGTTTAATAACAGATTTATCGACTAGCTCTGTGATAATAAAGTATTGGTATGCCCTCCTATAGAAGAAGGCCTTCCCCAGCTAGTAAGTTGTAATTGAATACAAATTCCTCTGACTCCAAAGTCCTTATTCTTTTTATCATGTCATACTGTGTTCTTGTCTAGAATAATTCTACTCTCTTTTCTATAGAAATGTGAATTTGTAAGGAGGTGATTGCTCAGTACATAAAAACGCACCATTAGGTGGTAAGGAAATTTATTTTATTTTATTATTATTTTTTAACAGAGACAGGATTTCACCATGTTGCCCAGGCTGGTCTCGAACTCCTGGGCTCAAGGGATCCTCCTGCCTCAGCCTCCCAAAGTGCTAGGATTTCAGGTGTAAGCCACTACGCCCATCGGATATTTGTTTCCTTTTCTTCTGTTTTGAGATGGAGTTTCGCTCTTTTCGCCCAAACTGGTGTGCAGTTGCGCAATCCTAGCTCACTGCAACTTCTGCCTCCTGGGTTCACGCAATCCTCAGCCTCCTGCATAGCTGGGACTGCAGGCATACACCACCACCCCCAGCTAATTTTTGTGTTTTTAGTAGAGATGGGGTTTTGCCATGTTGGCCAGGCTGGTCTTGAACTCCTGGCCTCAAGTGATCCGCCTGCCTAAGCCTCTCAAAGTGCTGGGATTACAGGCATGAGCCACCATGCCATGTCTGATATTTGTTTTCTAATAAAGAATGGACTTTGGGAGACTGAAGCAGAGGGATCACTTGAGGCCAGAAGTTCGAAACCAGCCTGGGTAACATGGCAAAACCTGTCTCTACTAGAAATACAAAAATTAGCCATGTGTGGTGGCACACACCTGTAATTCCAGCTAGTTGGGAGTCAGGGAGGTGAATCGCTTGAACGTAGTAGGTGGAGGTGGCACACACCTATAATCCCAGCATGTTGGGTGTCAGTCAGAGAATCATTTGAACCTAGGAGGTGGAGATTGCAGCAAGCCAAGATTGCACCATTGCACTCCTGCCTGGGCGACAGTGTCTTGCTCTGTCTCAAAAAAATGGAGTAGATCCTTTGTGTGACCTCTAAACCCAAAGGCTACCACAATCCTCAGAGATAGGTAGAGCAAAATGTTAGTGTAAGGCTGGGCACCGTGGCTCATGCTTGTAATCCCAGCACTTTGGGAGGCTGAGGTGCCAGGATTGCTTGAGCCCAGGAGTTAAGACCAGCCTGGGCAACATAGAGAGACTCCATCTCTAAGAAAAAAAAAAAGTATACCTATTTTACAGAGACATAAACTGAGACTCGGAGAAATTAAATGACTTGCCTAAAGTCATAGGAACTGGTAAAGGCAAAATTGAGACTCATGGCCTTGTCACCAACCCGGTACTCTTTCTGGTTTATAATACTGTATTTTCCTAAGTCCATCAGCTAAATATATTATTTGGTATAATGGAAAATCATTTCCACCAAATGAGGCAAAGTTAAATTTGCAGATTCTGTGTTTTCGATTTTCTCTACCCCTTGCAGCCACAGGAGGAAATTGCTACTAAGAAACTCCGACTAACAAAACCAAGTAAATCTGCAGCACTCCACATAGATCTGTGTAAAGCTACCTCCCCAGCAGATGCTTTGCAATACTTGCTCCAGTTTGCCAGGAAGCCTGTCGAGGCGGAAAGCGTAGAGGGAGTAGTCAGGATTCTCTTGGAACATTATTACAAGGTAAGAAAATCTTGAGGATCTGATGGGAGTATATCATGGGAGTTGTATCATGTCTGCAGAATGGTTAATATTACAAATAAATAGGGTATTCATTAGGAAGCTTTTATTGAGTGTCTTCCAAGTGCTAGGTACTATGGATACCGAGATAAAAAAGATACAGATCTTGACCTCAGAAAGTTATACTGTGTATAGTAGATGGAAACAAGACATGTCAATGATAAGGTGCATCATACTGCTGAAGTTACTGTGAGTGCAGTATGTGCAGAGTACAGTGGAAGCACAAAAGAGGAGTAAATATCAATCATGACCCATTCATCTCTGGAATGTGGTCCTGCTGTTCCTTTCCTAATTCATGGCCCTCATATCTAATTGCAGTGGCCCTCTTTTTTAATTAAAAATACATTTTTTTTTTTTTTTTTTTGGAGACAGAGTCTCGCTCTGTTGCCCATGCTGGAGTGCAGTAGTGCAATCTTGGCTCGCTGCAACCTCTGCCTCCTGGGTTCAAGCGATTCTCCTGCCTCAGCCTCCTTAGTAGCTGGGATTACAGGCACGTGCCACCACACCCTGCTAATTTTTGTATTTTTAGTAGAGACGGGGTTTTGCCATGTTGGCCAGGCTGGTCTCGAACTCCTGACTTTAAGTGATGCAGCCACCTTGGCCTCCCAAAGTGTTAGGATTACAGGCGTGAGCCACTGCGTCTGGCCAAAAAAACTGTTTTTGAGACAGAGGCTCACTGTCACCCAGCCTAGAGTTTAGTGGCATCATCATAGGTCACTGTAGCCTGGAACTCCTGGGCTTAAGTGATTCTCCTGGCTCAGCCTTCCACGTAGGTGGGACTGCAGACGTGCCACTACTCCAGGCTAAGTTTTGCATTTTTTTTTTTTTTTTTTTTGAGACTTGGTCTGTCACTCAGCCTGGAGTATAGTGGTGGCACAATCTTGGCTCACTGCAACCTCCGTCTCTTTGGTTTAAGTGATTCTCCTGCGTCAGCCTCCAGAGTGGCTAGGACCGCAGGTGTGTGACACCACACCCAGCTAATTTTTTTTGTATTTTTAGTAGAGGTGGGGTTTTGCTGTGTTGGCCAGGCTGGTCTTGTACTCCTGACCTCAAGTGATCCATGCACCCTGGCCTCCCAAAGTGCTGGGATTGCAAGCGTGAGCTACCATTCCCAGCCCAAAAATCATTATTATTATTACTATTATTATTTTTGAGATGGGGTCTTGCTTTCTCGCCCAGGCGGGAGTGCAGTGGTGCTATCACGGCTCACTGTACCCTCGACCTCCGAGGCTCAATTGATCCTCCTGCCTCAGCCTTCTGAGTAGCTGGGACTACAGGCATGTGCAGCATGCCTGGCTAATTTTTGTATTTTTTTTTTTTTTTTGTAGAGACAGGGCTTTGCTATGTTGCACAGGCTGATCTCGAATTCCTGGGCTCAAGCAATCCACCCTCCTTGGGCTTCCAAATTGCTGAGATTACAGGTGTGAACCACCACACTCAGCCCCCAAATTGTTAAGCTTATGGAAAAGTAGATAAAATACTATAGTGACCTACCAAATATCCATTCCTAGAATTTAACAGTTATTAGTATTTTGCCAAATTTGCTCTATTTTTTCGCTGAATTTTATTTTATTTTGTTATTATTTTTTTTGAGATGAGTCTCACTCTGTTGCCCAGGCTGGAGTGTAATAGCACTCCTGGGTTCAAGCAGTTCTCCTGCCTCAGCCTCCCAAGTAGCTGGGACTACAGGAGTGCGCCATCACGCTCAGCTAATTCTGTATTTTTAGTAGAGATGGGGTTTCACCATGTTGGCCAGGCTAGTCTCGAATTCCAGACCTCGGGTGATCCACCTGCCTCGGCCTCCCAAAGTGCTGGGATTACAGGTGTGAGCCACCGCGCCCAGCCTTGTTTTGTTGAATTTTTAAAAAGATATGTCATTTTTTTCTAATTATTTCATTACATATCTATTAAAAAGGGATACCTTTTTGTTGTTTTCTTTTTTTTTCTCACTGCTATGAGAAAGTAGAGGGACTTTTTATTTTTTAACATAGCCACCTAACCCTAATGAATAAAGTTAAGTAATTCTTTAATGTCATCTAAGAATTAGTTGATATTTAGATTTCTGTAGTTGTTCTCCCAGTACCTTTTTATAGTTGATGTATTCAAATCAAAATGCAAACCAGGTCCCCACATGGCATTCAGTCTTTTCAAAAATCTACAACAGTTACTATTTTGGTGACATTGATTTGATGAAGAAACTGAGACAGTTCTTTTGTAAAATGTCTTGTTTTCTGAATTCATTTACTTCTTTAAGGATTAACTTGTTCCTCTGTTCTCTGTATTTACTATGAACTGAAAGTTAGATCTATAGGCTTTGTTAGATTTAAGTTAAGCATATTTTTGACAATTTTAAGACTATGTTATAAATGGTGACTTGTACTTCATATTGCAGCTATCAGCATGCAAATGTCACCGTTACATTGAGGTCTTCCTTTACCCTTCTGTTTCATATCGAAACTGCCTATCCCCACCCCGCACTTCCTAGTCCCCTTCCTTGATTTTGTTTTCTCCATAGTAATTACCATCTTCTAATATTCTGTATAATTTCTTGTTAATTATGTTCCTTGTCCATTTCCCCATGCAGGAACATAAGCTTCCCTTGAGCAGGGATTTTTATGTTTTTTAATTGTTGTTTCTACAGAATCAAGAACAGTGCCTGGTAAAATAAATATTTGTTGAATGAATAAATGAATTAATTGATGCTTTTGTGATACATTTTACTCAACAAATATATATCAGACTTTGTTCTGGGCACTGGACGGTGTCCATTAGCACAATTGTTAAGTCTTATGCGTTGCAATTGTTTGCCATATGTGTCTATCTCCTTCAGACTTTGAGCTCCGTAAATTCAGAGGCTGCAGATCCATTAGTCTCTATCCCAGTGCCTGGCAGGTTCCTAGGAACATTGAAGGGACATTATAAATGTTTCACTTATGTTTTACGTGAATAAAATCAGGCTTTCTTTTTTTGTTGTTCTTTTCTTTAAAAAATTTTTTAAAAAATCGTATCTATCTATCTAGAGACTGGGTTATGAGACTGGCTAATTTTTATATTTTTGATAGAGATGAGGTTTCACCATGTTACCAAGGTTGGTCTCAAACTCCTGGGCTCAAGCGATTCACCTACCTCAGCCTCCCAAAGTGCTGGGATTACAGGCATGAACCACTGTGCCTGGCATCTTTTTGAGTGTTGCTCTGTTGCCCAATCTAGAGTGCAATGGCGTGATCACTGCCCACTGAAGTCTGGACTCCCAGGCTCAAGCCATCCTCCCACCTCAGCCTCCTGAGGAGCTGGGACCACAGGCACATGCCACCACTCCCGGCTAATTTTTTCTTTTTAATTTTTTTTGTAGAGATGGAGTCTCTCTGTGTTGCCCAGGCTGGTCGCGAATTCCTGAGCTCAAGCAACCCTCCTGCTTGGCCCTCCCAAAGGATTGGGATTACAGACGTGAGCTACCACATCTGACCAAAATCAGGATTTCTGTTCTCAAGAAGTTTTCGATCTCTCAGTGATCTATTTTCCGTTAGTCTTTTTCTTAGCAATATCTACCATTATTATTATATTAAAGATCTGTTACCAATAATCATCTATAATAATACTTCTTAGAGCAGTTAACATTATATTGCTTGTTAGAGTTTGAAAGCACTTTCCATATGTAATATTTTATTTAATCCTGGTGACAGCACCATTGTTATCTCTAAATTCCAGATATGGAACTAAGCTTAGAGCTGTTTAGTATCCAAGGTCACCCAGCTAGTAAATGGAAGGTATGGATTTGAACTTGGGTTTTTTTTTTAAAAAACCTTTTGTTATGGAACATTTCAGATATATACTATGTAAGTAAAGAGAATAGTTTAATTAATTCCCATGTACCCATTACCTGGCTTCAAAAATTATCATTTTGTGGCCAAACTTGTTTCATTTTCCCTCTTCCCCAATCCACTTCTACTTCTTTACCCTCACCTTCTCCACCAGATTCTTATGAAAATAAATTCCTGGCATCATATTATTTTAATCATAAATTTTGATTTATATCTTTAAGTGGTGAAGACTCTTTTTTTATTATTATACTTTAGGTTCTAGGGCACATGTGCACAACGTGCAGGTTTGTTACATGTGTATACATGTGCCATGTTGGCTTGCTGCACCCATTAACTCATCATTTACTTTAGGTATTTCTCCTAATGCTATCCCTCCCCCAGCCCCCCACTCCCCAACAGGCCCCGGTGTGTGATGTTTCCCGCCCTGTGTCCAAGTGTTCTCACTGTTCAATTCCCACCTATGAGTGAGAACATGCGGTGTTTGGTTTTCTGTCCTTGTGATAGTTTGCTGAGAAGGATGGTTTTCAGCTTCATCCATTTCCCTGCGAAGGACATGAACGCATCCTTTTTTATGGCTGCATAGTATTCCATGGTGTATATGTGCCACATTTTCTTAATCCAGTCTATCGTTGGTGGACATTTGGGTTACTTCCAAGTCTTTGCTCTTGTGAATAGTGCCGCAATAAACATACGTGCACATGTATCTTTATAGTAGCATGATTTATAATCCTTTGGGTATATACCCAGTAATGGGATTGCTGGGTCAAATGGTATTTCTAGTTCTAGATCCTTGAGGAATTGCCGCACTCTCTTCCACAATGGTTGAACTAATTTACACTCCCAACAGTGTAAAAGTGTTCCTATTTCTCCACATCCTCTCCAGCATCTGTTGTTGCCTGACTTTTTAATGATTGCCATTCTAACTGATGTGAGATGGTATCTCATTGTGGTTTTGATTTGCATTTCTCTGATGACCAGTGATGGTGAGCATTTTTTCATGTGTCTGTTGGCTGCATAAATGTGGCGAAGACTCTTAAAAAACATAATCTTTTGTCATGTCTAAAAGCAAAATTTAACTCAGGTGTTCTGATGTCAGATCTCAAGCACTTTAACCAGTCCATGCTGCATGCATTAATCAAGTGGACCCTAGCTCCTAAGGAAATGAGGAGGGATGCCAGATGGACCCAGTTCTAGATTGTTGACCATAGTGTTTTTTACCCTTTCTTCTGTTCTATCCAGAAATGTGGTATTTTATGTTAATATTTTAGTGGATAAAACTACTCTGGCTTCTGCTTTTTCCTACTTTTTTTTTGTGATCAGGCATTAGTATCTGAACTTATTTCACATGATTGATTCTTCACTTATGCTACTGTGCTAGTAGCTATGGAGGATGCAGAGCTGTGAGATATGTTCTTTGTCCTTTAGGGGCTAGCAGTGTAGTCGGCAGACCATATATGTAGTATGTAGATAGTAAGTGCTAAAGTTTTCCATTTGCTTATTTTTTCATTTGCTCAGCATGTCTGAATACTTACTCTGTGCCAGGCTTTGTGCTTCATGTTGGTAATAGAGATGTAGATGATGTAATCCCTGATCTGAGTCTTGAGTAAATAAGAAATGAATTAATAACAATACAGTGTTTCAGGTCTTATGAAATCTGGGGTAGGTTATGATATGGCCTCAAAGAAGGGGGCGATTAATTATTGGAAGCAGGGATCCAGAAATGCATTATAGAGTGGTAGCGATGCTTGAGAAAAGTCCTAGAAATAGATTTTGGCCAGTTGGAAGACAGGGGGAAAGACATTTTAGTTGTGAGCAACCGTGAACATGGGCATGGAGATGTGAGACAGGCTATCACATTAGAAGAAATGCAGCTAGTTTGGCTGGTGCAGATTTTAGGTTGGGAGCTCATCAAGAGATAAGACCAGAAGATTTGGAAGGCATCTGATTCTAAAGGGCCTTGTATTCTACCTTGTCAGTTTTTGTTTTAGAAATGTCACTCTGAGGGGAAGTATGGAGGATAAAGGAATTGGATGGACTGGAGTTAGAGTGACCAATTAGAAGACTGTAAGTTTGGGGAAAGGTGATGAAAGCCTGAACCAAGACAGTTTTAATGGTCAGAAGAAACAATTATTAGAGAAGGCTTCCCTGGAGGTAATTCTGTTTTTAGCTCAGGTGTGAAGGAGATCATTTATGTGTCATAGTAGAAGGAGTGCTAAGGGATTATTTCAGAAAGTAAAAGAACTTGAGTAAAGTATCCAAATGGATAAGGAATGTCACTAGGTCAGATGCTCTCTTATCTGCTTTTTTTTTTTTTTCATTTACATTTATTTTCTTTTCCCCCCCTTTTTTCCCTTTTTTTTCCTAACAAGGTCTCACTCCAGGCTGGAGTGCAGTGGTGCTATCATGGTTCACTGAAACCTCCACCTCCCAGGCTTATGCAATCCTCTCACCTCAGCCTCCTAAGTAGCTGGAACTATAGGCATGTGCCACCATGCCTGGCTAATCATTTCTTAATTGTGGTAACAATTAAAATTTATTATCTTAACCATTTTAAGTGTGCAGTTCATGTGTGTTAAGTACATTCATATTGTTATGCAGCCATCACCACCATCCATCTCCAGAACTCTTTTCATCTTGTAAAACTGAAACTCTTTCCCCATTAAACAGTAATCCTCCATCACCCCCACCTCCAGCCCCTGGCAACCACCATCTACCTTTTTTTTTTTTTCATTTTTTGACACAGAGTCTCACTCTGTCACCCAGGCTGGAGTGCAGTGGCGTGATCTCAGCTCACTGCAACTTCTGCCTCCTGTGTTCAAGTGATTCTCCTGCCTCGGCCTCCCGAGTAGCTGGGACTATAGGCGTGCACCACCATGCCTGCCTAATTTTTGTATTTTTGGTAGAGACAGGGTTTTGCCATGTTGGTCAGTCTGGTCTCAAACTTCCTGACGTAGGGTGATCTGCCTGCCTTGGCCTCCCAAGGTGTTGGGATTACAGATGTGAGCCACTGTGCCCGGTCTCATTCTACATTTTGTCTCCGTGATTTCAACTGCTCTAAGTACCTCATATAAGTGGAATTATAAAGTATTTGTCTTTTTGTGCCTGGCTTTTTTCACTTAGCATAATATCCTCTAGGTTTATCCATGTGTTAGGCTATGTCAGAATTTCCTTCTTTTTTAAGGCTAAATAATATTCCATTATGTGTATATACCATATTTTGCTTATCTTTTCATTTGCCAATGGATACTTGCATTGCTTCCACATTTTAGCTGTTGTGAATAATGCTGCTATGAACATATTTGTCCAAATATTTCTTCAAGACCCTGCTTTAAATTTTTTTGAGTATATACCCAAAAGTGGAATTGCTGGATCATATGTAATTCTATTATTAATTTTTTGAGGAGCCACCATACTGTTTTCCTACACTTGATCTTAGCCAAAAGGCCCAGAAGCGATTTCCATCATACTGTTTTCCACAGTGGCTTTGCTGTTTTACATCCCCACCAGCAGGTCACAAAGATTCTAATTTCTCTACATCCTCGCCAACACTTGTTTTCTGTTTTTTGATAGTAGCCATCTTAACGAGTATGAGATGGTGTCTCATTGTAGTTTTGATTTGCATTTCTGTAATGATTAGTGATGTTGAGCCTCTTTTCATGTGTTTATTTGGCCATTTGTATATCTTCTTTGGAGAAATGTCTATTCAAGTTCTTTGCCCAGTTTTGATTTGGGTTGTTTCTCTTGTTCAGTTTTGGAATTGTTAATATATTCTGTTACTAATTTCAAATCAAGAATCTAACTTTACAACTTAAAGAACTAGAAGAAGACTGGGGCATGGTGACTCACACGTGTAATCCCAGCACTTTGGGAGGCCTAGGCAGGAGCCCAGGAGTTCAAAACCAAACCGGCAACATAGTGAGACCCTGTCTCTATTATTTAACAAAACAAAACTAGAAAAACAGCAAACTAAACCCAAACTTAGTAGAAGGAAGAAAATAATAAAGATCAAGGAACTGTTATTTGACTGCTTACTATATGCCCATTTTTGTGCTAGTAATTTTCCTCTCAGTAGCCCTCTGAGGTTATTACCCCCATTTCACAGATAAGGCTCAGAGAGGTTAATTGTTTAAGACATACAGCTGTTGTGTAGTGAATCCAGGCTTCACACCTACATCTGGCTAATTTCAAAGCCCTTTCTCTTTCTGCTTCACTTCACACCTTAAGGTAAGTTCCCAAGAAAGTGACTTTTCTAAAGTTATGTGCATAATAAGTGGCATAGCATGCCAGGATTTTAGATCTTCCAACGCTGTATCTATTGCCCCTTCTCCTGCTTTAGGCCTCCTTATTGTGCCTGGTGACCTCCTTAGAAACTGAATATAGGAGGCAGGGAGTTGGTCTTATTTGAAAAGCACCTTATCCTTTGAGCATACACTTAAGTAATTTTGTCTTTAGTATAGAAAGATGATCTATTCTCAGCACTGGTTAGGTACTTTTTTTCCTCTCATTTCACATATATTTATTGATCTTTTCAGTGTCAGGTATTGTGCTATATTCTTGAGATATGGCAGTGAACAAGAGAGCATTCCTGTTTGTCTTTGGAGGAAATTTCTCACCACAGGAATTTTGGTGCCCATTAGAGACCACCTCCCTCTCTCTAAGCTAAAACAGCCAGACTATTTCTTTGTCAGTCTCCCCTGCAGCTGGGGCCCAGGCACAAGACTTACACTCAGACAGTCACACTTGCCTCCTCCAGACTTCTAATCAGGATCTGGTGATTCAAAAAAGCAGGTAGGGCTGAGCGTGGTGGCTCACACCTGTAATTCCAGCATTTTGGGAAGCCAAGGCAGGAGGATTGCTTGAGCTCAGGAGTTTGAGACCAACTTGGGCAACAAAGCAAAAGCTCATCTCTACTAAAAATTAAAAAAAAGTAGCCAGGTGTGGTAGCATGTATCTGTAGTCCCAGCTACTTGGGAGGCTGAGGTTGGAGGTTCACTTGAGCTCAGGAGGTCAAGGCTCTAGTTAGCCATGATGGCGCCACTGCACTCTGACCTGGGAGACAGTGAGACCCTGTTTCAAAAAAAAAAAAAAAAAAAGACAGGTAGAATGAAAGATTCTTTCTGGTGATAGCAGTGGTAGCTGCAACACTCACTTTCCAGGGACTCCAAAAGCAGTGGTACTGGCAGCAATGTTGTATACCCAGTTGTTGGTGCAAGTTGCTCTGACTTGTGTCTAACATGACTACTCAGTGGAGGTCAGGTGCTTTTAATGCCAGTGGCACGTTTTTTATTAGAAGATAATGACATCAGAATGGCATAGAAAAGTTCTCATTCACTTTGCAGTATTTGGATGTAATGTATCAACTGAGAAAGCTGTCTCCCCGGCAGAGGTTGCATTGAGCCAAGATCACGCACTGCACTCCAGGCTGGGCAACAGATTAAAACTCCATCTCAAAAATAAATAAATAAATAAATAAATAAATAAATAAATAAAAGAAAGCTGTCTCTCCAGAAGTATATAAAATTAATTTTTCAGAAATGATGCCATAGAATACTTGGATCATTGAATCTCTTTTGGGATGTTAGTTTTCCATGTTCCTGTTTGTTGGTTAGCTAAGTGTAAAGCATCAAAGTGACAATTGCTTCTTTTTTTCCAGGAGAATGATCCATCTGTGAGACTGAAAATTGCATCATTGTTGGGTTTATTATCAAAGACAGCAGGATTTTCACCAGACTGCATTATGGATGATGCCATCAACATCCTGCAGAATGAAAGTAAGTTGCAATTTAAAAGCTCTATAGTCAGAGCAGAAATATTTAGTTCTTTTTGTATAGAATTTAGGACAAAATTTTGTTGTGTTGATTGTTATTGAAGAGGAATTTGAGGATAATTTAATGAAACCATATATACATATTTACATTAGAGTAGAAATACAGTTTTATCTCTTAATAGCTGTCATTTATTGGCCAGGTACCTACCATATATTTGAGGTAGTTTACATATGATATAGACATTATTGTCCCTTTTTTTTTTTTTTTTTTTGCTTGTTTGTTTTTTGTTTTGAGGCAGGGCCTTGATATATTGAGCAGCCTGACTCCAGGCTGGAGTCCAGAAGTCCAAACATGTTAATGACCCTTGCTATATATTACCCTATTGCTTTCTAAAAGGATTATTTCAGCTTACACTGAAACCTGTAACTGAACATACAGTACTCGTTCCATCAAGAAACTTTTTTTTTTTTTAACGGAGTCTCGCTCTGTCTCCCAGGCTGGAGTGCAGTGGCACGATCTCGGCTCACTGCAAGCTCTGCCTCCCGGGTTCACGTCATTCTCCTGCCTCAGCCTCCCAAGTAGCTGGGACTACAGGTGCCTGCCACCACGCCCTGGCTGATTTTTTTTGTATTTTTAGTAGAGACAGGGTTTCACCATGTTAGCCATGATGGTCTTGATCTCCTGACCTTGTGATCCACCCACTTCAGCCTCCCAAAGTGCTGGAATTACAGGCGTGAGCCACTGTGCCCGGCCAAGACACATTTTTAAAAGCACTAAAACAGGCTAGGCACAGGTTAGGCTAGGCCTGTAATACCAAAACTTTGGGAGGTCGAGGTGGGAGGATCCCTTGAGCCCAGGAATTTGAGACCAGTCTGGGCAACATAATTAGATCTTGTCTCTACAAAATATTAAAAAATTAGCCAAACATGGTTGCTCACACCTTTATCCCAGCTGCTTGGGAGGCTAAAATGTGAGGACTTCTTGGGCCTAGGAGATTGAGGCTGCAGTGAGCCATGATCATGCCACTGCATTTCAGCCTGGGTGACAGAGCGAGACGCTGTCTCAAAAAATAAATTAAAATAAAAAAATAAATACAAGCACCAAAACAATAGCATTGCTTCAGTACAGAAGTATCATTTTTTCCCATGGAAAATTCTTATGGTAGCTACATGAGAGGTGACATTTTAAGGATAACTAGGTGTTCAGTGGGGAGTGGGGTCAAGAATGGAGTCAGGTGTGGGGGAAGGCATTCTACTTAGAGAAGTTAGCCTGAGCAAAGATAGGGGGCATGTAATTATAAGTAGTTGGAAAAAAGAGTGTTAAAGGAGACCTGAAAAAGATGAAGCTAGAAAGATAGGCAAGGGTAGACAACATGGAAGGCCTGGTATGTATGTATTATATGCCTTCTAGGATATTTGGACTTTATCTTGAAGGCAATGGAAAACTTTTTTTTTTTTCTGTTTCTTCTTTTTTTTTTTTTTTTTGAGATGGAGTCTTGCTCTGTCGCCTAGGCTGGAGTGCAGTGGAGCGATCTCGGCTCACTGCAACCTCCGCCTCCCGGGTTCAAGCGATTCTCCTGCCTCAGCCTCCTGAGTAGCTGGGATTACAGGCACGTGCCACCATGCCTGGCTATTTTTTGTGTTTTTAGTAGAGATGGTGTTTCACCATGTTGGTCAGGCTGGTCTCGAATTCCTGACCTCATGATCTGCCCGCCTCAGCCTCCCAAAGTGCTGGGATTACAGGCATAAGCCACCACCGTGCCTGGCCTTTTTTTTTTTTTTCTGTTTCTTAGTGTGAAAAAACTCTTGAATCAGTCAAGCACTAAACATTTTTGGAGCACACTATGTATATAGAACTGTACTCTATCCCGTGGAGGACTCAGACATTTAAACATGATCCCTTTAGGAACTTAGCTTTTAGTTGAGGGCATGAAGGATCACACAGTAGAACCCAGTTGACAAAAGTCTGTTTTTTTTTCTGTTTTTTTAGGACTGGGTCTCGCTCTGTTGCCCAGGCTGGAGTGCTGTGGCGCGATTACGGCTCACTGCTGCCTTGATCTCTGAGGCTCAAGCAGTCCTCCTACCTCGGCCTCCTAAGTAGCTGAGACTCTGGGCGCACACCACCTGGCTGACTCATTTTTTCAGATTTATTTTTGTAGAAACGGAGTCTCCCTATGTTGCCCAGGCTCGTCTTGAACTCCTGGGCTCAAGGGATTCTCCTGCCTAGGCTTCTCAAAGTGCTGGGATTACAGTTGTGAGTCACTGCGCCTAGCCAATCTACATTCTTTACCCAAGTAAATTAGTTTATATAGTTACCCCTTTCGAAATTCTACAAGCCAACTTTCTATCTCCCTCTCTAGAGTCTCATCAAGTCCTAGCTCAACTGCTGGATACTTTGCTTGCAATTGGCACTAAGCTACCAGAGAATCAAGCTATCCAAATGCGATTAGTTGATGTGGCCTGCAAGGTAAGAGTATAAAATCTATTCAGATCCATCCTAAACTGGTAACTGAGGACTGCTAAGGACCATTAATGGTTTTAGGAGCTGCCTTATTTTTTTCATCTCTTGGTGTTGGATTAGGAATAAAGTTAAGTACACTTGTTATAAAGTGTATTTCGTCATCCTTTCAAAACAAATGAAAATAATTACAGTACATAGTTACTGTGTATATTGTGCCTAATAATGCACTCTGCTTGTTATGGTGCTTTGTATTCAGTTTTTCATTTGGTCCTCACAATCCTTCAAGTAAGTACCGTTATTTCTCTTTTACAAAGGTGAAAATTAAGATTTATGGAGTCTGATTTGTCTAAGTTTGCACAGCTAGGAGGTTGCAGTACCAGGGTATAAACTGTATTTTTTCTGACCCCAAACTTGTTTTGTTTTTATTATGCCTTGTTGCTTCAATAAACAGACCAACTATACACAAGTAAATGTATGGGAAAAGTTTTGTACGTTCTTTTTTTCTGATTTTTAAATACATGTATTAATACATTAATTGTGCCTTTTGATTTAATTTGGAGGTTAATTAGCCTCTTTGTGTATACACAGCAACCCCTAGAACCCTGTAGAATTGATTTTACTTTGGATCTTTTTGATAACTTTGAGAATATAAAAAAGTCAAATGCATTTGAATTGTGTTAGAGTATTATATTCTTGAAATTAGAAAGCTATCTCAGAGATGCAGGAAAGATTACTTGATTTATCTTAAAACAACAGGCATACATAAAACCAAAAACACTTTGACAAGTACAATACTAAAAGCTTAAATAGGGCCAGGTGCGGTGGCTCACACCTATAATCCCAGCACTTTGGGAGGCAGAGGTGGGCGGATCATTTGACATCAGGAGTTTGAAACCAGCCTGACCAACATGGTGAAACCCCATCTCTACTAAAAATACAAAAAAAATTAGCCGGGCACGGTGATGCCTGCCTGTAATCCCAGCTACTAGGGAGGCTGAGGCAGGAGAATCGCTTGAACCTGCAAGACGGAGGTTATGTGAGTGGAGATTGAGCCACTGCACTCCAGTCTGGGTGATAGAGTGAGACTCTGTCTTTAAAAAAAAAAACAAAAAAACAAAAAAAACAGCTTAAATGGAAAAAACTAGGGATTATGTGTGTGGGAGAGTAAGTACGTCTCCCCTGTGAGAGGAAATATATATCTGTGAAGTTTGCTTCTGAGAGTTGTCATAATGAATGGGTTGTGATATCTGCAGTAACTGTTTCTTAAATCTGCTTTAAATATATTTTTAACTATAAGATTTTATATTATATACTTAAATATATTTTTTATTATAATAATTTGTACTCATAGAAAATTCGGAAAGATACTGAAAACTGTAAAGAAAAATGCATTCATAATTCAGTACCCAAAGGGAATCATTATTTGTCTTTTGATATATGGCTTTCTGATTTTTTTTCTGTATGCAAATCATTTGCCATTTTTTTTCTTTAAATACATTGCTGTAATCATATAATTTTGCTCCTTTTTTGCTAACATAAGTATTTTTCTTGTATGTGTTTTATAAACATAATTTGTAATGGCTGTGTGATATTGTGATATAATTTTGCTCCTTTTTTGCTAACATAAGTATTTTTCTTGTATGTGTTTTATAAATATAATTTGTAATAGCTGTGTGATATTGTGTCCAATAATTAAACCATACTTTTTACCTAACTATTCACCTATTACTGAATTTACATTGTAGCCATTTATTTAATTGGAAATAATACTGCAGGGCATATTGTTAGTCTAAAATATTTTCCGTATTTAAAATTATTTCTGAAACACAGACTATCAAAATAGAATTACTAAATTACTAATTGAAAACATTTAGAATTTATTTATTTTTATTTTTATTTTATTTTATTCTTTTTATTTCTTTTTTATTATACTTTAAGTTTTAGGGTACATGTGCACAACGTGCAGGTTAGTTACATATGTATACATGTGCCATGTTGGTGTGCTGTACCCATCAACTCGTAATTTAACATTAGGTATATCTCCAAATGCTATCCCTCCCCCCTTCCCCCACCCCACAACAGGCCCTGGTGTGTGATGTTCCCCTTCCTGTGTCCATGTGTTCTCATTGTTCAGGTCCCACCTATGAGTGAGAACATGTGGTGTTTGGTTTTTTGTCCTTGCAATAGTTTGCTGAGAATGATGGTTTCCAGCTTCATCCATGTCCCTACAAAGGACATGAACTCATCATTTTTTATGGCTGCATAGGATTCCATGGTGTATATGTGCCATATTTTCTTAATCCAGTCTATCATTGTTGGACATTTGGGTTGGTTCCAAGTCTTTGCTATTGTGAATAGTGCCACAATAAACATACATGTGCATGTGTCTTTATAGCATCATGATTTATAATCCTTTGGGTATATACCCAGTAATGGGATTGCTGGGTCAAATGGTATTTCTAGTTCTAGATCCCTGAGAAGAATAGAGTCAGGGTCTCATTGTGTTGCCTAGGCTGGTCTCGAACTCCTGGGCTCAAGTGTTCCTCCAACTTTGACCTCCTGAAGTGCTGGGATCACAGGCATGAGCCACAGTGCCTGGCCTAGACTTTTTTAAAGGCTGTGTTGTTTATTTTTTTGAAAAAAAGACGAAGGTCTTGCTATGTTGCCCGAGATTACGTGTGTGAACTACTGTGCCCAGCTAAGGCTCTTAATACTTTTTGTCAAATTGCTTTCCAAAGTGTTCCAGTTTATATGCCCACAAGCAGTATATGAGAGTTCCTAGTTTCACTGCATTATTCTAGCATTAGATATTAATGTTTAAAAATCAAAGATAAACCTGTTAATTTGGTATGTGGAAAATGATACTTCATTTTTAAAAAATCTCTTTTTTGAAAAGACTAATGAGGTTTCTTTTTCATATGTTTTTCCTTTATTTGTATTTCCTCTCATGTGAATGAACTTTTTATGTCCTTTGCCAGTTAAGCATATGGAGTTTGTGTGTGTGTGTTTTTTTTAAATCGTTTGTGGAGGTTCCTTTTTTTTTTTTGAGATAGAGTCTCGCTCTGTCACCCAGGCTGGAGTGCAGTGACGTGATCTCGGCTCACTGACACCTCTGCCTCCCGGGTTCAGGCAATTCTCCTGCCTCAGCCTCCCGAGTAGCTGGGACTACAGGTGCGTGCCACCACGCCCAGCTAATTTTTGTATTTTTAGTAGAGACGGGGTTTCACCATGTTAGCCAGGATGGTCTCGATCTCCTGACCTCATGATCCGCCCGCCTCGGCCTCCCAAAGTGCTGGGATTACAGGTGTGAGCCACTGCACCCGGCCTGTAGAGGTTCTTAATAGGGTAAAAATTGCAACTGTTTGTCAATGGCAGATCTGTCACAAGCTTTTTCAGACTACAGTAATGAAGGCTATCTGTGATTCATAACTACAACCGCTGTTTCTATTGCCAAATGCCATTTTGGTTTATGACTATCATACAATGTGCCTAAAAGTTTTTTTTTTTTGTAATTGAGATATAATTTATATACAAATATTTACTCTTGATGGAAAAGATACAAAGTATGTTTTCTGACCACAGTGGGATGAAATTATAAATTAGTTAACAGGAAGAAATTTAGTAAACCCACAAATGTGGAAATTAAACAACATACTTCTATGTAACTAATGAGTCAACGAAGAAATCAAAAGGGAAATTAGAAAATACTTTGAGATGAATAAAATAGAAAATGATGCAGCTAAAGCAGTGCTTATAGAAGTTTATAGTTTTAAGTGCCCATCATAAAAAAAAAACAAGAATAAGGATCTAAAATCAGTAACCTAACCTTCCAACTTAAGATGCTGGAAAAAGAAGCACCCATTAAACTTAAAGCATGTGAAGGAAGGGAATACTAAAGATTAGAATAGAAATTAATTAAACAGAATAGAAAAACAACAGATAATCAACAAAACCAAATTTACTTCTCTGAAAAGATCAACAAAATTGACAAACCTTTAGTTATATTGACCAAGAAAGAGAGAGAAGACTCAAATTACTAGACTCAGAAATGAGAAGACCAGAAGATGGACATATTAGGAAAAAAAAGGAAAAGTGAGGATACTGTCGAGGGCGGTGGCTTATGTCTGTAATCCCACAGTTGGAGAGGTCAAGGCAGGAGGATCACTTGAGCCCAGGAGTTCAAGACCAGCCTGGGTCACATAGGAAGACCCCATATCTACATAAAACAAAAAAATTAGCCGGGTCTGGTGGCTTGTACCTGTAGTCCAGCTACCTGGGAGGCTGAGATGGGAGGATCGCTGTGCCTGGGAGGTTGAGACTGTAAGGAGCTGTGATTGTGCCACTGCACTCTAGCGTGGGTAGCAGAGCAAGACCTTGGGTCAGAAAAAAAAAAAAAAAAGACATGATTACAGACCTGGCAGAACTAAAAAGGATTATAAGTTAATATTATGAAAAATCATAGGCTGGGTGCAGTGGCTCACACCTGTAATCCCAGCACTTTGGGAGGCTGAGGTGGGCAGATCACGAGGTCAGGAGTTCAAGACCAGCCTGACCAACATGGTGAAACCCCGTCTCTACTAAAAATACAAAAATTAGTCGGGTATGGTGGTGCGTGCCTGTAATCCCAGCTACTCAGGAGGCTGAAGCAGGAGAATCACTTGAACCTGGGAGGCAGAGGTTGCAGTGAGCTGAGATCATGCCATTGCACTCCAGCCTGGGCGACAGAGCAAGACTCCATCTCAAAAAAAAAAAAAAAAAAAAAAGAAAAGAAAAATTATATACCAATAAATTAGATAACTTAGTTAAGTGGACAAATTATTAGAAAGACAAAAACTACTGAAAATGACTAAAGAAATAGACAATCTGAATAGATCTATGACAAGTAAAGTAATTGAATTAGTGATTAAGAAAACCAACTAAACAAATCCCTACAAAGAAAAGCTCAGGCCTCAATGGCTTCACTGGTGAATTCTACCAAATATTGAAATAAGAATTAATGCAAATTCTTTACAAACTCTCCCAAGAAATAGAACAGGAGAGAACACTTCCAAACTCATTCTATGAGTTACCAGAAACAGACAAAAGACATCACAAGAAACGAAAACTGCAGACCAGTGACTTATGAATGTGGATCCAAATATCTTTAACAAAATACTAGCAAATCAACTCCAGCAACATACAAGTAGGAGTATATACCATAATCAAGTGGGATTTATTCCAGGAATGCAAGGTTGGTTTAGTATCTGAAAATAAATGAATGTAATACACTATCGAGGATAAAAAACAAGATCATAACAATAAATGAAGAAAAAGCATTTAACAAACTCTTAACACCCTTGTATTATAAGAACACATAAAATATCTTGTAATATTTTTAGGCTTTAGGATAGAATAGGTCAGGAATAGATGGAACTTCCTGACCCTTGTAAATGGAATCTAAAAAAAAAACAAAACTGACAGGAAACATCATACTTAATTTTGACAGATTGAATGCTTTCCCCCTAAAATGAGAAACAAAACAAATAGGTCATTATATTTTTCTTCACTTCTGTTTAACATTGTACTAGAGGTTCTTGCCAGGGATATTAGGCATAGAAAAGAAATAAAAGTCCTCTATTTTGGAAAAGAAAAAGTAAAATTCTCTCCCCGTATTCACAGGTGACATAACCTTGTATGTAGAAAATCTTAGGGAATCCACTAAAAAACTGTTTGAAGTAATAAATGAGTTTAGCAAGATTGCAGGATACAAAATCAGCATACAAAATATAAATTGTATTTATATACACTTGCAGTGAACAATATGAAAATGAAATTAGGAAAATAATTCAATTACAGTAGCATCAAAAATAATACTGATGGCTGGGTGTGGTGGTGCCTCTTGCCTGTAATCCCAGCACTATGGGAGGTTGAGGCAATAGAATCTTTTGAGCTTAGGAACTGGAGACCAGCCTGGGCAACTCAGTGAGATCTCATCTCTACTAAAAATTGAAAAAATTAGTCAGGTATGGTGGCACTTGCCTGTTGTCTCCGCTATTTGGGAAGCTGAGGAGAGAGAATTGTTTGAACCTAGGAGGACAAGGCTGCAGTGAGCCTTATGAGCCTTGATTATGCCACTCCACTAAGCCTGGGCAGCAGAATGAGACCCTATCTGTATTAAAAAAAAAAAAAAACCCACAAAAGAAAACTTATGAATAAATCTAACAAAAGAAGCACCAGTAATATCCAGATACTATGGTACTATATGAAGATAGATGTAAAGATAAATGGAATAGAATTGAGAGTCAGGTCCAGGCATGGTGGCTCACGCCTGTAATCCTAGCACTTTGGGAGGCCGTGGTAGGCAGATCACTTGAGGTCAGGAGTTTGAGACCAGCCTGGCCAACATGGTGAAACCCTGTCTCTACTAAAAATACAAAAATTAGCCAGGTGTGATGGCACACACCTGTAATCCCAGCTACTGGGGAGGCTGAGGCAGGAAAATCGCTTGAACCTGGGAGGCGGAGGTTGCAGTGAGCTGTGATCACACCACCACACTCCAACCTGGGCGACAGAGTGAGACTCTGTCTCAAAAATAAAAAAAAAAGTATTGAGAGTCAAGAAATTGGCCGGGTGTGGTGGCTCATGCCTGTAATCCCACTACTTTGGGAGGCTGAGGTGAGCAGATCACTTGAGCCCGGGAGTTTGAGACCAGCCTGGGCAACATGGCAAAACCCCATCTCTACAAAAAATATAAAAACTAGCCACGAATGGTGGTGTGTGCCTGTAGTCTCAGCTAGTTGGGAGGCTGAGATGGGAGGATTGCTTAAGCCTGGGAGGTTGAGGCTGCCAGTGAGCCGAGACTGCGCTACTGCAGTCCAGCCTGAGTGACACAGTAAGACCCTGTCTCTAACAAAAGAAGAAGAAGGAGAAGAAATAAACTCATGTGTCTTTGGTCAACTGATTTTCTATATGGATGCCAGTACCATTCAATGGAGAAAAAAATTGTCTTTTCAATGCATGGTGTTGGGACAACTGTCTATCCACGTGTAAAAGAAGAAAGTTGGAAACTTACCTCACACCATGCAAAAATTAACTCAAAATGAGTCAAAGACCTGAATATATGTGAGCTAAAATTATAAACCCCTTAGAAGAAAATATAGTAGTATATTTTAGTGTCTTTGGATTTTGGAGTGGATTATTAGATTTAACAAAAGCACACGTTCTAAAAGAAAAAAGTAAAT
Source organism: Homo sapiens (assembly GCF_000001405.40). NCBI lineage: Eukaryota > Metazoa > Chordata > Mammalia > Primates > Hominidae > Homo > Homo sapiens. The sequence continues at coordinate 77,971,781 of NC_000011.10, read as the reverse complement.
AAATTGGGTTTCACCAAAACTGAAAACTTGTTTTTCAGGGGACCCAAGAAGGTGAAAAGACAACCCACAGTATGGGAAAAAATATTTGTAAATCATACATATAATGAGGTAATTGTATTTTTGTTTTTTTTGTTTTTTTGAGTCGGAGTCTCACTTTGTCATCCAGGCTGGAGTGCAGTGGTGGCTTGACCTCGGCTCACTGCAACCTCTGCCTCCCAGGTTCAAGTGGTTCTCCTGCTTCAGCCTCCTTAGTAGCTGGGATTACAGGCGTGTGCCCAGCTGATTTTTTGTATTTTTGGTAGAGACGGGGTTTCACTGTGTTGGTCAGGCTGACCTCAAACTCCTGACCTCAAGTGATCCATGCACCTTGGCTTCCCAAAGTGCTGGGATTACAGCGTGAGCCACTTCGCCCAGCTGGTAATTGTATTTAGACTATCTAAGGAACTCTTACAACCCAATAATAAAAATACAAACAACCCAATTAAAAACATGACAGAGGAGGGAAAGTGGCAAATTAAAAAAAAAGTATTAAACTAACATGGGCAAAAGATCTGAATAGGTGTTACAAAAAATCTAATAATCCAGTGCCAAATAGATATAGAAAAAAGATAAACATACAACACAAAAGCTTAACATCACCTGTCACTAGGGAAATGCATATCAAAACCACAATGAGCTGGGTGCTGTGGCTCACGCCTGTAATCCCAGCACTGTGGGAGGCCAAGGCGGGTGGATCACTTGAGATCAGGAGTTCGAGACCAGCCTGGCCAACATGATGAAACCGTGTTTCTACTAAAAATACAAAAACTAGCCAGGCATGGTGGTGGGCGCCTGTAATCCCAGCTACTCGGGAGGCTGAGGCATGAGGCTCGAACCTGGGAGGTGGAGGTTGCAGTGAGCCAAGATCTTCCCATTGCATTCCAGCCTGGGTGACAAGAGCAAGACTCTTGTCTGAAAACAAAAAACAAAAAACCCACAATGAGATGCTATCTCACATTTCTAGGATGGCTGTAATAAAACTGCCTCCCAGGCTCAAGTGATCCTCCTGCCTCAGCCTCCCAAGTAGCTGGGACTATAGGTGCATGCCACCATGCCTGGCTAACTTTTGTATTTTTTGTAGAGATGGGGTTTTGGCATGTTACCCAGGCTGGTCTTGAACTCCTGAGCTCAAGAGATATGCCTGCCTCAGCCTCCCAAAGTGCTAGGATTACAGGAGTGAGCCACTGTGCCTGGTGTTCGCTCAGCTGCTTTCAAAAACAGTCTGGCAGTTCCTCAAAAAATTAAAAATAGCCTTACCATAGGACCCAGCTGTTCTGCTTGTAGATATCTACCAACAAACTGAAACATATTAACTGAGAAGTTTGTATATGAATTTTTTTTTTCCCCAGATGGAGTCACTCTGTCACCCAAGCTGGAGTGCAGTGGTGCGATCTTGGCTCACTGCAACCTCTGCCTCCTGGGTTCAAGCAATTCTCCTGCCTCAGCCTCCTGAGTAGCTGGGACTGCAGGTGCCCATCATTACGCCTGGCTAATTTTTTTGTATTTTTAATAGAGATGGGGTTTCACCATGTTGGCCAGCCTGGTCTCGAGCTCTTGACCTCAGGTGATCTGCCCGCCTCAGCCTCCCAAAGTGCTGGGATTACAGGCATGAGCCACTGCACCTGGCCCTATGGTTGTTTGTAGCAGCAGCATTCATAATAGTCAAAGGTGGGAGCAAGTCAAATGACCATCAGCTGATGAATTGATAAATAATGCACGTTAGAATATTATTTGCCCATTAAAAAGAATAAAATACCAATACACTCTACAGCTTCGTTGGAGTTTGAAAACATTATGCTAAGTGAAAGAAGCCAGACACGAAAGACCACCTATTACATGAGTCAGTTTATATTAAATTTCCATAATAGGTTAAGTCTATAGAGACAGAAAGTACGTTAGTGGTTGGTTAGGGCTTAGGCGAACAGAGAGATAGGAGGTTGATAGCTAAAGGGTACAGAATGGCTTTTTTTTTTTTTTTGCAGGAGGGGATCTTTCTGTAATGATAATGTTTGAAAACTGACTGTGGTGATGGTTGTGCATATATGTGCAGTACGGAAAAGCATTGAATTGGCCAGGTGCAGTAGCTCATGCCTGTAGTCCTAACGCTTTGGGAGGCCAAGGTGGGAAGCTCGCTTGAGTGCAGGTGTTCAAGATCAGCTTGAGCAACACAATGAGACCTCATCTGTGCAAAAGAACTAGCAGGTGTGATGGTGCACATCTGTAGCCCCAGCTACTTTGGGAGGCTGAGGTGAGAGGATTACTTGAGCCCAGGAGGTCAAGGCTGCAATGAGCTATGATGACATCACTGCGTTCCACCCTGGGCGACAGAGCGAGGCCCTGTCATTTATTCATTCATTCATAAATACATACATACATATACATACATACGCCTATACATACATACCATTGATTTGTACATGTTATCTGGGAGAATTGCGTACGTTTTCTGGGAGAATTGCATGGTATGTGTATTATATCTTATCACAGCTATTAAAAATTTATACTTCAGGCCTGGCATGGTGGCTCACACTTGTAATCCCAGCACTCTGGGAGGCCAAAGCAGGCAGATCACTTGAGGCCAGGAGTTTGAGACCAGCCTGGCCAACATGGTGATAACCCTGTCTCTACTAAAAATACAAAAATTAGCCGGGTGTGGTGGTAATCCCAGCTACCCTGATGGCTGAGGCATGAGAATCACTTGAACCAGGGAGGCAGAGGCTGCAGTGAGCTGAGATCACACCACTGCACCCCAGCCTGGGCGACAGAGTGAGACTCTGTCTCAAAATAAATAAATATAAGAAAAAAATTATACTTCACTGAATTTTGGTGAATTTTTCAACATTTACATTTTTTCCACGTTTTGGCTAATTTGAATAATGCTGCTATGAATATTCACTTACAAGTTTTTTGCTTTATATATATATATGTTTTCAGTTCTCTTGGATATATACCAAGGATATTCACTTACAAATTTTTGCTTAATACATGTTTTCAGTTCTCTTGGATGTATACTAAGGAGAGGAATTTTGGGGTCATATGGTAATTAAGTGTTTAAGTTTTTAATAAAATTGTCATAAAATACAGATTAACATAAAATTTACCATGTCAACCATTTTAAAACATATTGTTTAGTGGCATTAAGTATATTCACAAAGTTGTGTGATCATCACCACCCTTCATTGACAGAGCTCTTTTTGTTTTGCAGAAGTGAAACTCTATACCCATTAAACAATAACTCCCCATGTCCCCATCCCCTCGTCCCTAACAACCACCATTCTATATTCTGTTTTTATAAATTTGACTACTGTAGGGACTTCAGGTAAGTGGAATCACGCAATATTTGTCCTTTTGTGCCTAGCTTATTTTTCTTAGCATAATGTCCTCAAAGTTCATCCACATTGTAACATGTGTCAGAATTTTCTTCCTTTTTACAGCTGAATAATGTACCATTTAAGTAAATTGGAGAAATCATGCCATTTTCCCACTGAAGTAAATGTTTCATATGTATTTTTTTAAGGATATCAATTACAGCATGCATCACATAATAATGACATTTCAGTCAAGGATGGACTGCATATACAACAGTGGTCCCATAAGGTTATAATATTATATTTTTACTGTACTTTTTCTATGTGTAGATATGTTTAGATACACAAATACTTACCATTATGTTACAGTTGCCTACAATATTCAGTACAGTAACATGTTGTACAGGTTTATAGCCTAGGAGCATTAGGCTATATCATGTAGTCTAGGTGTAGTAGGCTTTACAATCTAGGTTTGGGTAAGTACACTCTGATGTTTGCACAATGATGAAATCACCTAATGATGCATTTCTCAGAATGTATCCTTGTTGGTAATTGATGCATGACTATATTTAGTTTTCATGTCTCTTTTGTTTTCCTTAATCTGAAAAGGTCACTCAACCTTTCTTTGTCTTTCATTACCTTGACATTTTTGAAGAGTGTAGGGCATTTATTTTGTAAAATGTCTTGCAATCTGGTTTTATCTGATATTTTCAGTTTAGATTCAGCCAATGCATTTTGACAAGAATATAACAGAATTTTGTGTCCCTCATAATGTATAACATCATGAGGCACAGATGACGTTTGACTTGTTCATGATGTTGCGTTTGATACTTGGCTTAGGTGGTGTCTGCCAGGTTTTGATTATAGAGTTATTTGATCCCCAAAATTAAAAATAGAATTGCCATATGATCCAACAGTTCACTTACGGGATATACCTCTGTAAGGGCTGCCATAACAAAATGCCACAGGCTGGATGGCTTAAACAACAGAAATTGCTCACGTTTCTGAAGTCTAGAATCTAAGATTAAGGTGCTGGCAAATTCAGTTCCTAGTGAAGGCTCTTTAACTGGCTTAAAGACAACTAACCACTGGCTGTGTGGGCATATGGCCTCTCCCCTGTGCATGAGAGAGAGCTCTCATAAGGACACTAGAGTCCCATCCTTATGACCTCATTTAACCTTAATTACCTACTGAAAGGCCCCACCTCCAAATGCAGTTATAATGTATTGCATTTCTTTTGTAACTATGACTGTTGGGTCATGAGTTCCTTAAGGAAACTCATTTTTCCAAAGAAGACATATAGATGGTCAATAATCCAATATGAAAAGATGCTTAATATCACTAATCACTAATCATTAGGGAAAGAAAATCAAAACCACAGTGAGATACCACTTCATACCCATTAGGATAGCTATTGCCAAAAAGAAAAAAAAAGTATTGGCAAGGATTGGAACCCTTGTGCATTGGTAGTAGTAGTGCAAAATAGTGCAGCCATTGTGGAAAACAGTATGACAGTTCCCTAAAATTCATGGGTTGGAAGAATTAATATGTTAAAACGTCCATATTACCCAAAATGATCTGCAGATTCAGTGTAATCCCTATCAAAATCCCAATATCATTTTTCACAGAAATAGAAAAAAAATCTTTAAAGTTTGTATGAAACCACAAAAGACTTAATAGCAAAACAATTTTGAACAAAAAGAACAAAGCCAGAGGCATTACATTCCCTATTTTCAAAATATAAAGCATTTGTAGTCAAAACAACATGGTACTGGCATAAAAACAGTACTAAAGGAACAGGATAGAAAGCCCAGAAACAAACCCATGCATTTATGGTCAGCTGATTTTTGACAGTGGTGCCAAGAACACACACTGGGTAAAGGACAATCTATTCAATAGATGATGCTGGGAGAAGTGGTCATTCACATGCAGGAGAATGAAATTAGACCCTTACGTCATACACATACTTGAACTGAGTGGATTAAAGACTTAAAACATACGACCTGAAACTGTAAAACTACTAGAAGAAAACACAGGGAAAGCTCTGTGGCATTGATCTGGGCAATGATTTTTTGTTGTGACTTTAAAAGAGCAGGCAACCAACCAACCACAAAAAATAGACAAATGGGACTGTATCAAACTAAATAGTTTCTGTACAAGAAAAGAAACTAAGTGAAGAGACAACCCATAGAGGTAAAAAAACAAAATGTGTAAACCATATATCTGACAAGGGCTAATATCCAAAATATATAAGGAATTCAACTAAGTAGCAACAACAACAACAAAACCTGGCTAAAAAATGGGCAAAGGACCAGAACAGACACTTCTTACAGATGACCAACAGGTTCATGAAAAAGTGTACAACATCACTAAGCGTCGGGAAAATGCAAATTAAGTGAGATGTCACCTCACATCTATTAGAATGGTTTTTATAAAAAAGATGAACAATAACAAGTGTTGGTATGGGGAGACAAGGAAACCCTCGTACACTGTTGGCGAAGATGTAAATTAGTACAACTATTTATGGAAAACAAGATGAAGGTCTCAAAAAACTAAAAATAGAACTAGCATGTGATCTAGTCATCCCACTTCCGGGTATATGTCTAAAGGAATTGAAATCAGTATGTTGAAGGGATGCTTGCACTCCAATGTTGATTGCAGCAGTATTCACAATAGCCAATGTATGGAATCAACCTGTTTATCAGCAGATGAATGGATAAAGAAGATGTAGTGTATAACATGCAATGGAATACTATTCAGCCTTGTAAATGAAGGAGATCCTGTCATTCATGACAACATGTATGAACCTTGAAGACATACTAAGTGACATAAGCCGAGCACAGAAAAACACATGCCACATGATCTCATTTGTGTGTGTAATTTTAAAAAGTTGAACTCAAAGAGAGTAGAGTGATGATCACCAGAGGCTAGGAGTGGTAGTAAAGTGAGGGAGGGGGGAGTTGCTGATCAAAGGTTATAAAGTTTCAGCTCAACAGGAGGAATAGGAGGAATAGGTTTTGAGATCTATTACATAGCAGGTGACTATAGTCCACAATAATGTATATTTAAAAATAACTAAGAGTAGGGAGGTGCAGTGGCTCATACCTGTAATCCTAACACTTTGTGAGGTCGAGGTGGGAGGTTTGCTTGAGTCCAGGAATTCAAGACCAGCCTGGGCAAATGTGGTGAGACTCTGTCTCTACAGAAGTAAAAAAAGTAGCTGGGCATGGTGGCTTGCACCTGTATTCTCAGGCTGAGTCAGGAGGATTGCTTGAACCCAGGAGTTCCAGGCTATGTGAGCTATGATCATGCCACTACACTCCAGCCTAGGTGACAGAGGAAGATGTTGTCTCTTAAAAAACAAAAACCTAAGTGAATATTTCAAATGTCTCACCACAAAAAATGATAGGTGATGGATATATGTTAATTAGCTTGATTTAATAATTCCACATTGCATACATGTATTAAAGTATCACATTGTATCCCAAAAATATATATAACTATGACTATAATAAAACATTAAAATCAAAAATAGATAATTTGTGGAGAGATACTTTGAGATTATGTAAATATGCTCTTCCTCATCAAACTACCCACCATTTTAGCAACTGTTATTAAATCTTGCCTGACTTTGTTATTACCATAAAGAGAGCTTGCCTCCCCTCCCTCCCTCTCTTCTTTCCTTCCTGCTTTCCCTCCCTTCCTCCCTCCACTTGCCCTTCCTCATTCCTTCCTCCTTCCTTCCATTTGTCTCCTGCTTTATTTACTATGTAATAGTATAATCATTATTTTTTGAAGTTTAAATTGTCTCTTTATAATAATTTTTATTTTTATTTATTTTTTATTTTTATTTTTATTTTTGAGAAAGAGTCTCGCTCTGTCACACAGGCTGGAGTGCAGTGGCGCGATCTCGGCTCACTGCAAGCTCCGCCTCCTGGGTTCACGCCGTTCTCCTGCCTCAGCCTCCCGAGTAGCTGGGACTACAGGTGCCCGCGACCATGCCCGGCTAATTTTTTTTGTATTTTTTTTTTAGTAGAGATGGGGTTTCACCATGTTAGCCAGGATGGTCTCGATCTCCTGACCTCATGATCCACCCGCCTTGGCCTCCTAAAGTGCTAGGATTACAGGTGTGAGCCACTGCACCCGGCCAATAATTTTTAAATACAGGATGTTACTCTGTTGTATTCTTTGTATCACAGTAGGAAGAAAGTCGTGCTTTTGGATTCTTTTCAAAGTTCTCATTTATCCTCTCCTTAATCATTTCACTTATTGGATAGCTAATCCTCATTTGAGAGATGAATAGATGTAGTTCAAAGACTTGACAAGAAATTAATGCAGTTTTCTTGTGTAGCATCTGCACAACTGAAATTGAGGGTCTTCTGCTTTCTTTCCTATTTGTAAAGATTTTTCTGGGAGACCAAAGTTCTTGTTAAAAGAGGGTATACATTAGAATCTGCATACAGAATACACCAAATTGTTATCTGTCCTTAAAAACTATTCATATCAAGGATCACCTGAGCCCAAGAGTTTGAGACCAGTCTGGGCAATGTGGCAACATCCCATCTCTACAAAAATTTTAAAAATTAGCCAGGTGTGATGGCACACACCTGTGGTCCCCAGCTACTCAGGAGACTGAGGTGGGAGTATCTCTTGAGCTTGTCAGGCCAAGGTTGCAGTGAATGCTGATTGCAACACTGCACTCCAGCCTGGGTGACAGAGCGAGACCCTTATCTCAAAAGAAAAAAAAAATCCATATCGATGCTGAATGGATCAGTATGTTATTTTTATCTTATTCAACTTCATTCTCAGATTTTGTTGATACACAGAACCATTTATTTTTTTAATATATAGCAAAATTGTAAATTAATTTTTATTTTTGACACAAATTGGTCTTATTATTGGGGATGTGGTTTCCTTACTTGCTCCATTAATATAAAAATTATGGCACTTCAATGGCCTGACAAAATGTGTAACACCCAAATAGCATCTGCAGACACTTAGCAATTTTTTTTAATTAATAAGTTTTTATCCAACAGTATAAAGAAAAGCAGTTTTTTTTGTTTTTTTTTTTTTTTTTTTTTTGAGACGGAGTCTCGTTCTGCGCCCGGCCAGAAAAGCAGTTCTTAATGATGATGACCTTGATGCAAGAAGTGACTTGTAAGGGAAGGACATCATAAAATTGTAATTGTTTCCCTGAGAGCATGAGACTCTCTTTTGGGCTAAGATTCAGTGTGCAGTAATACATTGATTGTGCATTATTGTTGCCTGGTTGACAGAAGCTAGAAGTATTTAGTTTATTGCTTGAAAATCAAAGTGTTTGTAACAGAGGTGCAATCAACAGTTTAGTCATGAGAAATGATGTTTTTATACTAAATATAAATAGTTCATTTGTTTTGTTTTTGAATTTTAGGGGGCGCGGTTTGAGACAGTCTTGCTCTGTTGCTCAGGCTGGAGTGCAGTGGCGTGATCTTGGCTCACTGAAACCTCCGCTTCCTGGGTTCAAGCAATTCTCTGGCCTCAGCCTCCCGAGTAGCTGGGATTACAGGTGTGTGCCACCACACCTGGCTATAAATTTTTTTTTTAAAGAAATGGGGCCTCGCTGTGTTGTCCAAGCTGGCCAAGTCCCATTCACTTTTCTCCGCACTAGTGACTCACTTTGAGAATCATTATCCATTAGTGGGTAATGTGACCAATTTCATGAGACGTAATTTTTTTTTTTGAAAAAAAATAAAATACAAGTACCAGAGTAAATCACAAGCTATAAGGTAAATATTGTTTTGTTAAACTTGCTGTATGTCTGTTTTTATGTACTGTCTTGCAATATTATGTGTTTCTTACTTTGGGTGCTAGTCAAAAGAAGTTTGAAATCCAGAGTTTTGTACCATTTTTATTACCTCATTTCTTCAAAGTATTTTTAATTTATGTTGCTATGTTATGCAAATAGCTTGTTTTAGTAGCATTGGACTAGGGTAATGCAGGAGGAAAACTGATAATTTATTAAAATTCGTGGTGAGAGGTGCTAAAATAAAAAATATTGATAGTACTAAATGTCAACAAGGATGTGGCACATCTAGAACACTTATGCAGCACTGGTGGAAGTGTAAATTAGTACAGCCATTATGGAAAACTATTTGGCAATATCTTCTTTTTTGGAGGCAGTATCTCACTCTGTCATCCAGGTTGGAGTGCAGTGGCATGATCATGGCTCACTGCAGCCTCCACCTCCGAGGCTCAAAGGATCCTCCTACCTCAGCCTTCTGGGTAGCTGGGACTATAGGTGTGTGCCACCACATGCCTATAGTCCCATTTGCCCAGGACAGTCTTGAACTCCTGGGCTCAAGTGATCCTCCTGCCTTGGCCTCCCAAAGTGCTGGGATTATAGGCATGAGCTACTGTGCCCAACTGGCAGTATCTTCTTAAGCTGAAGCATGTCTTGTTACCTATCAATTCTACTTCTACATATATATCCAACAAAAATGTGAACATGTACACCAAAAGCCACATACAAGAATAATCACAGTAGCATTATTCGAAATAGCCAAAGACTGGAAATAACTTAAATATTCATCAACGGAAAGGCTAAATAGATTTTCATGTATTTACAAATGAATACTATATAAGTAACAAGAATAAATGAACCATTGCTATCTGCCATACCTTGCATAAATCTTACAAACATAATAAGCCACAGAAGCCAGATGCTATTTGATTTCATAAAGTACAAAAATAAACAAATGAACCTGTGTGTTAGAAGTCAGGATAGTAGCTATTTTTGGTGGTGATGTGGTGAGGTTGTTGCTGGGAGGAGGAATGAGGGATATTTCTGGAGTGTTGGTTATATACTATTTAATCTGGGTGCTTGTTATATATGTGTATTTGTGAAAATTTATTGAGCTGTACACTTAAGATTTTGCATATTTCTATGGATATTAAAAGTTTTAAAAATTTATACATTTTTGTCTGGTTTTAAAATTTGAAAGCAAATAAAACGCAATCAGGGACGAATTTTAAAGTACCTACTCTGTACAAGGCAAAGTGCCTTTGTATTCCCAAAGCTATTGGGAATACAAAGATGAAAAACTAGGACTTTTATTTTCTAAGGACTCATTTTTTTTGAGAAGACCCGTACTCAAGTAACATGATGCTAGACAGACTGTCCTAAGAATATAGGTCTTGAAATCACCCCTAAGGTTGCTGCAATGCTTTTGTTTCTGGTCTTGTCTGTGTTTGTTAAGATATCTTAATCATGTCCTTTTTTTCTTTTTCTTTTTTTCTTTTTTTTTTTTTTTTTAATAGCATCTGACAGATACGTCTCATGGTGTAAGAAATAAGTGCCTGCAGTTACTTGGCAATCTTGGCTCTTTGGAGAAAAGTGTCACAAAAGATGCAGAAGGCCTAGCTGCCAGAGATGTCCAGAAGATTATAGGGGATTACTTCAGTGACCAAGACCCACGTGTCAGAACAGCAGCTATAAAAGCCATGGTAAATGTGATTATGGAAACTAGTTGGGGCTAGTGTTCATTTTTGTTTTTTAAGTTTATAGCTAGTGCTGCCTTGGATACATTGTAAATTCTTCAGCATATACTTTCAGGAGGGTATTGGTGGTGGCCTCGCAGAACTCAGTGACACACATTCCTGTATACAAGTGTGCTTTTTTGGCTTTCTCTGGTAGCTTTCATGTGTATTTATGAAACATGGAAAGCACAATAGGAACCTGTTATAATTCCTTCGACTTGGAGGCATATGACTTGGTATGATATTATAATAGGGGGAGGTGGTGTTAATCATTTTTTCTTTAGGCTTCATATCATTATTTCATATTTTTCTAATACCTTCTTGGGACAGTCCATGGGTTAGATTTGTGAAATGCTTGAATGCTCCTATTGAAAGACGACAAGGTTTCTTATTTATATAGCACTAATTTTGGCTAAAAGGAACCATGTTAGCCTGATACAATAGGGGAAAATATGTGAGATTGTGGGGAGACATTGGAAATATTGCTCTTTTCCTCCCAAGCACTTAAACTATATATTTATTATCTAGTTGCAGCTCCATGAAAGAGGACTGAAATTACACCAAACAATTTATAATCAGGTACCTTATATGATTACTGTCTGGAAGGGGTTGGAGGTATCATGAAGCTGGGAGGGCGGCACACAGGTTCTCAGAATTTGAAAACGTAAGGACTTCGCTAGTTAATAGTGGCAGCGTTGATTGGGATGGATGTGAAGTCATATTCAAAACATACTTTTCAGGAAGAGAATGGAGGTTATGTAATTAAATAGCGCTAGTACATGTGAAAAGGACTTTTAGGAGGATTTACAAAGTTCAGTATGAGAATGAGAGTACCTGAAGAAAAGTGTAGCATTTAGAATAAGGAACGTGTTAGTCTTTCTGATCACTGTTTGGTTGGGCCGTACATGAACTCATTTCTGGGCACCACACTTCACAAACTAGAGTGTGTCTGGAGAAGGGTGACCAAGACCGTAGGATCATATAAAAAAAAAGTCACATGCATGTAGTAGTAGTGGTAAAGAAAGGTATAATGAAGTTGTGGAAAAGCTGATTGATGGCCAACCAAAAGGCCTTATGAGGCTGTATTTCTCTTGGAGGATAATTGACTGAATCTGGTAAAAGGAATCTAAATCCACGTTCAGAGATTAGGTTTTGTTAGCCTGCCAAGAGTGGTTTTATCTCTCATGGGAAGAAGATAATTAGCCAAGCCCCATCACAGATGTGTAAACCAAGTTTATTCCTCTATTGAATGAAGTAGAATGGGTCCAGAATGCTTGTGGTGGTGTGACCATCGCCTTCTTTTTCTATAAGAAAACTATGTGGGAAGCCAAATAATTCAAAGGAAACTTGGATCGTAAGGACTCAGAGGAAGGGAAGTTAGTTGGCTGATTCAGATGTTTGGTGGCGTAAGACTCTGTTAGTAATCTAGGCAAGCAGTAATGACAGCATCAAGGGAGTGAGGATGGACTGATAGTGTAGAATTTAAGATATAAGGTAGAATTTGCTTCCTTAATGAGTTCAGGTTTGCGTGTGTTGAGTATAAAAGTTTGATGGGACATCCATGAAGAGAATTCCAGCCATAAGTAGTTATAAAGGCCTGGAGATCAGGAGAAATCAGAGCTAAGGGTAGGTATTCAAAGCCATCAGTATTTAGGGAGTATGGGGCTACCCAGAAAGAGTGAGTGGATTGAAACAGAGGCCAGTGATTTCAGACCAAGGTAAACAGAAGTGTGTGCTTTGATTTTTACAGGGGGAGGAAAAAGCCATAATTGGTGTTTGAACCTGTGAGAACAGTACTGTTTGCTCCCAGCATGCTTTGCTGGGTTTGATCTGTTCTAGATGTTTTTATGCTGTCAGTCTGTGATTCTCCTTTCAGACATGGGGTAGGGTGCATAGTCAGAATACAGCCAGAGCAGCTGACAGAGGTCAAGATTCATTTTTAAGCAAAGATTCCAGAAGTTAAAACCACACACAAGTGTTTTACTGGGCATCCTTATCCAACCACCCTATCTTCACTTTGAAAATAGTTTAAACATTGCCTGAGAGGACACAGAACTAATAGACTTTTGGAATTCTTCTTTGCAGGCCTGTAAATTACTCTCTGATGACTATGAACAAGTGCGCAGTGCTGCAGTCCAGCTTATCTGGGTCGTCAGTCAGCTCTATCCTGAAAGGTCAGTGTGGGTGTAAGCTGGCTTTTGTTGATTGTGAAGCCGTTTTCCTCTCCTCTCACCATGCAAAAAGCCCACTTCTAGAAAAGAAATGTTGGTTACATTTTTGGAAGGCAATGGGGAATAAGGGAAAAGCACAGGCCCTGAAAATCAGATTGCCTGGTCCTCATTTTTCATCTCTGATAGGAACTTTCTGTACACTTTGGAAAGATACTTCACTTCTTTTATCCTAACCTTCTCATCCATAAGTGAAGAAATTGGAATATCTTTCTTAAATGGTTTTCAGTACTTTACAAAAAAATCTTTAAAATTGTTTGGGACCCATTTTAGTTTGGCTTGTGCCAAATGCCAGATAAAGATACCAGATGAGTTTGAGAATAATGATCTCTTATGTAGTTTTCCTGGTTAAAAATATTTTCACAGCAATTAAATTAACCACAGTGATTCTTTGAGGAGGTAGGCAATATTATTTATTATATTTTGTAAGATAGAATATTATATTTATAAATGTTTATTTATCTTTTATTTATAAATATTTATAGAATATTTTATTTTTCCTTGTATAGGAAAAAGGGGTGTTTTTTCCTGTTCATTAAACTGCCAGAATTTGAAAACCAGAATGAATTAATAAACCTGTAGGAGTAGGCTCCATTTGTAGTGTTTTAGGACTTAGACACATACAAAGAAAAGGGCTAACTGGAAATTGTGTCTTCTTTTAGGACTGGATTGATAAGTAAGTTTTATATTGATTTATTCTGAGATTTACTGTATTTATAGAAGTTCAGTCTGGACACGGTGGTGCCTGTAATCCCAGCACTTTCGGAGGCCGAGGTGGGCGGATCACCTCAGGTCAGGAGTTCAAGACCAGCTTGGTCAACATGGTGAAACCTCGTCTCTACTAAAAATACAAAAATTAGCCGGACATGGTGGCACACGCCTGTAATCCCAGCTACTAGGGAGGCTGAGGCAGGAGAATCGCTTGAACCTGGGAAGTGGAGATTGTGGTGAGCTGAGATCACACCACTGCACTCCAGCCTGGGTCACAGAGCAAGACACTTTCTCTCAAAAAAAAAAAAAAAAAAAAAGAAGTTCAGTTACAGAAGATAATAAACTTAAGGATATGAAATATTCGGTGGAAGCTAGTTTTTGATAATTTCATAAATCTTTGAACCTTTGGTGGGTTACGTACTTTTTTTTTTAAGGCAGGGTCTTGCTCTGTGGCCCAGGCTGCAGTGCAGTGATGTGATCTCGGCTTACTACAACCTCCAACTCCTGGGTTGAAGCAATTCTCATGCCTGAGCCTCCCAAGTAGCTGGAATTACAGTCGCGCACCACCACACCCAGCTCATTTTTTGTACTTTTAGTAGAGATGAGGTTTTGCCATGTTGGGTAGGCTGGTCTTGAACCCCTGGCTTCAGGTAATCTGCCCGCCTCAGTATCTCAGTGTGCTGGGATTACACGCCTGGCTGAACCTTTGGTGGGTTACACACTTTTATTCAATACATTGAAAATTTGCACCTGGTTGCAGTGACTCAGCCCTGTAATCCTAGCACTTTGGGAGGCTGAGGCGGGTGGATTGCTTGATCTCAGGAGTTTGAGATCAGCCTGGGCAACATGGTGAACCATCTCTACTAAAAATATAAAAAATTAGCTGGGTGTGGTGGCATGCTTTTGTAGTCCCGGCTACTCAGGAGGGTGAACTGGGAGGATCACCTGAGCCCAGGAAGTTGACACTGTGGTGAGCAGTGCTCACGCCACTGCACTCCAGCCTGGGCGACAGAAGTGAGACCCTGTCTCAAAAAAAAGCATAATTTGCAATGCAACTGAAAGAGTTGGTTTGTACTCCCAGAGTGATTTGTTTATTCCAAACTGTATTTAATCATTCTAGGATTTGAACTATTCAATTATCATTTTTGTGTGTGTCAGTCTTCATTGACTGTTCTCAGTTTATTGAGCCTGCAGCCTTACTTACTTATGTATTTATTTGTTTATTATTATTATTATTATTATTATTATTATTATTATTATTATTATTATTTTTTGAGATGGAGTCTCGCTCTGTTGCCCAGGCTGGAGTGTAGTGGCACTATCTTGGATCACTGCAACCTCCACATTCCAGGTTCAAGCGATTCTCCTGCCTCAGCCTCCTGAGTAGCTGGAATTGCAGACATGTGTCACCATGCCTGGCTAATTTTTATATTTTTAGTAGAGAGGAGGTTTCGCCATGTTGGCCAGGCTGGTCTCGAACTCTTGACCTCAAGTTATCCACCTGCCTCAGCCTCCCAAAGTGCTGGCATTACAGGCGTGAGCCATTGCGCCCAGACTGTATTTATTTTTCAAGACAGGGTCTTGCTGTGTCATCCAGGCTGGAGTGCCGTGGTGTGATCTCAGCTCACTGCAACCTTCACCTCCAGAGCTAAAGTAATCTTCCCACTTCAGCCTCCCAAGTAGCTGGGACTATCAGCGCATGCCACCACGCCTAGCTAATTTTTGTATTTTTTTTGTAGAGATGAGGTTTTGCCATATTGCTCAGGTTGGTCTTGAACTCTTGGGCTCAAGCAATCTACCTGCCTGGGCCTCCCAAAGTGTTGGGATTATAGATGTGAGCCACTGTGCCTGGCCTGAGCCTGCAGACTTAGGTTCATGTTTTGTTCTAAGTGATTTCATTTCTTTTCTTTTAATTTAGCATTGTCCCAATTCCTTCTTCTAATGAAGAAATACGCTTAGTTGATGATGCGTTTGGCAAAATTTGTCACATGGTCAGTGATGGCTCTTGGGTGGTTCGTGTTCAGGCAGCAAAACTGTTGGTAAGTTATACTTTTTATGTATGTATGTATGCATGTATATATTTATTTTCTTTTCTGTAGAAATGAGGACTGTGTGGCCCAGGTTGGTCTCAAACTCTTGGCCTCAAGCAGTCCTCCTGCCTCAGCCTCCCAAAAGACTGGGATTATAGGCTGGGTGCGGTGACTCACACCTGTAATTCCAGCACTTTGGGAGGCCAAGGCAGGCGGATCACGAGGTCAGGAGATTGAGACCATCCTGGCCAACATGGTGAAATCCCGTCTCTACTAAAAATACAAAAATTAGCTGGGCATGGTGGCGCACGCCTGTAATCCCAGCTACTCGGGAGGCTGAGGCAGGAGAATCGCTTGAACCTGGGAGGCAGAAGTTGCAGTGAGCCAAGATCACGCTGCTGCACTCCAGCCTGGCGACAAGGGGGAGACTCTCATCTCAAAAAAAAAAAAAAAAGGCTGGGATTATAGATGTGAGCCACTACACCCAGCCAATAATCCTTTTTTTAAATGAGCACATTTCTCATTAAGTTTTTACAGACATTTTGAGAAACTACAGATGGGGCAGTGTGACCTGAATTTAAAACCCCAGAATTTATTTTCCTTTTTCTTTTCTTGAGACAGGGTCTTCCTCTGTTGCTCAGGCAGGAGTGCAATAGTGCAGTCACGGCTCACTGCAGCCTTGACCTGCCGGGCTCAAGCAATCCTTCCACCTCAGCCTCCTGAGTAGCTGGGACTACAGGCATGTGCCACCCTGCCTAGCTAATTTGTATTTTTTGTAGACATGGGGTCTTGCTTTGTGCCCAGGCTGGTCTTGAATTCCTAGGCTCAAGTGATCCTTCTGCCTTGGCCTCCCAAATTGTTGGGATTACAGGTTTAAGCCACTACTCCCAGCCCCAGAATTTCTTAATATAGAAAGAAATAGTTCACTCTCCTGTAGAGAAATAGCCTTTTAGAACTAGAAAGAATCTTAAAACATAATTCTATTAACCCTACTAGGAATTAAGATAGCCGGAGCCTAGAGAAAAAGGAAAACAATAAAAAAAAAGTTTTTCCCATTTATTAAGCACTTGTTATGTCCTAGTTCAGGAGGCTCAAACCCCCAGGCTGTGGACCAGTCCTGGTCCATGGCTTGTTAGGAACCAGGCCACACAACAGGAGGTGAGTGGTAGATGAGCAAGTATTACTGCCTGAGCTCTGCCTGCTGTCAGATCAGCAGCTGCATTAGATTATCATAGGAGTGTGAACCCTATTGTGAACTGAGCATGTGCGGGATCTAGGTTTCATCCTCCTTGTGAGAGTCTAATTCCTGATGATCTGAGGTGGAACAGTTTCATCCTAAAATTACCCTGCTTCACCACTCTTTCTGGTTTCTTCCATGAAACTGAACCCGGATGCCAAAAAGGTGGGGGACCACTATCTTAGATAATTTGAAGGAGGCCCCTTACATATATTTTCTCATTTTCTCTTTACAGTAACCCTGCAGGATAGATGCCATTATCCAGTTGGGGCATGGTGGCTCATGCCCATAATCCTAGCACTTTAGGAGGCTGAGGTGGGCAGGTCATTTGAGCCCAGGAGTTCAAGACCAGCCTGGGCAACACAGCAAGACCCCATCTCTATTTTTCAAAAAATAAAATTTTAAAAAATTAAAAAAAAATTTTTTTTTTAAAATGCTGTTATCATTTTCTAGATGAGAAAACTGAGGCTCTGAGGAGTTAAGTAAGTTATCCAGCTTATACAGACAGAAAATTGTAGAGTGAGGTCAGATCCTGATCTTGCATCTTTTAGCTTGGTACTTTTCTGTTTTCTTTTTGAGGACTCAGCACATTTATTGAAAATTTTTAACTTTTGTGGCTCACGCCTATAATCCCAGCACTTTGGGAGGCCAAGGCGGGCGGATCACGAGGTCAAGAGATCGAGACCATCCTGGCCAACATGGTGAAACCCCGTCTCTACTAAAAATACAAAAATTAGCTGGGCATGGTGGCACACGCCTCTAGTCCTAGCTACTTGGGAAGCTGAGACAGGAGAATCGCTTGAACCCGGGAGGCAGAGGTTACCCGGGAGGCAGAGGTGCAGTGGCTCACACCTATAATCCCAGCACTTTGGGAGGCCGAAGCGGGCAAATCACTTGAGGTCAGGAGTTCGAGACCAGCCTGGCCAACATGGTGAAACCCCATCTCTACTAAAAATACAAAAACTAGCCTGGTGTGATGACACACACCTGTAGTCCCAGCTATTCTGGAGGCTGAGGTGGGAGGATCACTTGAACCTGGGAGGCAGGGGTTGCAGTGAGCCGAGATTGTGCCATTGCACTCCAGCCTGTGCAAAAGAGCGAGACCCTGTCTCAAAAAAAAAAAAAATTGTTTAACTTTTAAGGGATAAAATTGTTTTGTAATAGAGTGTTGGCCTAATACCCTTATTTTATATCTGTGTTACCTTGTATATGTCACTTGATATTAGTCTCAGTTTCCTCATCTGTTAAGTGGGGTTCTAATATCTCTCATATTTACCTGACAGTGTTGTCATGATGCTCAAATGAGATACAGTCTATGAAAATGTTTATAAACTAAAAAGTACTATACTATGTAGGGTGGGTGGGGGCATAGTATATAAATATATGTGTGTGTAAGTATCTATAAAAATTTGTATACGTGTCACAGCAGGAAAATCTGTGATTCTTTTTGGACACTTCCCCTTTGAGTGCCCCCAGCCCTGCCACTCTTGGTGAGATTGTTGGCTGAATGCTTTGTTTCTGACTGTACTGGACACTGATCCGGTGATAGCTTTAGTCCTGTGACCAGTATTTATGGGAGTATTTGCTGAAACCTGTGTGAAGCGCTTTCATGAGATATAGTAATGGATGATTGGAGTATTTCCACTCTTGTGCATAGTAGAGTTAAACAAGCCAGCTGTTACTGATTTTATTTCTGAATTCATATTTTAAAACTTTCTTTTGGGTTATGAATGTTTTAAAATTCAGAACAGTCTAATCATTCATCAGATCCTTTCATTCGGCATTTACAGAGGATCTACAATGAACTCTAGGTGGGAGTGGGGAGGAGAAAGATGTTTTAGAGGAGTAAATTAATGATATATCTTTACCTGAATAGGCAGTTTTAAAAAGTAATCCTTAAAGTAAGAATCATTCAAAATTTTCAGTTTTGTACTCTATAGGATCTGAAATTTATTTGCATAAAGTTGTATGTATAACATATGGTACATTGAAATTTCTACTTGAATGACTCTAACTTGAGTCACATGCCTTGTGTTACAATTTCATGTTAAATCTGAACAGCTTCAAATTATATAAGTAATTATGTTTGTATTCAGAAAAAATAATCATTCTTATCTTGCTGATAATAATAATTACTACTATGTATAGAGTTCCTGGCCTACTAAATGAGGCATTTTTAGTCATACATACACACATAAATACACACATATTCACACATAACTATTAACCCACTTCTTTATATACAAGCACACATGCCTAACTCATTTGCATACTTTTGCAAGTAACTTTTAATCTTTTTAAACTCTCTGAGGTAAATGTATTACTTATAAATAACAAAATTAAAATTTAGGAATGTGGTATAATTTGTCTGAGACCACACAGATAGTAAATGACAGATGAGGACTTCAAACTTCATAATCTAAAGCCCACGTATAATCCTTTCCTGGTGAGTATCCAGTTACACATTGGGATTGGCCAGTTAAGGCCCTGCTGCTTTATTAGTATCTCTGTGCAAGCTAAGAGGTAAAGCTGCTCTACTCCAGCTCTCCAGTAGATAAACCTGTGATCAAGTGATTTGTGTACAATCTTTCATTAAAAATTAATTAATTTTAAAAAATTGACACATTGGTTGAACTAGTTTACAGTCCCACCAACAGTGTAAAAGTGTTCCTATTTCTCCACATCCTCTCCAGCACCTGTTGTTTCCTGACTTTTTAATGATTGCCATTCTAACTGGTGTGAGATGGTATCTCATTATGGTTTTGATTTGCATTTCTCTGATGGCCAGTGATGATGAGCATTTTTTCCTGTGTCTTTTGGCTGCATAAATGTCTTCTTTTGAGAAGTGTCTGCTCATATCCTTCGCCCACTTTTTGATGGGGCTGTTTGTTTTTTTCTTGTAGATTTGTTTGAGTTCATTGTAGATTCGGGATATTAGCCCTTTGTCGGATGAGTAGATTGCAAAAATTTTCTCCCATTCTGTAGGTTGCCTGTTCACTCTGATGGTAGTTTCTTTTGCTGTGCACAAGCTCTTTAGTTTAATTAGATCCCATTTGTCAATTTTGGCTTTTGTTACCATTGCTTTTGGTGTTTTTGACATGAAGTCCTTGCCCATGCCTGGGTCCTGAATGGTATTGCCTAGGTTTTCTTCTAGGATTTTTATGGTTTTAGGTCTAACATTTAAGTCTTTAATCCATCTTGAATTAATTTTTGTATAAGGTGTAAGGAAGGGATCCAGTTTCAGCTTTCTACATATGGCTAGCCAGTTTTCCCAGCACCATTTATTAAATAGAGAATCCTTTCCCCATTTCTTGTTTTTGTCAGATTTGTCAAAGATCAGATGGTTGTAGATATGCGGCATTATTTCTGAGGGTTCTGTTCTGTTCCATTGGTCTATCTCTCTCTTTTGGTACCTGTAGCGATTCCTCAGGGATCTTGAACTAGAAATACCATTTGACCCAGCAATCCCATTACTGGGTCTATACCCAAAGGATTATAAATCACGCTGCTATAAAGACACAAGCACATGTATGTTTATTGTGGCACTATTCACAATAGCAAAGACTTGGAACCAAGCCAGATGTCCAACAATGACAGACTGGATTAAGAAAATGTGGCACATATACACCATGGAATCCTATGCAGCCATAAAAAATGATGAGTTCATGTCCTTTGTAGGGACATGGATGAAGCTGGAAACCATCATTCTCAGCAAACTATCACAAGGACAAAAAATCCAAACACCGCCTGTTCTCACTCATAGGTGGGAATTGAACAATGAGAACACATGGACACAGGAAGGGGAACATCACACACCAGGGCCTGTTGTGGGGTGGGGGGAGGGGGGAGGGATAGCATTAGGAGATATACCTAATGTTAAATGACCAGTTGATGGGTACAGCACACCAACATGGCATATGTGTACATATGTAACTAACCTGCACGTTGTGCACATGTACCCTAAAACTTAAAGTATAATAAAACAAACAAACAAAAATTGACACATTGTATATATGGGGCACAAGTTGATGTTTTGATACACATCTATGTTGAATATTAATCCAATCAGGATAGTTAGTATAGTTATCACCTCATACATTTATCATTTCTTTGTCATGAACTTTCAACAGCCTCTCTTGCAGCTATAATATTGTATATTTTGTAATATACAATATTTTACTGTTAATCATAGTCACCTTTATGTGCAGTTGAACACCAGAATTTATTTCTCTTCATTGTGACTTTGTATCTGTTGTCCAGTCTCTTCCCATTCTCTCCTACTCCCTCCCCTCCCCAGTGTCTGCTAACCACTGTTATACTCTCTGCCTCTATGATATCAATTTTTTTTTTAATACTTTAAGTTCTGGGATACATGTGCAGAACATGCAGGTTTGTGACATAGGTATACATGTGCCATGGTAGTTTGCTGCACCCGTCAACCTATCATCTACATTAGGTATTTCTCCTAATGCTGTCCCTCCCCCAGCCCCCACCCTCTGACAGTCCCTGGTGTGTGATGTTTCCCTCCTTGTGTCCATGTGTTCACATTGTTCAACTCTCACTTATGAGTGAGAACATGCGGTATTTGGTTTTCTGTTCTTGTGTTAGTTTGCTGAGAATGATGGTTTCCAGCTTCATCCATGTCCCTGCACAGAACATGAACTCATCCTTTTTTGTGGCTGCATGGTATTCCATGGTGTATATGCGCCACATTTTCTTTGTCCAGTCTATCATTGATGGGCCTTTGGGTTGGTTCTAAGTCTTTACTGTTGTGAACAGTGCTGCAATAAACATACGTGTGCATGTGTTTTTATAGTAGAATGATTTATAATCCTTTGGGTATATACCCAGTAATGGGATTGCTGGGTCAAATGGTATTTCTGGTTCTAGATCCTTGAGGAATCGCCATGCTGTCTTCCACAATGGCTGAACTAATTTACACTCCCACCAACAGTGTGAAAGTGTTCCTGTTTCTCCACATCCTCTCCAGCACCTGTTGTTTTCTGACTTTTTAATGATTGCCATTCTAACTGGTGTGAGATGGTATCTCATTGTGGTTTTGATTTGCATTTCTCTAATGACCAGTGATGATGAGCTTTCTTTCATATGTTTGTTGGTCACATAAATGTCTTCTTTTGAGAAGTGTCTGTTCATATCCTTCACCCACTTTTTGATGGTTTTTTTTTTTTTTTTTGTAAATTTGTTTAAGTTCTTTGTAGATTCTGGATATTAGCTCTTTGGCAGATGGATAGATTGCAAAAATTTTCTCCCATTCTGTAGGTTGCTTGTTCACTCTGATGATAGTTTCTTTTGCTGTGCAGAAGCTCTTTAGTTTAATTAGATCCCATTTCTCAATTTTGGCTTCGTTGCCATTGCTTTTGGTGTTTTAGTCATGAAGTCTTTGCCCATGCCTATGTCCTGAATGGTATTGCCTAGGTTTTCTTCTAGGGTTTTTATGGTTTTAGGTCTTATGTTTAAGTCTTAGATCATGCAATATTTGCCTTTCCATGTCTGGCTTATTTCACTTTACATGATGTCCTCCAGGTTTATCGATGTGGCAAATGACAAGATTTTATTCTTTTTTTATTTTCTTCTTTAAGTCAGGGTCTTGCTCTGTTGCCTAGGCTGGAGTGCGGTTCCGCGATTGCACAGTCATAGCTCACAGCAACCTCAAACTCCTGGGGACTCCAGCCTGGATAACAGCGAAACTGTCGCTAAAAAAAACTAAAAACCAGATTGTTCTTCTTTTTTGATGTAGTCATTTATTGCTGTACACTTATCTCTTAGAACTGCTTTTGTTGCATACCGTAGGTTTTGGTATATGTTTTAATTCTTGCTTGTGAAGTGTGTTTCTTCTAGGCAATGTATACTTAGATTTTGTGTTTTAATCTATTCAACCAATGTATACCTTTTTTTTTTTTTCTTTCTTTGAGACAGGGTGTCTGTCTCTCTGTTGCCCAGGCTGTAGTGTACCTTTTAATTGAAGAACTTAATCCATTTATATTCAAGATTTTTTCCTTCTTCTTCTTCTTCTTTTTTTTTTTTGTTTTTTTTTTTTTGTTTCTTTGAGACAGGGTCTCACTCCGTCACCTAGGCTGGAATGCACTGGTGTGATCTCAACTCACTGCAACCTTCACCTCCTGGGTTCAAGTGGTTCTCGTGCCCCAACCTCCCCAGTACCGGGATTACAGGCATGTGCCACCATGCCCAACTAATTTTTTTGCATTTTTATTAGAGACGGGTTTTGACATGTTGGCCATGCTGGTCTCAAACTCCTGGCCTCAAGTGATTCGCCTGCCTTGGCCTCCCAAGGTGCTGGGATTACAGGCATAAGCCACCGCGCCCAGCTATATTCAAGATTGTTATTGATAGATAAGATCTTATTCCTGCCATTTTGTTAATTACCAAAAAGTAATTTTGGAGATCCTTTGTTCTTGTCTTCCTTTCTTGTTGTTTACCTCTGATTTAGTGGTTTTCTGTGGGGCCACGCTTTATTTTCATTCTCTTTCTTGTTTGTGTATCTGCTGTAACTTTTTTCTACATAGTTACTACAGAGTCTTCAGTTAGGCTGGTGTGGTGGCTCTTGCCTATTATCCCAGCACTTTGGGAGGCTGAGGCAGGCAGATCACTTGAGCTCATGAGTTTGAGACCAGCCTGGGCAACATAGTGAGACCTCGTTTCTACTAAATAAAGAAAAAAGAAATCAGCTGGGCATGGTGGCACACATCTGTAGTCTCAGCTACCCAGGAGGCTGAGGTGGGAGGATCACTTGAGCCTGGAAGATTGAGGCTGCAGTGAGCCGTGATCAGGCCACTATGCTCTAGCATGGGCATCAGAGTAAGACTGTCTCAAGGGGGAAAAAAAAAGTCTTGCAGTTACAATAGAATGTTTTAAGCTGATAGCAACTCAACTTTGGTTACATAAAAGGACCCTAGATTTTTTCCCTCCCCACTTCAATTTATATTTTTGTTGCCTTAATTTTCTTCTTCATCTGTTATGTGTTCCTTAGCTACTATTTGTAGCTGTTGTAGTTTTTGACCATTTTGAATTTAACCTTCATACTAGCAGATTGAAAATTTTATATGACATATTGTATCACTGGGGTTTGATCTGTTTGATTTATGAGTTTGCCTTTACTGGTGAGTTTTATACTTTTGTGTGTTTTTATGATAGTGATTATTGTCCTTTTGTTTCTAGCTGTAGCATTCAATACCTTGAATATATTAATTCTATCCCATTCTCTCTTGGTCTGCGAGGTTTCTGCTGAGAAATCTGTTGATAGTAATGGAGATTCTCTTGACAATTTTGTCTTGCAGCTTTGAAAGTCTTACTCTTTGACTTTCGATAGTTTGATTATAATGTACCTTGGAGAGGATCTTTTTGGGTTGAATGTAATTGTGAACCTTTGAACTTCCTGAATCTGGATGTCCGTATTTCTCCCACTACTTGGCAAGTTTTCAGCTATCATTTCATCAAATGGGTTTTCTGTGCCTTTCTCTTTCTCTTCTCCATCAGGCAATCTTCAATGCAAGTATTTGTTTGCCTGTTGATGTCCCATATGTTCCAAGGCTTTCTTTTTTATTCTTACTTGTTTTTTTTTTTTCCTCTTAATGGGTTATTTCGAAAGACCTGTCTTCAAGGTCAGAAATTCTTTCTTCTGCTTGATCCTAGTCTATTGTTGAAGCTCTCAATTGTATACTATTTTTATTTTTTTCATTAAATTCTTCAGTTCCAAGATTTCTGTTTGGTTCTTTTTTATGATATTGATTTCTGTTGAATTTCTCATTCGGATCATGAATGTTTTCCTGATTTCATTTAATTGTTTGTCTGTATTCTCTTGTATCTTACTGAGTTTCCTTTAGATCACTATTTTGAATTCCTTTTCAGGCATTTTGTAAGTGTCCTTTTCTTTAATGTCTGTCATTGGAGACTTTTTTCCTTTTTTTTTTTTTTGAGACAGGGTCTTGCTCTGTCACCCAGGCCGAAGTGCAGTGGCATGATCTCAGCTCACTGCAACCTTCTCCTCCTGGGTTTAAGTGATCCTCCCACCTCAGCCTGCTGAGTAGCTAGGACTACAGGCGCATGCCACCACACCCGACTAATTTTTTTATATTTTGTAGAGACGGGTTTTGCCATGTTGCCCAGAATGGTCTTGAACTCCTGAGTTCATGCTTTCTGGCTGTCTTGGCCTCCCGAAGTGCTGGGATTACAGATGTGAGCCACTGCCCCCAGCCAGGAGACTTACTGTATTCCTTTGAGGGTGTCATGTTTCCTTGATTTTCATTTATCGTGTGTAAGATACTGGATGTTGATATCTGTGCATTTAGTAGAGTAGTTGCTCTTTTCAATTTTATTGAGTAGCTAGTATATAGTAACAGTCTTTTTCTGTAGATGGTTTTAGGGTATTAGTTGGGTATGGTGTGTTGCCTTTGGTTCTGGGTGGACTCAGTGGGTGGTGTAATAATCCTTGTCAGCTTCAGCTGTAATCTTCAGCTATAATCCTAGTCATTGATGTTTGCAATTGCCTCAGTTGCCTAGGCTGTGGGAGTTTGTGATGGCAATGCTGTAGATGAGGGTACTGAGCTGATTTCTGGCCAAGACATGTACAGGCTAAAATGGCTGCCAGGCTGTCTATCTGGTTTTCCAGGGAGGCAGTAGTTGCTGCTGTGGTGGCTGTCGTGCTGGGCTCAGGCCTTTGCCGCGGTGGCCTGCTGGGCAGCTCTGTGGCTATGTAGGGAAATGGGGCTACTGCCTGGTTGGCTGTTGCTTTGGGCTAGGCTCAAATGCTTTTGTGCAGTGGGGCTGGGCAGTTTGGCAGCAGTCTATGGTAGGGGGCCAGGGCTACCACAGGACCAGTTGGACTGTGTGCTGTGGGACTGTGGGACTCTGGGACTCTATCGTGGCCAGTTTTAGGGGACAGGACCACTGAATTACCAGCTGTCAGGCAGGGCGTGGGCAGGTGGTTCTGTGATGGGTTGTGAGGGAGTGGGGCTGCCGCAGGATTGGCTTTTTGGCTGAGTACTGGCGTGTGCATACTTGGCAGCCCAGATGGTTGTATGGAACAGGGGTGTTGGGTAAAGCGCTGCCAGCTGTCTATTTGATGGCTTCCTTGCTGTGCATGTCTGCCTGTTTTCTGGATGGTTGGTAGCGCTATGTGGGGTCTGATGCTGAGATCATCGTCACTCTGTTTGACCTAGACTCTATGTGGATGGGGTTATGGTGCTGCAGGCCATCATGTGATCATGGTAGAATGATGGCGGGTTCTCAAGGATGAAGAGAGTCAGTTGCTACTGGTCCCCAGGGCAGGATGCACACTAGTAGTGAGTCTAGCTTCAACTTGGTGCCATGCTACAGCAGCTTAGGACAAGGTGGGCTCCCACTCTGAGGCAGTACAGCTGAATGATCTCTTGGCTACTCTCCAGACTGGATTTGTGGCCACTGAGGACTTAAGGACTCTCCTTTATCAAGAATTGCTGGTGCCTGTGGCAGCAGTGGGGACCACTGATAGGTATCTCTAGCTTACTTTTTCCCTGTAAGAATTTCCTCTGATTTTAAGCTGATTTTGGCAAGGGAGACAGTGTGGCAGGTAGGAAACCTCACTCCCTTCCCTGTGGTGCTATCCTGAGGCTTCCATGCTCCACAGGGATTTTGCCCTTTCTCTGGTGCTCTGCAGCATATATCTACAGTCATTTTAGTTGAAATATAGTTATTTGTTATTTTGGTCCCTTTTTGTTGTGGGTGATATGTGCCAGGTAACTCTGGTGAGCCATTTTTTTTTAAACAAATCTTCATACAGATTGAGTATCCCCTATCCAAAATGCTTGAGACCAGAAGTGTTTTGGATTTTGTTTTGTTTTGTTTTGCTTTTGGATTTTGGAATAGTTTATTTGTATTATACTTACTTGTTGGGCATCCCAAATCTGAAATATGCTCCAAAATCCAAAATGTGAAGTGCTCCAGTGAACATTTCCTTTGAGCATCATGTTGGTACTCAAAAAGTTTTGGATTTTGGAGCATTTTGGATTTCAGATTTTTGGAATTGGGATGTTGAACCTGTATAATCTTTAAATCACCTGTTCAGCAAATCGACAAACATCGAGGACAGTTTCTGTCTTCAACGAAGTTGATAGTCAGGTAGCCAGGGATAGCTAATCAGTGAATAATAATACCTGGTACTGGTAGGAAAGAGCACCAACCACAACCACAGAAGGCTTCTTGGAGGAGCTGATCTCTGAACTGAGTTTTGAAGGATGAGTAACTAGGTAGCGATGCAGAGAAAGAGAAAATATGAGCAGGGATATAAAAGCAGTACATTATCATGCATAGCAATATACTAAGCTGCAATATCATACTAAACTACAAGCAGTTTAGTGCTTTCTAGTTGCGGGGGTAATGTTCAATATAGGGGATCTGTAACGAGGTAAGTTGGAGAGGAAAACAGAAGCCAGGTTCTGCAGCAACTTAGCTTTGTAGCCTCGAGTCTATCTTGCTTAAAAAGTGAATAGTTTCCAATCCCTTTGGCTTATAGCAGTATGAAAAATTTTCTGATATGTGTTACATCAGAAAATTCAAAACCATGTAAAAGAGGTTAGCTTTTACTTATTTATAACTGCCCTATTTGTGGGGCAAAGAAACTTGAGGTCCCAGTAAGGAGATTCATGGGACTATTTAGAATACAGTCACTACTTTTATAAGCCTTAAGAAGTCATTGACCTTAAAAATTACAACATTTTCAGACTGTTAGGTTATAGACTTTTATGCCTGTAAGTCTGCCCATGACTGGTCTTTCCCAGGGTAAATGCAGATATTCCTAGTTAGTGGCAGTTTTATGTCTGATGTACTTATCACCTAGTTGCATAGACTTATGTTATTTACACCAGTTGAGCAGTTTTTGTTCTTAAAGCAGGTGTGATAATTGTTAAATATCTTGTATCTAAATTTCACATACATTTAATAAGGCTCTCAAGTGAAATGGTTTTCTCAGTGTTAAGTAAGGTTTTCATAGCATTAACTACCTAAATTTAGGTTGTTAAGTAGTGCTAGTAGTACAGTTGGAGAGATTCCATCTTAATCTAAACATATTTGTCTTGGTTAAAGTACACCAGAATGTAGCTTTTTCTCTCATTGGTGAGGTGCACTTTATAATGAACTCATTATCTTTTTGGTCCAAATCTGTTTCTCTATGTTTTCGTAAATGATGCTATCATCTGCTAAGTCATGAACCAGAGGAATTTGGGAATAGTTTTTCTATGTCTCACATCCATTGAGTCACAACTCATATCAGTTCTTCCTTCTTGACATCCCCTAAATCCATCCCTTCTCCATTTCCACTGGTCCTGCAGTAATAGACATCTCACCATTTTTCAAGTGGATTACTATGCTATAGGACTCTGTGTTTGTGGACTTAAAATGGAAAGCTTCACCTATTCTTAGGTGACATTGAAAATTTATTTCAAGTAATGATATTTAATTTTTTGGGGCACAAATTTGCATAGCACTCCCTCTGTGCTGCTGTGTTGGACGAGCGCGCAGTTGAGGGCATTGGAGGAGGGCACTGGGAATTATGGATGAAGCAACTTACTGTGAAGTCATGAAAATTTTATTCTAGTAGAAAAAAGCCAACAGCTAATGCTGGTGGTAAAGCTAGAGAGAGATTTAGGAGGTCTTAAGCGTTTATAGTTCTTATTTATAAAATTGTTGTTTGGATTTAAATGGATGTTAGATATGACATAGGCTCAGATCTATGTAACAAAAGAAAAAGTGGTTTTGAAACTACTTTAGTCAAAATAGTATGGCAGTTGTTTTTGTGGAATCATAGGAAAGGTGTTAACTTGAGTAAGGACATTCCCCAGGAACATGTAATTTTCTATGAAAAATTTGATTAGAGAAAAGATCTGAGCCTGTATAAGCATTTCCACATTTATTAACTTAGGAATTAGAGAAGATCTCAGATAAATTTCTTAATGTCTAGGACCTGCTCCAACAGCCTCTGAAACTAGTCTTTTTGCTTTCATTTTGATTCCTTATGGTCCATTAGTCATACTGTTGCAAGATGGGCTTTATGAAATATAAATCTATGTTCTCCCTTACTTGAAATGAGTAAGTTGCCTAATCTCAGCCTCAGTTCTCATCTAGAAAATGGGGATGAGAGGTATATGGGATTATTGGGAAGAATAAATTGGAAAAATATAAGTAAAATATTTTATACATTGTTAAGCTCATTAGATGTTTAACAGGGATTATGTAATAATTATTTATAAGGCAAACCCCTTACTATGGCAAATAAGGCTCTTTATTATCCTATCTGTACTGCCTCATTTTCAGGAGCCCTATCTTACGTTCCATTTGTAAAACGACTTAATATTTCCCACTTGGCATTCGCACTGTGATTTTCATTTCTCCACGTATACCTCTCCCTGCCTGTACCTTAATACTGCTTGTTCTCTCCGTTCCCATGGCATCATTCCTAGATGTGTATTACAGCATTTCATACCATATTGCAGTAATCTCTTTTCTTGTCAGTTTCCCTTACTAGTCTGTGAGATTGTTGAGTGTACAGCTGTTGTCTTTTTATTTTTGTATTCTTGTTCCTGGTAACTGTAGACATATAATTGAATGGTTGCTAAATATTTGTTTAATTGAATGCATGAATGAATGAACAGATGAATGGAAAGAAGAATGAAAAGGAGTGGAGAGTAGTTGTTAAGGGAAAGGATTTTGGAGCCTGGATTTATTTCCTAGCTCTGGAATTTATTCTTTGTGACCGTCAATATGTTATTTAATCTTTTTGTGTCTTTTCTCCATATATAAAATGGGACTAATATAGTATTTACTTCTCAGGGTTATAGTGAGGATTTAAATGAGTTAATATACGTCTAAAGCCCTTAGAATAGTACATGACACATAGTGGCCGGGCGTGGTGACTCACGCCTGTAATCCCAGCACTTTGGGAGGCCGAGGTAGGCAGATCACCTGAGGTCAGGAGTTTGAGACTAGCCTGCCCAACGTGGTGAAACCCCGTCTCTACTAAAAATTACAAATCCAAAAACAAAAAATTACAATTACAAATACAAATACAAAAAATTAGCCGGGCATGGTGGCGGGCACCTGTAATCCCAGCTACTCAGGAGGCTGAGGCAGGAGAATTGCTTGAACCTGGGTGGCAGAGGTTGCAATGAGCTGAGATCATGCCACTGCACTCCAGCCTGGGTGACAAGAGCAAAACTCCATCTCAGGAAAGAAAAAAAAAAAAAAAGCACAGTAGGTGACACATTCTAAGCTCTATTTAGGTGTTAGCTGCTGCTAATATTTTTATTTTCCTGCTGATTCAGAACCCATAGCATCTTTACTGTCATGAATAATATTATCTTTATGCACTTAAATTGTCTATAGACTCTGAATTTTAAGATAATGTTCAAATCATAAAAGTTGTTTTATATGCTCTGGATTTTTCTTTTTATAGGGCTCTATGGAGCAAGTCAGTTCTCATTTCTTGGAGCAGACCCTTGACAAGAAGCTGATGTCAGATCTGAGGGTACCTTTTATTCTTTGTTGTTTAAAGTGGGTTTCTGTAACCAATGTAGTGGGGCAGTATGCTGAGTTGTGTTGATTTAACTTAGCAGCATTTGTTAAATTAACATGATAACTGTATTACATTTTAATTTAAAATCTTAGTAAATTGAAGCAAATAACAAGTGACTTCATTAAATTTTGTATTATTGTAATGAAATACTTTGCACAGGTTATGCTTTACAAAAAAGAGGCAAGATTAATTTTCTAAGCCAGGTGCAGTGGCTCACACCTGTAATCCCAGCACTTTGGGAGGCTGAGGCAGGTGGATCACTTGTGGCCAGGAGTTTGAGACCAGCCCGGCCAACATGATGAACCCTGTCTCAACTAAACAACAAAAATTAGCTAGGTGTGGTGGCATGCGCCTGTAGTCCTAGCTACTTGGGTGACTGAGGCAGGGAATCACTTGAACCCTGGAGACCAGAGGTTGCAGTGAGCCGAGATCGCACCACTGCACTCCAGCCTAGGCAACAGAGTGGGACTCTGTCTCAAAAAACAAAACCCAAAAAACAACAACCAAAAAACCCCAGAAAACCTCAAAAGATTAATTTTCTATTTGTTAGGAACTACAAAGGCCCATTCTCATTTTGTGAGATGGTATGACATTTTAGGACTCCTTTTCAGCAGCAGTTACCATGGAAGACTGAGTAAAGCCTTTCTCCAAACAGTAACAAAATACCCCCAACCCCACGCCATTTTTTCTTCTTTTTTTTTGAAACAGGGTCTCACTCTATTGCCCAGGCTGAAATGCAGTGGCACAATCATTACTCAATGCAACTTTGATCTCTTGGGCTCAAGCATTCCTCCCACCTCACCCTCCTGAGTAGCTGGGACTACAGGCATACCTCACCATGCCCAGCTAATTTTTTTTTATCTTTAGTAGAAATGAGGTCTTGCTGTGTTCCTCATGTTGGTCTTGAACTCCTGAGCCCAGGCAATCTTCTTGCCTCTGCCTCCCAAAGTGCTGGGATTACAGATGTGAGCCATTGTGCCCGGCCCCAAATGCCTCTTATGAAATGCCCTTAGGCTTTGATTGTGATGGTTCACTAACGTGGTTTGCAGAACCAAATTTGAGTCTGAGAAAATAATATGTACATTCATTGTTAGTACCTCAATTTTGAAATTATAAAAGTGGTATTATAGAGTTGTAGAATTTTTGATAAGGGAAAGGAAAACAATTTACCCATATGCCTGCTACCCTAATATAATGACTTTGGTGATTTTGGTATATGTCTCTCAGCTCTTTTTCTTGTGCATGGTTTTTTTGTTTGTTTGTTTGTTTTGTTTTTTTTTTTTGTTTGAGACAGGGTCTCGCTCTGTCGCCCAGGCTGGAGTGCAGTGGTGTGATCTTGGTTCACTGCAACCTCTGCCTCCCGGGCTCAAGTGATCCTCTCACCTCGGCCTCCTGAGTAGCTGGGACTACAGGTGTGTACCACCACACCCGGCTAATTTTTTGTAGTTTTTTAGAGATGGGGTTTAATGAGAGGCTGATATATAAAACGGAGTGCCAGGTCATTCATTTGTGATGAGAACCATAACTGTCAAGTGGACTGGATACACTAACCAGTATATTCCACCTTAGGCAATCTCTGTGTAAAGTGAGTTTACTAGATTATTTAGTGACTGTACTGTAGCTGAAATAGAACGCAATGTTGCCAAATAGAAAAATACTTTTACTGGGACTGAAGATAATTTTTTTTTTGAGGCGGAGTCTCGCTCTGTCGCCAGGCTGGAGTGCAGTGGCATGATCTCGGCTCACTGCAACCTCCGCCTCCCGAGTAGCTGGGACTACAGGCATGTGCCACCACGCCCAGCTAATTTTTGTACTTATAGTAGAGATGGAGTTTCACCATGTTGGCCAGGATGGTCTCAATCTCCTGACCTCGTGATCAGCCTGCCTTGGCCTCCCAAAGTGCTGGGATTACAGGTGTGAGCCACCTGCTCCCTGCCCGATAATTGTTTTCTTAGAGTCAACGTATTGTCTACCCAAGATGGCTTTTGGAGGGGCACTGCCATTATTTGCCTCTCTGGCTCTCTCTTTCCTATGTTGCTGCCACAGCAAACATAACCGACTTTCTTAACACATTCTTCAGCTATCTTTATCCTCTTTAATTAGGTACTTTCAGCTATTATAGACCAGCAAGGCTTTGGTTTCATTTTAAGTTGAATTTGCATTTCTCTTGTATGAACTACTGATAATTTTTACAAACGTAACTCTCAAAGAGCAGTTTTATTTTCTGCCTTCCCATGTTCTCAGGGTTCATCTTAGTGTTCCTTCATGAACCTCCTACAATTGGTAATTGTTGTTGTCCTCTGCAGAGGAAACGTACTGCACATGAGCGTGCCAAGGAACTTTACAGTTCGGGGGAGTTTTCCAGTGGCAGAAAGTGGGGAGATGATGCTCCCAAGGAAGAAGTAGATACCGGGGCTGTGAACTTGATTGAGTCAGGAGCTTGTGGAGCTTTTGTTCATGGGTTGGAAGATGAGATGTATGGTAAGTATGACTGTATAATAGCAATAGCACTCTTTAAGTGACTGCTGTGTGTCAGGCATTATACTGGGTGATACACATGTATCGTTTCATTTAGTCCTCACAGTAACTCTGGGAAGTACTTACTATGCTTTTTATTTTACACACAGAAGAGACTGAGGCCCCAGTAGTATGAGACAATGGTAAAGAGCAAGAGATTTGGGTTCAGTCAATCTGTATTTAAATTCCAGCATTTTTATAAAACAGGGATAATAATAACTATCTTTCTGAGTTGTGAGAATTAAATGAGGTTCTGTATACATAAAGCACTTGGCATAATACACGTGCCTATTTATAATAAGCACTTAATAATTGGTAATTAAAATTGATATTAATAAAAATAATAACTTGATATTACCCAGCTAATAAGAGACAGAGCAAGATTTAAACCTAGGTATGTCTGACTGCCAAACCTTTATATGACTGATGAATATTTTATTTCACCTTCATTTTTGAAAGATATTTTTGGGCCAGGCGTGGTGGCTCACACCTGTAATCCCAGCACTTTGGGAGGCTGAGGCTGGAGGATCACTTGAGGCCAGGAGTTCAAGACCAGCCTGGTTAACATGGTGAAACCCTGGATCTACTAAAAATACAAAAAATAGCTGGTATGGTGGCATACACCTGTAATCTCAGCTGCTAGAGAGGCTCAGACACAAGAATCACTTGAACTCAGGAGGCAGAGGTTGCAGTGAGCTGAGATCGTGCCACTGCACTCCAGCCTGAGCAAGCAACAGAGCAAAACTCTGTCTCAAAAAATAAATAAATAAATAAATAAATAAATAAATAAATAAATACAGAAAGATATTTTTGTGGGAATACAATTCTAGATTAATAAGTTTTTTTTTTCCAAGAGACTTTTTTGTTTTTTGAGACAGGGTCTCACTCTGACACCCAGGCTAGAGTGTAGTGGTGTGATCACAGCTCACTGAAGCTTTGACTTCCTGGACCCAAGCAATCCTCCCACCTCAGCCTCTCGAGTAGCTGGGACCAGAAGCACGTGTCACCATGCCCGGCTAATTTTTTAATTTTTTGTAGAGACAGGGCCTCCCTATATTGTCCAAGCCAGTCTTTAACTCCTGGGCTCAAGTGATCCTTTTGCTTTGGCCTCCTAAAGTGTTGAGATTGCGGGCGTGAGCCACTGTGCATGGCCTCTACCAGTCTTTTAATGATATTGCTCCATAGTTTTCTGTTGAGAAATCTGCTGTCGTTTTTATCTTCCTCTGTATATAATGTGTCTTTTTATCTCAAGCTGCTTTTAAGATTTCTCTTTATCACTGGTTTTAAGCAATTTGATTATGATATGCCTGGGTATAGTACAGTTCATGTCATGTTTCTTTTGTTTGGAGTTTGTTGAGCTTCTTGAATCAAATAGTTTTCATCACAGTTGGAAATTTTTTTTTTGCTATTATTTCTTTCTCTCTCTTTTTTTTTCGGGGGGTGTGGCGGGGACAGAGTTTTGCCCAGGCTGAAGTGCAGTGGTGTGACCTTGGCTCACTGCAACCTCTGCATCCTGAGTTCAGACAATTCTCATGCTTCAGCTTCCCGAGTAGCTGGGACTGCAGGTGCCCGCGACCACTCTCGGCTAATTTCTGTATTTTTAGTAGAGACGGGGTTTTGCCATGTTGTCGAGGCTGGTCTCAAACTCCTGAGCTCAACTTATCTGCCCGCTTCAGCCTCCCAAAGTGCTGGGATTACAGGTGTGAGCCACCATACCCAGCCACTATTATTTTTTTTAATTTCTCTGACTCTACAGGCCCTTTGGCGACTTTCATTACGCATGCATTAGGATACTGACATTGTTTTACAGCTCACTGATGCTCTATTCTTCCTTCCTTCCTTCCTTCCTTTCTTTCTCCAGTTTTTATTTTCTCTTTGTGTTTGATTTTGGATAGTATCTATTGCTTTGTCTTTGAGCGTTGCAAGATATAATCTGATGTTAATCCCACCTAGTATATATTTCATCTCAGACATGTAGTTTCTGTCTCTAGAAGTTTGATTAGAATTTGGGTTTTTTCCATCCTGGACCACATAAGGAGACCCTATCTCTACAAAAAATTTAAAATTAGCCAGACATGGTTGTGCATGCCTTTAGTCCCAGCTACTTGGGAGGCTGAGGCAGGAGGATTGCTTGAGCGCAGGAGTTAGAGGTTGCAGGGAGCCATGATCACACAAGTGCACTCCAGTCTGGGTGACAGAGCAAGACCCTGTCTCAAAAAAAAGAAGAAAGAATTTGGGTCTTTTTAGTATCTACCATGTCTTTCTTAACATACTTAATCTTTCCTCTAGCTTTGTCAACAGATAATATGTTTATAATTGTCTTACTATCCTTGTTTACTAGGACTATTATTTCTGTGATTCGTAGGTTGGTTTTGATTGATTTTTTTCCTCCAGTATTATATATTCCATCCTGTATATATTCCATCCTGTATATATTCCATCCTGTATATATTCCATCCTTTGTCTTTTCATGTCTGATAATTTTTAATTGGATGCCAGACATTATAGATTTCACTTTATTGGATACTGAACATTATTTTATTCCTTTAAATATTTTTGAGCTTTGTTCTGGGATCCATTTTTTCAGGTCTTATACTTTGTTAGGCAGGATTAGAGTAGCATTTAGCCTACAGCTTACTTTTCTCCACTAGTGAAGCAAAAAACTCTTCTTTTGCACTACTTGAAGCGCAAAACCTCTTCTTTTCTTTTTTTTTTTTTTGAGACAGGATCTTGCTCTGTTGCTCAGGCTGGAGTGCCAAGGTACAGTCACGGCTCGCTGCAGCCTTGACCTCCTGGGCTCAAATGATCTTCCCACCTCAGCCTCCTGAGTAATTAGGACCACAGGTGGACACCACCACACCTGGCTAATTTTTGTATTTTTTGTAGAGATGGGGTTTTGCCATGTTGCCCAGGCCAGGCTTGAAGTCCTGGCCTCAAGCAATCCGGCCACCTCGGCCTCCCAGAGTTTTAGGATGACAGACGTAAGCCACCACACCTGGCTGCAAAATTCTTCTAAGTTAACTGTGGTTTTATAGGCCCTGTGTGACCTCTGGAGATTGTTTCCTCTCATTGTTTTGAGTGGTTCTTTTCCAGGCCTCAGATGGTCTCTGTCTCACAGATCAGAATTCAGCTGAAGACTTGAGGCGACCATCTGCAGATCTCCCAAGCTCTCTGTCTCTCTGTGTAGTTCTCTCCTTTCTAGTAATTTGCTCTATGAACTCTAGCCACATTGGACTTCCCAAACTCCTAGCTCAATCTTCTCAACTCAGGGAGAGAAGACCTAGTGCCTGGAGTCTCTCTAAACAGAATTGCTGTAATCATTGAGATCACCTCATTTATTTCCCATCTCTCAGGGATTGCAGTCCTTTATTGCCAGATGCCCAGTGTCTGGAATGCTGTTGTTTCATATATTTTGTCTCTGTCTCATCCTTGGAGGATAAAGCTGGTCCTCATTACTCCATCTTGTAATAGACATCCTATAAAGCCCCTGTGATTTCCATATGCTATCTGTCTCATGTACATCTCAGAATTTCAGTGCTTTGAGATGATTGACTCCAGCCTCTTCATTATCAGCAAGGGTAACAGACCTGGTGAGGTAATGTTGATTGTCCACATTTTACAGTAAATTTGTGCCGGAGACCTGTGCGAGGTCTTAAAAGTGCCTACAAAATCATACCTCAGGATAGAACTACTTCTTAGAAGGGCAAGAATATTATTTTTGAAAGAAAGTTTTTCATCAGTAGATGTTAAGAATTGGGTTATCTTATCATTTGTTCTAAAATGTTCCATATGTATAGAAAGTAAATCTACCTCTGCTTTTTGATTCTCTGTGAACTTAAAATATGAATTACAGTTTAAATAATATTGGATAATAAGGAAGTCCAGTTATTAAAACCTATTTTACTCTAAAATGAGTAACTGAAACCTATTTTGTTTCTATTAGCATTTTTGCTTTGTTTCGTTTCTACAACTGAATTTCATCACTTTTATTTTTTTATTTTTTTATTTTTGAGTTTTAATGCTCTTTATTATTGAATTCAATGGCAATGTAACAACAGTCATGGAAATTTTGAAAAGAAGAAAACATCCGTAATCCCACCTCTCCAACACAACAACATTCTCATGTTTGTCTCTTCCCTCTGGGATTTGTCTCCCTGCAGTCACCCTTTTAGAAATGTGCAGATCTAGGCATTTGCATCATTCTTTTTTTTTTTTTTTTTAGTATTTATTGATCATTCTTGGGTGTTTCTCAGAGAGGGGGATTTGGCAGGGTCATAGGACAATAGTGGAGGGAAGGTCAGCAGATAAGCAAGTGAACAAGGGTCTCTGGTTTTCCTAGGCAGAGGACCCTGTGGCCTTCCGCAGTGTTTGTGTCCCTGGGTACTTGAGATTAGGGAGTGGTGATGACTCTTAAAGAGCATGCTGCCTTCAAGCATCTGTTTAACAAAGCCCATCTTGCACCGCCCTTAATCCATTTAACCCTGAGTGGACACAGCACATGTTTCAGAGAGCACGGGGTTGGGGGTAAGGTCATAGATTAACAGCATCCCAAGGCAGAAGA
The DNA here is from genome assembly GCF_000001405.40 of Homo sapiens. Classification (NCBI taxonomy): domain Eukaryota; kingdom Metazoa; phylum Chordata; class Mammalia; order Primates; family Hominidae; genus Homo; species Homo sapiens. The sequence continues at coordinate 77,934,053 of NC_000011.10, read as the reverse complement.
TTTTTCTTAGTACAGAACAAAATGGAGTCTCCTAAGTCCACTTCCCTCTACACAGACACAGCAACAATCCGACCCCTCCATCCCCTCCCCACATTTCCCCCTTCTCCACTCCACAAAACCGCCATTGTCATCATGGCCCGCTCTCAATGAGCTGCTGGGCACACCTCCCAGACGGGGTGGCTGCCGGGCAGAGGGGCTCCTCACTTCCCAGACAGGGCGGCCGGGCAGAGGCGCCCCCCACCTCCCGGACGGGGCGGCTGCCGGGCGGAGACGCTCCTCACTTCCCAGACGGGCGGCTGCTGGGCGGAGGGGCTCTTCACTTCTCATAGGGGGCGGCAGGGCAGAGGGGCTCCTCACATCCCAGATGATGGGCGGCCAGGCAGAGACGCTCTTCACTTCCCAGACGGGGTGGCGGCCGGGCAGAGGCTGCAATCTCGGCACTTTGGGAGGCCAGGGCAGGCGGCTGGGAGGTGGAGGTTGTAGCGAGCCGAGATCACGCCACTGCACTCCAGCCTGGGCAACATTGAGCACTGAATTAGCGAGACTCCGTCTGCAATCCCAGCACCTCAGGAGGCCGAGGCTGGCAGATCACTGGCGGTTAGGAGCTGGAGACCAGCCCGGCCAACACAGCGAAACCCCGTCTCCACCAAAAAAAATACGAAAACCAGTCAGACGTGGCGGCGCGCGCCTGCAATCCCAGGCACTCGGCAGGCTGAGGCAGGACAATCAGGCAGGGAGGTTGCAGTGAGCCGAGATGGTGGCAGTACAGTCCAGCTTCGGGCTCGGCATCAGAGGGAGACCGTGGAGAGAGAGGGAGAGGGAGACTGTGGGGAGAGGGGGATGGAGAGGGGGACGGAGAGGGACAGGGAGAGGGCCACTTTTAACATTTATATGATTTAGTTATACAGTTTTCAGTTTGCCATTAAGATTTTTTAAATACTTTTTTTTATACTTTTGAGTTCTGGGGTACATGTGCAGAACGTGCAGGTTTGTTACATAGGTATACACGTGCCATGGTGGTTTGCTGCACCCGTCAACCCATCATCTACGTTAGGTATTTCTCCTAATGCTATCCCTCCCCCAGCCCCCCACCCCCTGACAGGCCCCAGTGTGTGATGCCCCCCCACCTTCAGTGTCCATGTGTTCTCATTGTTCACCTCCCACTTATGAGTGAGAACATGTGGTGTTTGGTTTTCTGTTCTTGTGCTAGTTTGCTGAGAATGATGGTTTCCAGCTTCAGCCATGTCCCTGCAAAGAACATGAACTCATCCTTTTTTATGGCTGCGTGGTATTCCATGGTGTATATGTGCCACATTTTCTTTATCCAGTCTATCATTGATGGGCCTTTGGGTTGGTTCCAAGTCTTTACTTGTGAATAGTGCTGCAATAAACATATGTGTGCATGTGTTCTTATAGTAGAATGATTTATAATGCTTTGGGTATATGCCCAGTAATGGGATTGCTGGGTCAAATGGTATTTCTGGTTCTAGATCCTTGAGGAATCGTTACACTGTCTTCCACAATGGCTGAACTAATTTACACTCCCACCAACAGTGTAAAAGTGTTCCTGTTTCTCCACATCTTCTCCAGCATCTGTTGTTTCCTGACTTTTTAATGATCGCCATTCTAACTGGTGTGAGATGGTATCTCATTGTGGTTTTGATTTGCATTTCTCTAATGACCAGTGATGATGAGCTTTTTTTAATATGTTTGTTGGTCGCATAAATGTCTTCTTTTGAGAAGTGTCTGTTTGTATCCTTTGCCCACTTTTTGATGGGGTCATGGTTTTTTGTTTTGTTTTGTTTTGTTTTTTGGAAATTTGTTTAAGTTCCTTGTAGATTCTGGATATTAGCTCTTTGTCAGATGGATAGGTTACAAAAATTTTCTCCCATTCTGTAGGTTGCCTGTTCACTCTGATGATAGTTTCTTTTGCTGTGCAGAAGCTCTTTAGTTTAATTAGATCCCATTTGTCAGTTTTGGCTTCATTGCCGTTGCTTTTGGTGTTTAAGTCATGAAGTCTTTGCCCATGCCTATGTCCTGAATGGTATTGCCTAGATTTTCTTCTAGGGTTTTTATGGTTTTAGGTCTTATGTTTAAGTCTTTAATCCATCTTGAGTTAATTTTTGTATAAAGTGTAAGGAAGGGATCCAGTTTCAGTTTTCTGCATATGGCTAGCCAGTTTTCCTAACACCATTTATTAAATAGGGAATCCTTTCCCTGTTGGTTGTTTTTGTCAGGTTTGTGAAAGATCAGATGGTTGTAGATGTGTGGTGTTATTTCTGAGGCCTCTATTCTGTTCCATTGGTCTATATATCTGTTTTGGTACCAGTACTATGCTGTTTTGGTTACTGTAGCCTTGTAGTATAGTTTGAAGTCAGGTAGCATGAGGCCTCCAGCTTTGTTCTTTTTGCTTAGAATTGTCTTGGCTATGTGGGCCCTTTTTTGGTTCCATACTAGTATATATATTTAAGGGGTACATGAGATGTTTTGATACAGGCATGAAATATGAAATAATCACATCATATAGAATAGGTATCCATCTCCTCAAGGATTTATCCTTCGTGTTACAAATGTTATTAAGATGTAATCAAATTAACTTAAGTTTAAAAAGTGAGTATACCATAACCAGGTATCAGGTATGACAGCTTTCTAATTTTATCACATTTATACAGTTCTGGGAAAATTTGGGTTTTAGGGATGCATTGCTGGGAATGAAATGGAGCCTTATTTCACTGGCTGTTCACTCTAGTGTAGTGCCTCACATACTTCTAGTCTTCTAATTTATCCATCTTCTCCCTCCTTTTTGGGACTTTGTGCATGCAGCTTTTCTTCTAGAAAGGTCTTTTTCTTTCTTTTGGCTTAGCAGCTCTTTTAGTTATTGTTTTTAGGGATCACATATTACAGAAAGCCACCTCTGATCCCATTGATTGAGCTATATTTCTTCATATGCATTTTCTTACATTCCCTGTGCTTTTCCATGGCAACAGTCATCACTCTGTAATGCAATTAACTGTTCTTGTTTGTAAGCCTGGGGGATAGTCTTGCTTTTGTTCATCTTTGTATCTTTAGTACTAAGTACAAACCTAATAGGTAGCTAAGTCTGGATCCAATTATACATGTGCAGATGCTGAGAATCAGTCTTTTTAAAAATATAGTATAGTAGATTCCTTTTCTCTGCTCTGTACCCATAGGGAATCTGTGACATATTATTTATTTATTTTTAATTAACTTTTTTTTATAGAGATGGGGTCTCACTGTGTTGCCCAGGCTGGTGTTGAACTCCTGGGCTCAAGTGATCCTCCTGCCTTGGCCTCTCAAAGTGCTGGGATTACAGGCGTGACATACCTGGCCGACATATCTTCAACATTCCAAAAAGTTCAGTGGAAAATATCAATTTTCTTGCTTATAGTCTGGCCGTTCAGGCAAAGTAAAATACCACATTTCTTTGCTTCTGCTTAGAATTGTATCAGCTGAGGTCACAATGATTATCTCTTTCTGATCAGAAGTTCCTTCCTGATTGCCTTGGTGGACTTGCAAAGGTTACATATGAGTCAGTGTGGTGTAATGGATAAAATTCTAGGAGGAAGAGCCAGCACTTAACATGTTTGGGTTTATCTCTAGCTTGCCTTATAATTAGCAATTTCATGTTTAAATTATATTATTGTGAAGTGAAGAAAATTGTTCTCTTCTGATAAAAAGGAGGAATTCATAACTACCAAGAAAAACCTGAATCATCTGTCTTTAATGTAGTAACTCTACTTTTAACATGTCTATAAAACCTTTCTTTATACAAAGAGGAAATTGTGTTTGTGAGTTTTAACCACAACTTTAGGTACTTTTTGTTTTATTTTGTTTTGGAATAGTCCATTTTGTTACAGAAGCATATGGGAATCACTAGAAAAAAACAACCATGTATAGAAGTCTTATGAGCATTTTCTGTGTCTTACTCATTTCTCATCTTTGTATCCTAGCCCTTAGTACTGCACCTAGCATATAATACGTGTTCAGGACCCACTTATTAGTGAATCAAGAAAGGGCTTCCTCGGATCAGTGGCTTTATTGTTTACATGTTCTGAGCATGCCAAGGGGTGGAAAACATGCCTCTGTTTTCAGGGTACTTTACAGAACCCAAACCTATACCCTAGGTGATACTTACTGAGCCCTTAAAATATGCCAGGCAGGGTCCCTATGTGGTTTACCTGTATTATCTCATTTAGTCCTAACAACTCTGTAAGGAAATGAGTATTATCTCCACTTACCAGGCGAGAAATTTGAGGTGCCAGGAAGTTGAGTTACTTATTCAAGATCACCCTCCAACTTAGTGGAGGGATCATTCACTACAGTTTGCTCTGAGACCTCTATCATTCCAAGCGTGTATCCTTAACTACTATATGATTTTAGCCTACAATCAACAGACCTGAGTATTGGTCCTATTCCTGCCCTCATTCACTTTGAGGCAAGTGAATCCACATTGCTGAATCTTACCTCTAAAATTCGAACAATGATATTTAGTCTACTTTAATCTTAATGATAACATTATTTACTAACTGACTTTTTAAAAAGTACTGTGGTCAGAATACTGAGATAAGTAAGACAATTTAATTTTCAAGAAGTTAATGTAGACAGACATGTGACTTCATCACATATATGTGGTGTCAGATTTAAGCCATAGTCCTTGTGATACTAAAGTCCATGTTCTTAGATCGACGTTAAGGTGGGTGGTATGTGAAACTGTGGGCATAGAGATCTCCCAGGGAGAGTTTATAGAATGAGAGGAGTAGAGAATAGAAGACAGCCTGAAGGAGAAGGAATCCATCTTGGACTTATCCCATGGCTCTTAATTTGATATGAGTTACTTTATATATATATATAAAATATGGGGCTTCAGTGTGTTGCTCAGGCCAGCCTTGAACTCCTGAGCTCAAATGATCCTCCCACCTCAGCTTCCTGAGTAGCTGGGACTTTGGTGTATGGCACTGCACCTGGCTGATGTGCAGTTTTTGTTTTTTTGTTTTTGGAGTTTTTTTTTTTTTTGAGACAGGGGCCCACTCTGTCACCAGGATGGAGTGTAGTGGCACGATCATGGCTCACTGCAGGCTCAAACTCCTGGGCACAAGTGATCTTCCTGCCTCAGCCTCCCAAGTAGATGGGACTATAGGCGTGTGCCACCACACTTGGCTAATTTGTTTTTTGTGTGTTTTGTTTTGAGATAGGGTCTCATTCTGTCACCAGGCTGGAGTGCAGTGGCATGACCTTGGCTAACTGTAATTTCTGCCTCCCAGGTTCAAGTGATCCTCCCTTCTCAGCCTCCCAAGTAGCTGAGACAACAGGCGCACGCTACCACACCCAGCTAATTTTTTAATATTTTTGGTAGAAACAGAGTTTTACCACATTGCATAGGCGGGCTCAAGTGATCTGCCTCCCTTGGCCTCCCAAAGTGCTGGGATTACAGGCGTGAGCCACTGTGCCCAGCCTGATGTGCAATTTCATTTGTTCTTTTTTCTAGAGGTTCGTATTGCTGCTGTGGAGGCCCTCTGCATGTTGGCCCAGTCTTCACCCTCTTTTGCTGAGAAGTGCCTTGATTTCCTAGTTGACATGTTCAACGATGAAATTGAGGAAGTACGTCTGCAGTCTATACATACCATGAGAAAAATCTCTAACAACATCACCCTCCGAGAAGATCAGCTTGACACTGTCCTGGCTGTGCTAGAGGTGAGTGTTTCTAATTTGTTACTCATTTCTTCATCCCTCACCCCCCCCTGTTAAAATCAGGTATTGTGCTAGGCATTGGTGACAGAACACTATATCAGGGAGCACAGTTCTGTTTTCTCACCATACCCCTTCCCTAAGATGGAAGAAATTGACTGTGAAACAGGAAATTTGAATAAGCTTGGTCTTTCTGTGATCAAGAAAGGATAGGATGCCTAGGGAATACATAGTGTCTAACCTGAATTGGCTGAGGTGAGGTTGGGAAGAAGGAGGAAGTGCTGTAGTGGACACTTGAAGGAGGAGTAGGACTTAACTAGGCTTTTTTTTGCCTTCTTCTTTTGAGACAGGGTCTCACTCTGTCACTCAGGCTGAAGTGCATCTTTTTTAAAGGAGAAGTGACACTGGTGGTAGGATGAAAGGGTACCAGACAGAGGGAGCAATGTCTAAAGATGCAGAGATAAGACAGAATATGATATATTCAAGGAACTAAAAAGAGTTTATTATAATGATAGTGTAGAGTTGAAGAGATGGAAGAGTGGAGGACGTGGCTATAGATAAGGTAGGGGCTAAATAATGAAGAGTTCTTTTCAACCTTTAATTTGATTTTATTCTTGTAGTGAATCATAGGCTGTTATAGCAGCAAGTGATCTTAGGGATTGATTCATTCTACCCTGGGAATTTTATAGAGAAAAAAATAAGTTGTTTGAGTTAGTGGCTGAACCAGAATGTAAACAGAGAGTTGCTTCCCAGGCCATACAGCTCTAGGTGGTTCTTGTATTATTTTTCTAAAATGTCTGGATTTTAATTGCAACTACTCAAGTTCTTCAGAGTATTCATAAATGGGGTTTGTCCTCTGGTTTCCTTTTTTGGGGAAGATGGGGTTCAGATGTGAAAGGGATAGTGATTAGGTGCTTAGTTTTTAGAACACTTGTAACAGATTTCTACTGCGTACTTTAAAGAATAGCTGGTGCTTTGGTTTTGAAGGTCCCTACCATTCTCTCAGCTGCTTAGCACTTCTACTGAGATTTTTCCTGAATTATAAATCTTTATAATTTTTTCATGTATTTTTTCCTAAAAATAAGTTTACATTCTATGTGCGGTTCTTCATGGGTGGCCTCATACATAGCCTAGCCACTCCTTTCCTTTTTAGCTTTCTTTTCCACCATTCCTCACCTTGAACTTTATGCTGAAGTCACTTTCCTACACATATTGCTTTTCCTCACAATTTTACCTTCAATGTAATTTTCCCCCACAGTTTGCAAAACTGCCACTTTAACCCAGGAGACGTCCACTTATTCCCACAGCCTATATTAGGTAACATATCCAGGAAGCCTTCCCTAACTGTTACTCCCAGCACTGGGTGGGCTAAATGCCACCACTCTATTCCCATAGCACCCTGTGTATACTGCTGTAGCATTTTTCAGTAATTCTCTATTTCATAAGACTGTGAGCTCCTCAAGGTGTCTTGACTTTTCTTTTCTTTTCCTTTCCTTTCCTTTTTCCTTTCCTTTCCTTTCCTTTTTTTTTTTTTTTGAGGCTGAGTCTCGCTCTGTTCCCCAGGGTGGAGTGCGGTGGTACGATCTTGGCTTACTGCAACCTTCACCTCCTGGGTTCAAGCAATTCTCCTGCCTCAGTCTCCCGAGCAGCTGGGATTACAGGCACGCACCACAATACTAATTTTTGTATATATTTTTTTTTTTAGTAGAGATCGTGTTTCACCATATTGGCCAGGCTGGTCTCGAACTCCTGACCTCAAGTGATCCACCCACCTTGGCCTCCCAAAGTGCTGGGATTATGGTGTGAGCCACCGTGCCCGGCTGACTCTTCATTTTTTTATTACCAATGTCTTGCAGCAGTGTCTGGCACAATTAGGTGCTCGGTAAGTGTTTGCTGAGTAGCTGAGCTATGTTCCAAGCTATGTTTTGATGTACAGAATTGTTCACAGGTATGCTTATTTGTGAGTACTTATGTATATAACTCACAAAGAATCCTTGCCTTTTAATTCTTTTCAGGAGTTCAGACCAATATAAACTTACAGTAGACTATTCTTCCACCCTGCTGTGTACTTCTCCCTTATATTTTCTGTGTCACTGGGCTTCATTGCTTTGAGCCTTACCTTGCTGACCCTTCCAGCTGGAATTTGCCTTTTTTTTTTCCTGCTATGTCAAGATCCTACCCTGCCTAGAAAAATTCACTTCTTTATTCAACAAGCACTGTCTATGTATTAGAAATATAGGGATATCAAAACAGGCAGGATCCCTGCTGTCATAAAACTTATATTCTAAAGAGAGGTGGAGTAAACAAACAAAATGATTTCAGATGGTGATAAATGTTTTGCAGAAGATAAACAGTATGATTGAGGAATGGGGAATTTCTCTGTAATTTGAGTGGTTAGTAAAGACTTTCTGAGGAGATGATGTTCAAGTTGAGTCTTGAATGATAAACAGAAGCTAGCTATGTGAAGACTGGGAGAATAACTTCAGGTAGAGGCAACAGCTAGTGGAAAGGCTCTAAAACACAAGTGAGCTTTGTTGTGTTTGCAGAATAGAGAGAAAGCCAGTAGGAGTGAACCACAGTGAGAAAGTAGAAATGTGGCATGAGATGAAGTCTGAGAGGGGATTAGGGACAGGTGGAGAGCCTTGTAGGCCATTTTAAGATGTCTGGATTTTATTCTAACATTATGGAAAACTGTTGCAGAATTTTATGGATAGGAGTGACATTTCGATTTGCCTCTCTTTTAATATTTCTCATTCTTGAAATCTTGAAATTCACTTCAGATAGATTGACTTTTTCCCTCACTCCTCCATTTAACACATACAGGTATACCTCTCTTTATTGGGCTTTGCAGATATTGTGTTTTTTTAATAAATTGAGAGATTGCGGCAACCATGCATTGAGCAAGTCTATCGGTGCCATTTTTCCAATAGCATGTGCTCACTTTATGTCTGTGTCACATTTTGGTAATTCTTGCAATATTTCAAACTTTTTCATTATTACATCTGTTACAGTGATCTGTGATCAGTGATCTTTGATGTTACTGTTGTAATTGTTTTGGGATGCCACAAACTGTGCCTGTATAAGATGGCAAACTTAATAAGTATGTGTGTTCTGAGTGTTCTGCTAACTGGCCATTCCCAGCCTCTCTCTTAGCCTTTCTTCTTAGCCTGTCCTTTTTCCTAGTTGCAAAAAGGCTCTTGTACCTTCAGCATCATGATTGAGTTCCAGATAGGATGGAAAAGGAAGGTTAAAGAACAAAGGGGATAAAGCTACTGCCTCTGGTCCTTTATCAATAAAATGAAAGATATTTCAGGAATTTCAGCTAAAAAACTTCCACATACTTTGTTACATGGCCACCCTAGATGGGAAGGTGGCTGGGTAGAAGGGGATGGTAGATAGAGGCTGAGTCTGCTAACCAACAGTAACTACTGTTATTATTACTTTTTTTTTAAAAGGATTCATCCAGAGATATTCGAGAGGCTCTTCATGAACTCTTATGCTGTACTAATGTTTCAACCAAAGAAGGGATTCATCTTGCATTGGTGGAGCTGCTGAAAAATTTAACCAAGTACCCTACTGATAGGGACTCCATATGGAAGTAATGACTTTTTTGCCCATTTACTCACTGAGTCCCATAATGTGGTAAATGTATAATGCTGACATTTGTTCCGTCCTTATAGATTGAGGATAGTACGGCCCTGAATTTTGCCTTTACTTTAGAAACCTGATTCAACTTAACCGAACTCTCAGGAATCTGATTCCTAAGCTGAGTATCACATTTTAGATTACTTACTAATTTGTGCATCTATCCACCTAGCAAATATTATGTGCCTGCTGTGTGCTGACTATGCACCAACCCTTGTGGTAGCTGTTACAAGTATAGAAATAAATTAATTAGATTTCCTCTTTCTCCTATATAGTGTTTTGTTTTGTTACTTTTTTTTTTTGAGACGGAGTCTCGCTCTGTCACTCTGACTAGAATGCAGTGGCGTGATCTCAGCTCACTGCAACTTCTGCCTCCTGGGTTCAAGCGATTCTCCTGCCTCAGCCTCTCGAGTAACTGGGATTATAGGTTGCATGCCACCATACCCCAACTAATTTTTGTTTTTTTTTTTAGTAGAGATGGGGTTTTACCATGTTGGTTAGGCTGGTCTTGAACTCCTGACCTCAGGTGATCCCCCTGCCCCGGCCTCCCAAAGTGCTGGGATTACAGGCATGAGCCACTGTGCCTGGCCTTATTATTTTTTATTCATTAAGTTCTGGTTTAGAAGGTGCACTAAATTGGCTGGGTGCAGTGGCTCACGCCTATAATCCCAGCACTTTGGGAGGCTGGGGCGGGTGGATCACCTGAGGTCAGGAGTTCAAGACCACCCTGGCCAACATGGTGAAACCTCATCTCTACTAAAAATGCAAAAATCTGCCGGGCCTAGTGGCACACGCCTGTAATCCCAGATACTTGGGAGGCGAAGGCAGGAGAATTGCTTGAACCCTGGAAGCAGAGGTTGCAGTGAGCCGAGATTGTGCCACTGCATGCCAGCCTGGGCAGCAGAGCAAGACTCAGTCTCAAAAAAAAAAAAAAAACCATAAACAATAATAAAAATATATAATTACCTTGCTTTTATAGTTCCTTATAGTTTATAAAGGGCCCTCATGTAGTTATAATAGCTAACATTGAGTTCTTACTATGTGACAGACACTTTGCTAAGTACTTTATGTTAGTTATTTAATGCGTATAGCAACTCTATGAAGTAATGACTTTTAATCTCATTTTGTAGATGAAAAAATTTACTTGCATAAGGCTACTTAGTTTCAGACAGATCTGTGATTTCAGGACTTCACCCAGGATATCAATCAGAATGTTTTTGCCCACAAATAAAAAAGACAATCTGATTAAAAATATCTTAGCCAATAAGTCTGTTTTTTCATAACAAGTGGTCAGAAGGTTGGTTTCAGGATTCGTCATTCAACAGGTTACCAGGGCTCTCTTTGGTTTCTCTGCAGTTCTCTTGGCTTTTTTTTTTTTTTTTTTTTTGAGACAGAGTCTCTCTTTATCGCCAGGGTGGAGTGCATTGGCATAATATTGGCTCACTGAACCTCCGCCTTCCAGGTTCAAGTGATTCTCCTGCCTCAGCCTCCCGAGTAGCTGGGACTACAGGCCCGTGCCACCATGCCCAGCTAATTTTTGTATTTTTAGCAGAGATGGGGTTTCACCATGTTGGCCAGGATGGTCTTGATCTCTTGACCTCCTGATCCAGCCACTTCGGCCTCGCAAAGTGTTGGGATTATAGGCGTGAGCCACCACACCCGGCCGGCTTTCTTCTCATAGTTGTAAGATGGCTGCCTCATAAGATAATATCTCAAGACAGAAAGGAAGGGTCATTCCCTTTCATGCATTGCTCTTTTGATTTGCAAAAACATCCCTGAGAAGCTCCCCAGCCAGCATACTCTCGTGCTCCATTGTCTAGAACTGGCTTACTTGCCCACCAGCAAACCAGTCACTGGAAAATGGGAATGGGATTGCCATGATGGGTTTAGACCAATAGTGGTTCAGCTCTTGGGCTGGACCTGCCTTTTCCGAGCACTTTGCTGCCTGCCTGATACCTGAGTAAAATCAGGGCTCTCTCAGGAAGAAAGATGGGGGAAATGGCTCTTGGTTAAATAACCAGTTCTTTTATCTTTATAATAACCAGTTTTTTTAGATGAATTAACCGAGTTCCAGAATAACTGGGTGACTTATCTGAAGTCATAGAGTTAGCAAAAGTATATGGTTGAGAATTTCCAATTCCAGTTCAGGTTTTCTGATTCCAGTTCCTAGTACTTTTCAAAGGACTAACTTTACTAATTTGTTGATGTGCATTCTTATTTGTTTGTTTCAGGTGCTTGAAGTTTCTGGGAAGTCGGCATCCAACCCTGGTGCTTCCCTTGGTGCCAGAGCTTCTGAGCACCCACCCATTTTTTGACACAGCTGAACCAGACATGGATGATCCAGCTTGTATCCTCTGTGCTTAGGATGGGCCCTGATGTGTTGGCAGGCAGCTTTGGCATCTCCTTCTGCAGTATAGCTAGGGTAGTCTGAATTTTCTTTTCTTTGCTTTTCTTTCTTTTTTTTTTTTTTTTTTGAAGACAGAGTCTCATTCTGTCACCCAGGCTGGAGTGCAGTGGCCTGATCTCGGCTCACTGAAACCTCTGCCTCCCGGGTTCAAACAATTCTCCTGCCTCAGTCTCCTGAGTAGCTGGGATTATAGGCGCCCGCTACCACACCCAGCTAATTTTTGTATTTTTAGTAGAGATGAGGTATCACCATGTTGGCTAGGCTGGTCTCAAATTCCTAACCTGTTGCTTGGGCTGGAGTGCAGTGGCACCACCCCAGCTCACTGCAACCTCCGCCTCCCGGATTCAAATGATTCTCCTGGCTCAGCCTCCCAAGTAGCTGGGATTACAGGTGCCTGCCACCACTCCCGGCTAATTTTTGTATTTTTAGTAGAGACGGGGTTTTACCTTGTTGCCCAGGCTGGTCTCAAACTCCTGACCTCAAGTGATCCACCCACCTCAGCCTCCCAAAGTGTTGGGATTACAGGCGTGAGCCACCATGCCTGTCCAGTATGTACTTTGATAGGCAATATAGTTGCTTACTTTATAGGCAAAATCATTTCCATTTTTTGTATTCTTGGCAGTCTCTGGCATTTTTAAAAACCTTTGGTAATTGGGGGTGTGGGTGGAGTAGGGGAATGTATTTTGTTGTTTGTATTTGCATTTCTTTGATTATTAGAAAATCATAGTCTCTTGATGGAGATTTTGGAGGTGGAAAGTGAGAGTGCCAGAATCTGGCCAACCTTTTATACTTCCAAGTTTACTTAACCCAGTCATCTATCAGATATTGCAGTTTTGGTACTTATTTTCAATGCTGCTAAAACCTGTCCAACAATGCCAGCATTGTTCTCAGATCACACCTTCAGGCACTATGCCTACCTCCGAGACAGTCTTTCTCATCTTGTTCCTGCCTTGAGGGTATGTTGAAAACATCTGTTGTCCTTGTTTTTATTTTGCATGGGGTAGGGTTATTTTTGTTCATGTTTTCCTTTGAGATGGGGGTCTTGTTATGTTGCCCAGGGCGGTCTCAAACTCCTGGGCTTAAGCCATCCTCCTGGCTCAGCCTCCCAAGTCACTGGGATTACAGGTGAGCACCACTGTGTGCAGCTTGTTTTTGGCTTTTTATTTTTTGTGCTTTGTGGTTATTAAATAGTAGAAAGCAGTCCATATATTCTCTGAAAACTTGTTTGTTCATTCTCTTTCTCTCTTGGGCTCTTTGCCATTGTTTTATACTTTTGCTTTTGTATCCTTTACCTTTTAAGATGATTCATTTTTTTTGGTGTCCCTGGGTTATTGATATTAGGCAAGAAGAAAGGAACCTGGAACAATAGATTATATTTTAGATCAAGAATTTAAATTGTTATATATATATATTTATTTATTTATTTTTATTATTATTACTTTTTGAGACGGAGTCTTGCTCTGTCGCCCAGGCTGAAGTGCAGTGGCACGATCTCGGCTCACTGCAAGCTCCACCTCCCAGGTTCACTCCATTCTCCTGCCTCAGCCTCCCGAGTAGCTGGGACTACAGGCGCCTGCCACCACGCCCGGCTAATTTTTTGTATTTTTAGTAGAGACAGGGTTTCACCGTGTTAGCCAGGATGGTCTTGATCTCCTGACCTCGTGATCTGCCTGCCTCGGCCTCCCAAAGTGCTGGGATTACAGGCATGAGCCACCACACCCAGCCTAAATTGTTATATTTTAACTATTACATATAGCTATGATTCTCCACAAGTGCTTATTTTTTAAAAATAAAACCTTTACTATTTTTAAAACCTAGAGTTATATAGAAGAAAATTTAAAAATAGATCATAATAATAATAGCAAACACTTCGTGAATGCTGTGGCTCAGGTACTCTTCCAATCTCTCTATTTGCATTAACTCATCCCTGCTTGGGTGACTCCAAATCACTTTATTTGGAGTAATATGTGTTTATTTAGAGGAACATTTATATATATGTGTGTATATATATATATGTGTATATATATGTGTATATATGTATATATGTATATATATGTATATATGTATGTATATGTGTATATATATGTGTGTATATATATGTATATATATGTGTATATGTATATGTATATATATGTGTATATATATATATGGTTAGAAAATTTAAACTTTATAGAAAATACAAAATGAGGCCAGGTGCGGTGGCTCATACCTGTAATCTAAGCATTTTGGGAGGCCAAGGCGGGTGGATCATCTGAGGTCAGGAGTTCATGACCAGCCTGGCCAACATGGTGAAACCTCATCTCTACTAAAAATACAAAAATTAACTGGGCATGGTGGTGGGCACCTGTAGTCCTAGCTACTCGGGAAGCTGTGGCAGGAGAATTGCTTGAACCCAGGAGGCAGAGGTTGCAATGAGCCAAGATTGCGCCACTGCACTCCCGCCTGGGCGACAGAGCGAGACTCCATCTCAAAAAAAACAAAAGACAAGTAGATACAAAATGAAAAGTGAAATACTCTTTGCTCTCTCCTCCCCATCCATCTTAAAAGGTAACCACTTTTAACAGTAAGAATAAGTATATCTGTAGGGCTAGGCCAAAAATAAAAAAAAATTATTCTCATGAAAAAATTATATGCTATATAAATTTATTTGGGAATAAATCATTATTCTTCCTTCAAGTGAAAGATAAGATAGTGTTTTAAAGATAAATGTGGCCGGGTGCAGTGGCTCACGCCTGTAATCCCAGCACTCTGGGTGGCCGAGGCAGGCAGATCACCTGTGGTCAGGAGTTCGAGACCAGCCTGACCAACATGGAGAAACCCTGTCTCTACTAAAAATACAAAATTAGCTGGGTGTGGGGGCGGCCACCTCTAATCCCAGCTACTCAGGAGGCTGAGGCAAGAGAATCGCTTGAACCTGGGAGGCGGAGGTTGCAGTGAGCCGAGATGGTACCATTGCACTCTGGGCAACAAGAGTGAAACTCTGTCTAAAAAAAAAAATGTAACAACAGTTCAATTTTTAGTCTCCTTCCTAGGGTTGGCCCATTTATTTCAGTTAGCAATAGAAAATATTATATCTTTCTGTTTTTCTCCTGGCAGCTGTGGCTGTATTGGGTAGACCATGTTTGCATTTTGTCTCTTTCTCTTTAACTCCCAATGTTGCTGAGGAAGGGGAGAAATGTTATTTATAGAATATCCTAGCCTTTTTTCCCCTTTGTTTTGTTTAGCTCACGTTTTTAATGTGCTTTTATGTGTTTGTGTGTGTGTTACCAAAAGCTGAGCCACCAAACTTAATGACTCTGTAATCCCACTCTGCTTAGTTACCAGGTAGAAAACTGGTGTCATCAGCTGTTTCTCCCAGCATCATACCTCAAGAGGATCCTTCCCAGCAGTTCCTGCAGCAGAGCCTTGAAAGAGTGTATAGTCTTCAGCACTTGGACCCTCAGGGAGCCCAGGAGCTGCTGGAATTCACCATCAGGTAGGGTAATCATCCCTTCATCTGACAGAGTTAGTGCTGTTACACTCAGCTTGACTGTTCTGAATTCTGGTGTTGGTTACTAGGCTTGATATTCTGACTTTATTGGTCTACATTCACACACGGTTTTATGGTCTGTTTATATTTGGATTAGATTGTGGTTTGAACATATTTTTTAAAAGAGCTCTTTATATTCATGACTCGATTGATGATTAGTACACAACAGAAATAGTTACAAAGAACCTGTTTTTAGTTTTTTAATTTTATATATTAGGATGAGTGACCAAAATGCAAAGTAACAGTGGCTAAAACAGGAGCAAAGTTTAATTCTTTCTCATAGGCAGGACAGGGCTGAGATGACCATCAGGGATCTAGGCTTGCTCTTTTTTTTTTTTTTTTTTTTTTTTGAGACAGGGTCTCACCCTGTCACCCAGGCTGGAGTGCAGTGGCATAATATCAGCTCACTGCAAGTGATTCTCCCACTTCAGCCTCCCAAGTAGCTGGGACCACAGGCATATGCCACCACACCTGGCTAATTTTGGCTTTTTTTTTTTTGTAGAGTCGAGGTTTCACCATGGTGGCCAGGCTGGTCTCAAACTCCTGAGCTCAAGTGATCCTCCCGCCTCGGCCTCCCAAAGTGCTGGAATTACAGGCGTGAGCCACTGTGCCCGGCCTAGGCTCATTCTTTCTTCTGTCTTCATCTTCTGCATCAAGCAGCCTCTGCTTAACAATTCAGATCTAACTGTGCCCCCTGTATTCCATCCTGTGGGGAAAAGGAAACAGGAAGAGAAAGGTATCATCTCCACCCTGTGGTTTGTTTAAAGACACTTCCCAAAAGTTGTACACTCTAATTTTACTTGCATTCCATTGACTAGAACTTAAGTCACATGGCCATCTCTCACTTCAAGGAGCGAGGACATGCAGTCTTTATTCTGGGTGACTAATGCCTGGTTTACATGCGATGACTCTAATACTCAGGAAGAATGGGAGAAAGATATTGGGGAACAACCAAAAGGCTCTGCCAGACCTTCCTCAAAATGGCCTGAATGATATGAAAAAAATTTAAACTCATTTGCTTTTAGCAAAAGCAGTATTGTTTGCTCTTAAAAGATTAAAAAATTATATCTTTGAGGAGCAAACAGTACTGCTTTTGCTAAAAGCAAATGAGTTTAAATTCTTTATTGTTTGCTCTTAAAAGAGAAAAATATTATATCGGCCAGGTGCAGTGGCTCATGCCTGTAATCCCAGCACTTTGGGAGACTGAGGCGGGAGGATCACTTGAGGCTAGGAGTTCAAGACCAGCCCCGTTGAGTGAAACCCCATCTCTACTAAAAATACAAAAATTAGCCAGGTGTGGTGGCACGCGCCTGTAATCCCAGCTACTTGGGAGATTGAGGCACAAGGATCGCTTGAACTCGGGAGGCAGAGCTTGCAGTGAGCCAGGATTGCGCCACTG
The DNA here is from genome assembly GCF_000001405.40 of Homo sapiens. NCBI lineage: Eukaryota > Metazoa > Chordata > Mammalia > Primates > Hominidae > Homo > Homo sapiens. The sequence continues at coordinate 77,917,367 of NC_000011.10, read as the reverse complement.
CACTCCAGTCTGGGCAACAGAGTGAGACTCCATCTCAAAAAAAAAAAAGAAAGAAGGAAAAATATTATATTATATAATTTGTATCTTAGTTGAGATCTCTTTTGATCTGCCCGGAAGAGTATTTGGTACCAGCCACATTCAATTAATAATTTTTAGTGGATGATTTCATTCCATACACTAAGAAACAAGCTCTGTGCTAGATACAGATCAGCTAGCTAGGATTCTGCCCTTAGAGAGCCCATGTAGACAAGATGGATATAGACAAAGACTTATGATGGTGGATAACAGCGCTTTGTACTTTGTTCATGCTTTCCTGTCCATTATTGCATCTTAACATGTTATAAAGCCAGCCAACTGAACCATCCTCCAAGTTATGTTTTCCCATTATATTAGGTCATTCATTCACTTAGCAGCATTAACTATTTGTTTATTCTAATAAGCCAGTTGCTGAGGGTAGAGAGAAATAAGAAATGACATTTGTTCTTAAGGTACTCACTGTTTATTACAGGACCCAGAAATCATCAATTTGATAAATGATACAGTGAAGAGAAGCATAGATGCTGTGGAAAAACAGATGAAAGTCCCCGACCCATCACGGTAGTGGTGGTGAGGGATGCTTCACAAAGGAGAAGATCCTTTAGCTAGTATGAAATGATAACTGAGCATGTCAGTTTCGTAGTCCATGTGCAGAAGACAGTTCCAACTTCAGCAGACATTAGAAGAGCTGGGAGACCTGAGGGAGAACAGCCTCCCAGAACTGCAGTGGTGTAGTATAGTGATTGAGTGAATGGAGCTTTGAGGGCAGACTCATTTTGTTTAACGTCTGAGCTAATACAGTCATGCACTGAATAACAACGTTGTGGTGGTCCCATGATTATATTTTTACTGTACCTTTTTGATGTTTAGATATACAGATATTTACCATTGTTTACCATATTTACCAATATTTACCATTGTAACCAGTGTTACAGTTGCCTACAGTCTTTAGTACAGTAACATGCTGTACAGATTTGTAGCCTAGGAGCAACAGACTATACCATATAGCCTAGGTGTGTAGTAGGCTATACCATTTAGATTTGTGTAAATATACTCTATGATGTTTGTGAGACAAAATCACATAACAGTGTATGTCTCAGAATGTATCTCCATCGTTAAACAACACATGACTTGTAGTTGTTTGATCTTAGTCAAGTTTATTGCTCAGGGTTCATTTGCAGAAAACAAAAGAGGCTTTTAACTAATTTAAGCAGAAAGAAATTTATTACAGAATGTTACATGGCTCACAGAGTTGTTGGGAAGGCTAAAGAAACAGACTAGGTGGAATATCCAGGAATGATTTCCAGAGCCACACAATGAGTGGGCCACCAAGGAGGCTGATGTTCCTGCTATGATCAGGAAAGCTGCCTATTGAGTCAGGATGCTACCAATAAAGCTGCTGGCTCCAGAACCATGTCTTGCATTCTGCCTTTCTTCCCACTTAACATTATTCCCTATGCAAAACTCATGCGAATGTGTTTGATTGACTGATAATAAATCATGTCTGGAACCTAGCTCAAGGGAATCTGAGAAATGCAGTTTTTAACTTTGCAGCTTATGTAGTCTAGGAAGATACAGTAGATGAAGATAGGAATACCACGAGTGAGTGAGCCAAATCCAGTATATGCCATAAGTACCAACTGCTGTTAGCTCCAGTTTACTCACCTGGGGGACTTGGTGACTTGCTGGGTGCAGGGGTGGGAGTGAGGAACTGAGAGATAAATGGGTGGTCTGATACTCTAGTAATCCAATAAAAAGTTGAGGGTGTCCTGGGCTCCCCTGGGAGTGCCGTGGGCTTGGGCTGGACAGGTCGTGGGGAGAATGCTGGGTAGGTGGGTGCAGCTGCAGCCACAGGAGAGCCAGAGTGTGCAGCATGTGTCCAGCGTGAGCCTCCTGAGCTTCCACCTGGGTCACTTAGTCTTTGTGCCCCTGGGAAGCCTCTAGAAGCCACACAGAGGCCCATAGCAACTCTCATGCCCTGGAGGGTCTCACCAGCCACTCCAGTGATGGGCCCCCCAGTAGCTCTGGGACCCAAGCAGGGATGATTCACAAAGTCCCTACCTAGCACAGGCCTTCACAGTTCAACAAGAAAATCCTACTGTTGACTGGATTTTTAAAAATCAGTGGAGGAGATCACACTAGAAATGATAGATACTGCAAGAAACAAAGCTTGAGTGAAAGCTTGTTACCGTAATGAATGGACTCACACATATCACTGCTTTGCAGTGATAGCATCAGCCAAAAGGGCTGCAGAACATGAATCGTTAACAAGTTGAAATATGTCAAAGATGGCTGTGTGGTGTGAAGAAGCTGCATTAGCTGCACAGGCTAAGCCTAAATGATATTCCAAATGGCAGAGTGTTCACCTGAATACCATCACTGTAATCAGTAACAATAAAAGATAGGGAAAACTGAATTATTTTTTAGGTTGAAATGATTTTAGCATGGCAGTTTGTTCTCTTGCCACTGTACATTGAATCATATACTTGATATTTATTGTGTGCCTGTGATGTGCCAGTAACAGTACTCTAAACTAGGAGTCCCCAGACTACAGCCTGTGGACCAAAGCTGGCCTGTTGCCTGCTTTTGTATGTAAGATCTGATTGAAGCACACCCACGCTCATTTGTTTAGGTATTGTCTATAGTTGCTTTCATGCTACAATCACAGAGTTGAGTAGTTGCCACAGAGACCATACGGCCTGTAAAAGCTAACATATTTACTATTTGACCTTTTACAGAAAAAATTTGCTGACCCTGCTGTAAGCTCTGGGCAGTCCACAGCTCTGTAAGCGGAGATTCCAGTCCTTTCTATACCTCTTGTGAAGCGATTTCTCTTCTCCCTCAACAAAGTGTTTAGTTTTGGAGGCCACTGAATGAGGTTGTTGGCCCTGAGCCCAGTAAAATACAGTCTACTTCCTGACTCATCCCCACCTAAATAAACATTTAGATTTTGTCCTTGACAGTTTTATCCTGTTGGCACTAAAGCAAGTGCAAAAGGCACAAAAGCTAGCCAATTTGGTGATCAGCTGCAGTGCTGGCTCTTAGAAGGTACTCGCCTTCATGGTCTGGGTTTCCTGAGATGATAGTCTTGCTAGGCAGTGGCCGGCCAGATCACTGTCCTAAGTTTGGGGCTCTGTGTTTCTAGCTTGAGTGTGTATTCAGGAGCATAGGCAGGATGGTGAAAAATCTGGAAAGGGAAGCAGATGGACCATAGCACTGAGGGCACCTGCGATGTTTTACAACCATCATTGCAGACATGAAGTAATTTGCTAAGAAGAGGCAGAAGCAGGATTTGAGTTCAGCTTTGTCAACTCTAAAATCCATATTCTGTGATGTGCAGTGATTTACAGGGGATTCCTGTATCACATGAGATTAGATCAGTTGACCCCTGGGGTTCTCCACAACTTACACTTTCTGAGTTGTTATGGAGTGAAATGTTAGCCTTTCATACAGAAGGTTCTCTGATGAGGACTGGAGCCATGTATTTGTTAGTATGAGTGTAAAACAAATTTCACTGTCATACACAGTGCCCTGTTTTGTAATCCAAACAGCCATTTAACCCAATGAAGATCTCACCTATGAGCCAGATGCTGTGGCTTGCACCTGTAGAACTGTTGCGAAGATTATTGTAATGATATGTGGCAAAAGCATTTTGAGAATATCAGTTACATAGATAATAGTTGGACATTTATGGATGTTTGCTTTAAAATTTAAACTAACTGGCTGGGCACAGTGGCTCATGCCTGTAATCCCAACACTTTGGGAGGCCAAGGTGGGCGGATCACGAGCTCAGGAGATCGAGACCATCCTGGCTAACACGATGAAACCCCATCTCTACTAAAAATACAAAAAATTAGCCAGGCGTGGTGGCGGGTGCCTGTAGTCCCAGCTACTCGGGAGGCTGAGGCAGGAGAATGGTGCGAACCTGGGAGGCAGAACTTGTGCTGAGCAGAGATCACGCCACTGCACTCCAGCCTGGGCGACAGAGTGAGACTCCATCTCAAAAAAAAAAAAAAAAAAAAAATTTAAACTAACTGGCTTATTTAACATACTGGACATGTTCTTGACATTTTGTAACTAAATCAAATTTTATAAATGTAATCATGTTTAAACTCACTAGCAGGCAGGGTTGAAGGGGATTGTCTTTTAAGGAATGCTGCAGTCATTTGTCTGCTATTTCTCAGTATGAATAGTGACCTCCTGTTTTTCAAAGTTTACATTTTTGTGTTAAGTCCATGAAAGTGCTGTTGCTATACACAGTGTTGTTTCAGGAACCATATCACCTTAGAAGTGTTCCATAATAGAGAATTGTTCTTTTGGAGTAAAATAGCTCATTATTACCTGAAACAGAAGGGGCTTCATTTATCAGAGATAGAAAGAAATATACTACTTTTCTGATGGGAATTCTTTTACACACTAACCAATGAAGAACATGGGATTTTTTAGTTGAATTATTTAAAATCCTCTTTTTGCGTTGAAACTTTTATTGTCTTTTAGGTAGAGCACCTATTGTGTAGTATTGGAACTGGTCTCGTAATTAAAGAGTAGAAATACACGTTTGTAATCTGTCATCATCTAGGTGCAGGAATAAAGATCGCGTTTTAGAGGTCACCAAGACTTTGTGTTTATTTTGTATTTCCTAACATTCCTTTTTGCTCTACTAAGCTACTAAGAGACATTAATTATAAATTTGATTTTTAGAGATTCTAAGAGATTGAAAAAAATAAACTACATTTGATTTGCACATCCAGAATCTTTTTGACTATCTTTAATAGTGATTTAAATAATTAATTCAGCCTATTGTGTAAACTTAAAAAGAATCACTATATGTAAATGTGTTTACACATAGTGGCATAGTGGCATCATATAGATTGCTAATGTGTGTGTTCCTGGGAGGAACTGTTTTGCTCTGCCTGATAGCATCTAAAGAAAAGTGGCCCAGTGTATCCAGCTGTTTTTTTTTTTTTTTGGAGATGGAGTCTCCCTCTGTCGTTCAGGCTGGAGTGCAGTGGTGCAATCTCGGTTCACGGCAACCTCTGCCTCCCAGGTTCAAGCAATTCTCCTGCCCCAGCATCCTGAATAGCTGGGACTACAGGCGCACTCCACCACACCTGGCTAATTTTTTGTATTTTAGTAGAGATGGGGTATCACCGTGTTGCCCAGGCTGGTCTCGAACTCCTGAGCTCAGGCAATCCACCCACCTTGGCCTCCTAAAGTGCTAGGATTACAGGTGTGAGCCACCGCGCCTAGCCGTATCTAGTTTTAAATTAGTTTTGGTCTCATCTGTGTTTGATGTAATTAATAAATAAATGAAAAGAGTTTAATAGCAAATAAATAAATGAGATGCAATATGATATGGTTAAAAAAATACTTTTGGAGTCAGAGCTGACTCTGTCTAGTTCATGTCCTGTTTTGTTGTTTATTCTGTGACCTTAGGCAAGCCACTTAAATTTTGATCTTTAGTTTCCTGTTCAGTGAAATAGGATTAATTGCAATTCATATTGTGAGGATTAAGTGAGCTCAAGTAAGGAAACAGCCAGCACAGTACAGTGCACATAGAATGTGCTCAGTTTACCTTTCTCATTAGAGCCCATAGTCTCCTGATGGATGTCTAGACTGAGGCTTCCTGAGAATTGTGAGCATAAAGAGATAAAGAGAGGTAACACTGGGACACAGGATTTTTCCCAGAGCTAACAAGTTTCCATTTTTGTTTGTACAGAAGTTCAGATTTCTTATGGCTAATTGTGTTGGATTGGGTTACATCTTGTTTTGTGCACTTCAGAACAACTGCTACAATTCCGGGGCAGGGGAATAAAGTAACATTTGGAATCAGTTAGTTAATGTACAGTCAGTTGGTCTGTATTCTGTATAATTGTCATAGAAGGCAGAATCTTCCTGGAGAGGAAACACAAATGCTTCTGAAGTAGAATACTTCAGGGCTGTCTCTTGCAAGAGAAAAATCAGAGAAGCGAAAGGAAGAGACCATCTGGCCACCAAACTCACACTTCACAGTTGGGCTTAGCTAGTCTATGGTCTTGGCTTTCATTGTGCTGGGTTCCCACACTTTGGGTAGGCCCTCCAGGACCAGTTCAAGCAACCCAAACGAATAAGAAGTGATATATATCATACATTAATTCTTCAATCACTTTGAGAGTAATTTACTCTTTGCCCCTTTGTAGGCATCTCCTTCTTGATGTCAAAGTCCCCAGGAGGCATCGTTAACTATCGTAACGTTACCTGCCGAGCATGAGATGGGAGGAAGTGTCATAGTCCAGTGGACGGTTTTTTCCAGGCTACTGTGAAACCTGATGTGTTATGCCGGCCCTGAAACAGACAGCTTCCCAAGTGACTCAGACCTTAAGGTTTCCCACAGTTTCCATTTCTATTCAGAATTTAATGTTGCTATTAAAAAGTAATGAGGCAGCTTTCTATGAATGCTGAGATGGTTAGGTAATACACAAACACACACACACTCACATTCCTCCCCTAAAAAAGAAGAAAGCAAAGAAAACCAGTACTTTTTGTAAATGCATGGCATATCTCAAAATTCAAAAGAAACTGGTAATAGTAGTTGCCTCTGGGAAGGTATACAGGGTGGCAGGGCTACAGGGCACAGGCGTAGGAAGGGGGACTAATTTAATTTAATTTAATTGTATATCCTTTGAAAGCTATACCTTAAGTATGTATTAACTATTCAAAAAAACTAAATTTTTTTTTTAAAGAAACATTTTCTCTTTTTATTATACTTTAAGTTTTAGGGTACATGTGCACAATGTGCAGGTTAGTTACATATGTATACATGTGCCATGTTGGTGTGCTGCACCCATTAACTCACCATTTAGCATTAGGTATATCTCCTAATGCTATCCCTCCCCCCTCCCCCACCCCACAACAGGCCCCGGGGTGTGATGTTCCCCTTCCTGTGTCCATGTGTTCTCATTGTTCAATTCCCACCTATGAGTGAGAACAGGCAGTGTTTGGTTTTTTGTCCTTGTGATAGTTTGCTGAGAACGATGGTTTCCAGCTTCATCCATGTCCCTACAAAGGACATGAACTCATCATTTTTTATGGCTGCATAGTATTCCATGGTGTATATATGCCACATTTTCTTAATCCAGTCTATCATTGTTGGACATTTGGCTTGGTTCCAAGTCTTTGCTATTGTGAATAGTGCCACAATAAACATATGCGTGCATGTGTCTTTATAGCAGCATGATTTATAATCCTTTGGGTATATACCCAGTAATGGGATGGCTGGGTCAAATGATATTTCTAGTTCTAGATCCCTGAGGAATTGCCACACTGACTTCCACAATGGTTGAACTAGTTTACAGTCCCACCAACAGTGTAAAAGTGTTCCTATTTCTCCACATCCTCTCCAGCACGTGTTGATTCCTGACTTTTTAATGATAGCCATTCTAACTGGTGTGAGATGGTATCTCACTGTGGTTTTGATTTGCATTTCTCTGATGGCCAGTGATGATGAGCATTTTTTCATGTGTCTTTTGGCTGCATAAATATGAAAACTAAATGTTTTAAATCACCAATAATTCTAGCACAACTATTTTATTTGTGTATGACACTTTCTAATTTCTTACTATAGGCAGATATGTTTTCATATGGTTACAGTCATTGTGTCTATACTTATATCCAGTTAGGATGCTTTTCACAAGCTAGCTTATAATGGCTATTTATTTCCTGCTATGATCTGAAAGTTTATGTCTCCCCCAAATTCATATACTGCAATCCTAACCCCAAGGTGATGTTATGAGGAAGTGAGGTCTTTGGGAGGTGATTAGGTCATGAATGAGATTAATAACCTTTAAAAGAGGCCTAAGGGAGCTCGTTTGTGACTTCCACCATATGAAGATACATGTAGAAGGTGCAACCTATGAGGAAATGAGCCCTCACTAGAAACCAAATCTGTAGGTGTCTTGATTTTGGACTTCCCAGCCTATACAACTGTGAGAAATAAATTTCGGTTGTTTATAACCCACCCAGTCTATGATATTTTGTTATAGCAGTTGCATGACTAAGATATTTTTCCAGATGTCCAGAAATTGGAGATATGGTATGATTAAGTGGCTTATTTATATCATTGAGGACCTAGTTTCTCTATTTCTCTTTGGACTTTTCTTGTCTTCAGCATTGGCTTTATCTTAAGGGTTTTTCCCTTAGAGTTACAGTATGCTGCTAATGGCAATCAGGGCTATAAACATCCTTGCCCAGTCCGGCGAGAGACAGACAGACACACCAATTTGTTGTAAGCATGGAATAAAGTACTTTCAACTGAACTGATAAGGTCAACTCAGGTCACATATCCAGACAGACAATGTGCACTAATTGGCTTAGTTCAATCAGATACTACTTGGAATTGGGCTTGGGGACATGTTCCCTTGAACAAAATCAGAGTTCAATTAGTAATAAAGAAGTGGAGAATGGCTAACTGGACAGGCAACCAACAGTGTCTACCATAATACCTTTTAAAAAATAATGTTTTTTTCTGATACAAAAAAATACTTGTTCATTGTCTTAAAAACTCGGAAAATAAAGCATAGTTGGGAGAAGGTACTAAAGAGCACCCTATTACCATTATCCAGAAAACCACCTCAATGTATTTTTCTCCTCTATATAGTTTTTACATAGTTGAGATCATACACCTTATTAACCATTCCATATTTTAATGGCTACAAAATATTTACTTGGGCCGGGGGCGGTGGCTCACGCCTGTAATCCCAGCACTATGAGAGGCCGAGGCAGGCAGATCACGAGGTCAGGAGCTTGAGACCAGCCTGGCCAACATGGTGAAACCCTGTCTCTACTAAAAATACAAAAATTAGCTGGGTGTGCTGGTGTGCGTCTGCAATCCCAGCTAGTCAGGAGGCTAAGGCAGGAGAATCGCTTGAACCCAGGAGACAGAGGTTGCAGTGAGTCGAGATCACGCCACTGTACTCCAGTCTGGGCAACAGAGCGAGACTCCACCTCAAAAAAAAAAAAAAAAGATGGATGCAGCAAACCATCATGACGCGTGTATACCTATGTAACAAACCTGCACGTTCTGCACATGTACCCCAGAACTTAAAGTATAATAAAAAAAAATTTACTTGATTGGATGCATCATAATTTACTCAATATTTTTTTCACCATTGAATAAGTAGCTACTGAGTTTTTACTATAATAGTCCACATAACAATGAATATTATGACCCATAAAGCATTTCATTTCTGTTGAATATTTCTCTTAGTATACTTTTCAGTGTAAAGCTATGAATCAAACATTTTACCATATATGTGCCTTTATAACAGTACGGTTTTGCTTTCCAAAAGGGTTACATCAGCTTAAACTACTATCACAGTGTGAGTGAACCAATTTTATTATAACCACTCCAGCATTCAGTGTCGTCATTTAAAAATGTATGACTGTTTACTAGGTATAAAATGATAAAATGCTTTTGACATGATCTTTATGTTGGTGGCATTATCCTTATCCTGTGTTTGCCTTGGGGGTTTTATTTACTATAGGGATCTGCAAAGACTTGGAGAACTTCAATCTGAATTGGCAGGAGTAGCTGATTTCTCTGCCACCTATCTTCGCTGTCAACTACTTCTCATCAAGGTTGGTTTGCATCCATTCCATTTATGATTGTGTTGCTAAAAATGCATCTTTGTGGATCCAGCAGTGTGTGAGGCCATAAGTTATAAAACTTATGGTCTTAATGCAACCACTTGACAATGGAGAAATATGTACTCTGCAGTGTGATTACATTTGTCTCTAATTAACGAAATATTAACTCATAGGAATTTGTAAATTTGGGGAGAATTCTTTTATCATAATATAATTAGAGCAGATTGGATAATCATTTTAGTTAGAATCCCAAGGTTGTAAATGTTTTGTATAATTTGATTAGCAAAGGAATTGTATGAAGTTTTAGACTATCTTCTTAAAATGCTCATTTGAAGGCCAGGTGCGGTGGCTCACACCTGTAATCTTAGCACTTTGGCAGGCCAAGGCAGGAGGATCGCTTGAGCTCAAGAGTTTGAGACCAGCCTGGGCAACATAGCGACACCTCATCTCTACAAGAAAATTTAAAGTAGGCAGGTGTGGTGGTGCATTCCTGTATATCCAGCTACTCGGCTGGAGTTGGGAGGACTGCTTGAGCCTAGGAGGTCAAGGCTGCAGTGAGATTGCACTCCAGCCTGGATGACAGACCAAGATCCTGTCTTTAAAGAAAACAAACAAACAAACAAACAAAAAAACTCACTGCACTTCATCAAAGTTAAAAGGTTGATTTCATTGCTTTTAAAAAGACCAGCTTGCTGGCGTTTCTTACTCAGTAGTCAGCTATACACAGAATTGGTACCCAAGAATCTATTTAGTTTTGCTGAGTTAAAAAACAATTAAATGAGTTCAGTATCTTTCAGCTTCTGTAGCAGAATTTTACTATAAATTTTGGCACAGAATTTAGGAGAGCCCTTCTCACTTGACGAACTTTTATCTTGGCCCTAGTTCAAAGTGTTCTTTGTTTTCAAAGTGATTAATGATGTTTGGCTAAAGTCAGAGTAAATCAGGGAGTCAAAAGTTATTTTCTACTGTGTGAACTTGTGCTAAATGTTATATTTACAGTTGTGCAGGTGTGCCTATACATGTAAAGGTGCGTATGTATACTTGGCACTTAAATGGTCCTTGTTAGGCTAGATATGTTCTTTCTAATGTATATATCTGTGTAATCACCACCATAGGCAAGTCGTAGAACATTTTCATCACTCCAAGAAGTTCCTTCCTGCCCCTTTGCAAGGTTGTTTGGCTTTTCCAAGCCTCTGTGAAACCCCAGGAATTCAAGGAGGCCATGGAGAAGAATCCACTTTTCTATAGTAGCAAAATATGGGTGAGGAAAGAGAAGTGATTACTCCTAAAAAGAACACATAATTGTTGGTTATTCAATGACAAGGGGTGACAGTGTAGGTGAGGGGCCCAGAGCCAGAACCCAAGGCAAGTGTGTTTAATAACAGGAAAAAAGCTAAATAAATTTTGGTACAGCTACCTAGCAGTATATTCTGTAGTCAGTAATTCTTTATGAAGAATTATACAACAACATGACAAAATATTTAGGGTGTAATGTTATGTACCCAAAAGAAGGGGAGCCAATCATAATCCCAAAAGATAGTCCAGAACATCATAGTCCTAAACTGTTTAAATTCCAAAAGACTAAAATCCCTAAGGTCTAAAATCCCAAAAACCACAGCCCAGAAAATATCAAAATCCCCAAAATATAATTATGGAAGAAATAATTTAAAAAATTTAAAGATATTTATTTTTTAAAGGGGAATTTATTTGAGAAACATAAAAACACAACAGAATACTTTATACATCACTTAATATAATAAAACAGACAATAACAACATACATTTTTGCAAGCATAAACACTCAGGTTACTAATGACAGTTGGGTGGGTCTAACAGTTATGAGCAGATGAGCCATATTTATAAAGAAATTGGTCATAAAGGGAAAGGTATAAATGCATATCACTTTGGTTGTTAATTGTGTATACCCAGCTTTTTAACTGTGGTCATCTGAAATACTGTGCCCAACAACCTCAAGTCTTTTGACGAGATTGATGGAAACTGTGCTGGGTCACCACTGCATATGCAGTCACCCAAAGAGCTGAGATCTCAAGAAATTTTATCTTTCACAAATGCAGATGTACGAAAAGGATATCTCATTTATCGAGGAAGTTTCAACATTTTGTGTACACACTCAATGCTTATACACAAAGTCAGTATTGTGATGATGCACTTTCATGGAGTCAGATTTCTGATATCCAAGCAGCAGAACCCAGAGAGTCCGTTTTGCTATATTGCCTTTTTTTTTTTTTTGAGACAGAGTCTCAGCTTATCATCCAGGCTGAATACAGTGGCGTGATCTCGGCTCACTGCTGCAACCTCTGCCTCTTGGGTTCAAGCAATTCTCCTGTCTCAGTCTCCCAAGTAGCTGGGATTACAGGTGTGCACCACCACGCCTGGCTAATTTTTGTATTTTTAGTAGAGACAGGGTTTTGCCATGTTGGTCAGGCTGGTCTCCATCTCCTGACCTCAGGTCATCCACCCACCTCGGCCTTCCAAAGTGCTAGGATTACAGGCATGAGCCACCACTCCCAGCCCATTTCGTCTTAAGTATTTGTTCTCTCCTGGCCACTGGCTGATTGGATGGTGCCCGCCAACATTGAGGGCAGATAGTCTCCACTTAGTACACTCAGATTTATACACTAATCTCTTCTGGAAACACTCTCATAGACACACCCTCAATGTGTAAAACAAAATAATCTTTTACCAGGTTTCTGATATTCCTTAATCTAGTCAAGCTGATATCTAAAATTAGGTCCACAAGTCCACCCCTTGTCAGCTTGGCACTCATACGCATCTCCTTAAGCCATATTTAATTTCCAAATAAAGACAATAACATGGTAATAGTTGTGCCTAACATGATACAACTAACATGATGCAACTATCCTGCATACAACCCAAAACACGCTAATCACTTCCCCAGAATTTGGATGTGAGGATTTCAACATTTGGGATTGTATGTTTTGGGATTATGATCTAATCCCCAAACTTAATTCTGCTTTCTGACTACAACTGTCAAAAAACATGCATACAAGAAATGATTAGAAGTAAATATTCCAGAAATTCCTATAGTTTTTATCTACAGTTTAGACCTACCACTGTTTAATTTGATAGCCACCAGATACATGGGACTCTTGAGCACTCAAAAAGTTGTTAGTCCAAACTGAGATGTGTTATTAAGTGCAAAATACACACTGGATTTCTCAGACTTAGTATGAAGAGAAAATGTAAACTAATTAATAATTTAAAAAATACTGCATGGTGAAATGTTAATATCTTGGATATACTGGGTTAAATAAACTTTTTTAAAAAATTAACTTAGTCTTTGTATCTTAAAATTAACTTACATCTTTGTAATTTAAAAACCGTGGCTACGAGAATATTTAAAATTATATATAGCTCATGTTATATTTCTATTGGACAGTGTTAGTCTAGGTTTTCTGTAATGTCATTTGATTACATCTGTAATTCAGAAGGACTGAGAAAATAAGAGGCTGTCACAGAAGTTTGTGCAAGGGATGAGGTCATGTGGATGGATAGGTGAGGAGAGAGATGGAAGGTAAAATCATGGCTCTTAGTGGTGGTTTTGAATGTAGAAAGATTGAAAGAGGGAGAAATCTAGGAAAGCTGCTTGATTTCTAGTTGAATATGTTGATAAAGTGGTTGGGGCTTACAACATAATGAGCATAGGGGAAAAGAAAAAAGAACCACAGTTAAGGAAGAAGTATCTAGGTGGCTTGGGTTAGTCCAGTAGCTCTGGGAACAAGGAGTGCCTAGAGCCCGGAAGCTGGCTTGCCTGCGCATTCTGGTGAAGCTTTCGTGGTTCCTGTCCTCTGCTTCCAGAAGCACTGATCTGGGACACAGAGCCTTTGGGCCAAGAATTGGATCAAATGGGTGGGAATTCATTTAGCCCAAACCATTGGTCTCATCTTTCTCCATAATAGATACAGCTTATTGGGTTAAAAGAATAAGATCAATTGAGAAGTCATGTTCATGGGAGACTTTCAAAGGAAAACAAAAATGTAAATCCCAAATGATAGGCCAGTCTTTGTGACCTCGGTATTCTGTTCCCTCCTGATTTGTCTGCGTAGGCCTTGCAGGAAAAGTTGTGGAATGTAGCTGCCCCTTTGTATTTGAAGCAGAGTGATTTGGCCTCAGCAGCAGCGAAACAGGTAAGCTTATTCAGACCTTCCCTTCAAATAGGTCTCTGTCCAGTAATTGTCTGGTCCAAGACAGAGCCAGAGGCCTTCCTATAGCTCTGTCTGTGTAGGCCTTGCAGGAAAAGTTGTGGCATGTAGCTGCCCCTTTGTATTTGAAGCAGAGTGATTTGGCCTCAGCAGCAGCAACACAGGTAAGCTTATTCAGACCTTCCCTTCAAATAGGTCTCTGTCCAGGAATTGTCTGGTCCAAGGCGGAGCCAGAGGCCTTCCTGTAGCTCTATACCTCTGCTGTGGCCTCCCTAATTTCAGGCTATGACAGAAGTTAGTGATATGAGAAGGAGCATAACTAGGAGACACAGCACTCACTTTGGACTCAGGGGACCTGGGTCCTAGTCCCAGGTCTTCCTCTGATTTGCTGAGTGATATTGAGCAAGTTACTTAAATTCCCTGGATTTTTTCTCTTCTATAAAATGTGGCAGTTGGGCCGGGCGCGGTGGCTCACACCTGTAATCCCAGCACTTTGGGAGGCTGAGATGGGCACATCACTTAAGGTTAGGAGTTTGAGACCGGCCTGGCCAACATGGTGAAACGCTGTCTCTACTATCATGAATCTTTCATCTGAAAATGTAGCCCAACTCAGTTAAGGTTGTTTATATCTTTAGCCTGTACCATCTCTTCAACGTTAAAAGGTCCTGGGTAGTTCATTAAGTAGGCTTTAATTTTATTTGTCTCTAGTTTATTTCTTTTTAGCTTTGAGTCATTCCCCTTTGCACCTGAGTATTGAGACTTGGTGATCTCTTGCAGGTCAAGTCTTCCAGATAGGGAGTCTGTAAATGACCCAGGAGGAAGCTAATGATGGTGACTGTTATTGTTACATTACAGTTCACTAAATGATTTCAAGTCTATTAGCTTAATTAACCCTCATAATAATCCCATTAGATAGGAATAAGTATTAAGTCTGTTTTAGAGATGAGGCAGTTAAGGCTCAGCAAGGTTAAATTCATAGAGCTATAGGTAATACAGTCAGGACTTGAGACCAGATCCTCTGATACCCAGAATCTGTTTTCTACTACAGTGCTGAACTCTTGTCTGATCCAGACTCTTTCTCAGACCTGGTATGTGGCTTATTGTAGAAGAGTAGAATTTAATGACTAGAACCCGATAATTGAGCCACATTGGAAGGATGGGACCAGGGAGCAATAATTTGGAAGGAAAAGAGGAAAGGAATTACCATTGCTGTATACCAGATACTGTGATAAACACATTGCATGCTCCATTTGATACTTGAAACTTCATGATATTGGTACTGTTTCTTCCCTGTTTACAGAAAGGGATTGAGACACTCATGTAATTTAACTTGTCTTATTGCCAATTGTAAGAGAGTCTGGAGTCATTTCCGTGACCCTAGAGTGTTCACTGGGAGGCAAGCACAGAAGGAAAAGAGAAGCATCATTTTGATGAAAATCGCTTATTTGGATAGAACCGAGCAAGATCGGGGACTTGATCTGGGGTCATAGACAAATGTTTTCTTGCACTTATTTCTGTCCCAAACTCCCTCAGACCAGGCCCATGGAACAGTCTGTCAGGATAACTAACATATGGTTAATAGTTCCTGATGCTTAATTCTTGAGGACTTTGTGGGGATTGGGTTTCCATACATAATATATATTAATTTGTTCCCACAGCAGAGTGGGCTTCATTTAGGGTAAGAAGCAGTGCTTTCAGTGCTTTGCAGTTTGCTTAGTGATTAAACTTTCTTATCTTCACATCATCAACTAAGATGATTTTATTACCAGGTCAGTCTTCTTTTTAAGTAGGCAAAATAATTTATTCTCTTTTTACAAGGCATACTATACTAATTTCTTTCAACACTTAAAAGCATAAGGATGTAAAATCTCAGTTAAGAGTTTCACCTAAGGTCATTTAACAGTAGAATTCTATGCTGCTCTCAAGTAAGACTATGATATTTTTATTGATTGTTAATTATCTTTCCTTTATAGATTATGGAAGAGACCTACAAAATGGAATTCATGTACAGTGGTGTGGAGAATAAGCAGGTGGTGATTATACATCACATGAGGCTGCAGGCCAAAGCTTTGCAACTTATAGTAACAGCACGAACTACACGAGGGTAAGATGTGGGGTTGGCCAAAATATGTGGCATGTTCCTTTCAAAGATACTTCAAATGCATTCAGACATCACACGAAAGTTAATGATAAGTGAAATGAAATTTAGGAAAGACTAGCTAAGGAATGTGTGATCTATTCATTTTTTTCAGATATTACAAATTCTGTTGTTGGATCAGATTAGACCCTTGGAAATCCAATTGTGTCTCTCCCTTGCTAAAAACCCTCTGGTGACTCTCCATTACATATAGCACAACACTGGACTTTATCTGGCAATAAGGACACTCTGTATCCTCCTACTTGATAGATTTCCTTAAGAATTTAGTGCCAGGGACCACTTTTTCTGTTCTGAAGGGACTAATAAGCTTTTTCTCAGGCAATAAGGATAAATTAAGAGGATGTACTGGGAAGTCAGACTACTTTGTTCAAATCTTGTCTTTTCTACTTACTAGTTGTTTGGTTATGAACCTTTCTGTACCTTGTTTCCCTGTACAAAATGAAAATGAAGACAGCATCTACCTCATGGCATTTCTATGAAGAATAAATGAGATAATACATGTAAAAACACTTAGCATGGTACTTGATACGTAATAAGAGCTCAGTGTAATTATATCTGTAAGACTTTCAGATAACTGGAATTGCCACATTTCATTGATTCCAAGATACACATTTTTTATTATTGTAACTTCTCTGAAATCAGATATTTTGATGGTGTCCCATAGTGTTTTTTGTTTCTTACTATTTCATAAAATAAAGGTGCATCTTAAGAATGATGGCATCATAGATTTGATACAAAAAAGTACTTAGGTGACTCATTGCCAGCTCACAGACATGTTTGATGCTCAGTCCAGCTCCTGTGTCAAAAAAAAAAAAGTGCCATAGAGATATAAATATGAATGCTTAAACACAGAAACATACTAGGTCAGAAATAACATCCTGAAAAATAAAATATTTTATTTCTTCACGTATCTTGATAGTGACCTCATAAAGTCAAAGAATCATTTAATCTTAAAGATATTCATATGTGGCC
Source organism: Homo sapiens (assembly GCF_000001405.40). Lineage (NCBI taxonomy): Eukaryota > Metazoa > Chordata > Mammalia > Primates > Hominidae > Homo > Homo sapiens. The sequence continues at coordinate 77,900,394 of NC_000011.10, read as the reverse complement.
GGGTGTGGTGGCTCACACCTGTAATCCCAGCACTTTGGGAGGCCAAGGTGGGCAGATCACGAGGTCAGGAGATCAAGAGCATCCTGGCTAACATGGTGAAACCCTGTCTCTACTAAAAATACATAAAATTAGCCGGGCATGGTGGCATGCACCAGTAGTCCCAGCTACTCGGGAGGCTGAGGCAGGAGAATCTTTAGAACCTGGGAGGTGGAGGTTGCAGTGGGCCGAAATCACACCACTGCACTCCAGCCTGGGCAACAGAGCAAGACTCCATCTTTATATAAAAAAAAAAAAGATATTCATATATTCATTTAACAAATGTTTAATCCCTACTATGTGCCAGTTATAGCTGAAAAAACAAAGGTGCTTGTGATGGCATCTATACTGTTTTTTAAAAAAGATTTTTTTTAGTTTATATATAATTGTTAGAAAAATTAAAATATTACAGGGTAAGTGAAGGTTCTCTGGTAATCTACCACTTTGAAAACAGCTGCCAGCATTTCATGTGTATACTTCCAGATTTTCCCAAACCATATAAACATAGATTATAAAGATGTGTACAATAACATAAAGGGGATCATACCATACTTTGCTGTTCTGCCTCCTATTCCTTTCACCGAGCATTATAATATGCTTATCTTGTCATGTCATTATATAAAGATACTAATGTTTTTAGGTCTTTACTCATGCTATAATATTTTATATTTTTCTTTTTTTTTTCTTTTAGACAAAGTCTCGCTCTTGTTGCCCAGGCTGGAGTGCAGTGGTCCGATCTCAGCTCACTGCAACCTCTGCCTCCTGGGTTCAAGCGATTCTCCTGCCTCAGCCTCCCAAGTAGCTGGGATTACAGGCATGCAACACCATGCCCGGCTAATTTTGTATTTTCAGTAGAGACGGGTTTCACCATGTTAGCCAGGCTGGTCTCGAACTCCTGAACTCAGGTGATCCACCCGACTCGGCCTCCCAGAGTGCTAGGATTACAGGCGTGAGCCACCGAGCCCAGCCTATATTTTTCATTTGTATGCATTCCTGCTTTTTTCTTTTTTTTCTTTCTTAGGTTTTGCTAGATTGTTTTCTTTTTTCCTCCAGGGGTTTGAAAGTTATGCACCCTAATTCTAAACTCTTCAAGTGAGAGGCAGTAGAACATACTGGTTAAGAGGGCTGTGGTGCCACATTGCTTGGGTTCACATCTTGACTTTACCATTTGCAAACTGAGTAACCCTTGGACAAGTTACTTAACAATTCTTGGCCTCAGTTTGTTCCCATAAGTTAAACTGAGATAATAGTAGTACCTATCTCTTCCTCACAGGGTTATTGTAAGGGTTATTGAATTATTATATGCAAAACCATTTATTTATTTTATTTATTTATTTATGAGACAGAGTCTTGCTCTATCACCCAGGCTGGAGTGCAGTGGCACGATCTCAACTCACTGCAACCTCTGGTTCCCGGGTCCAAGCAACTCTCATGCCTCAGCCTCCCAAGTAGCTGGGACTACAGGCACATGTCACCACACTCAGCTAATTTTTTTATTTTTAGGAGAGATGGGGTTTTACCATGTTGGCCATGCTGGTCTCAAACTCCTGGCCTCAAGTGATCCACCTGCCTTGGCCTCCCAAAGTGCTGGGATTCCAGGCGTGAGCTACCGTGCCTGGCTGGATTATTGTATGCAAAGCCTTTAAAATAGTGTCTGTCACATCCATTATAAATACTTGATACATGTTAACTAATATTAGTTTTAGTAATACTGTTATTACTTATATTTTTAATGAACATATTGAACTTATATTTATCAGCATAAAAAGTTAAACAGAATTTATGGTCACCTCTCTAAGATCAAGGTGATCTAATAGATAAACATGATCTAAGATGAAGATGAAGATTTTAGTATGCTTTTGTTTGTCTCTTACTGCTTAAGTAATTTGGGCCAGTTGGCCGGGCGCAGTGGCTCACGCCTGTAATCCCATCACTTTGGGAGTCCAAGACAGGTGGATCACGAGGTCAGGAGTTCAAGACCAGCCTGGCCAAGATGGTGAAACCCCATCTCTACTAAAAATACAAAAAATTAGCCAGGCATGGTTGTGGGCATCTGTAATCCCAGCTACTCGGGAGGCTGAGGCAGAAAATTGCTTGAACCCAGGAGGCAGAGGTTGCAGTGAGCCGAGATCGCACCACTGCACTCCAGCCTGGGTGACAGAGTGAAACTCTGTCTCAAATAATAATAATAATTTAGGCCAGTTAAGGCCTCTTACTGAGCAAAAAATAATAATAACAATTTGGGGTAGATGCAGTGGCTCATGCCTGTAATCCCAGACTTTGGGAGGCCAAAGCAGGAGGATCGCTTGAGTCCAGCCAGGAGTTTGACCCCAGCCTAAGCAACATAATGAGACCCTGTCTCTAAAAAATAAAAATCAAAAATTAGCTGGACATGGGTGGTGTGCACCTGTGGTCCTAGTTACTTGGGAGGCTGAGGTGGGAGGATCCCTTGAGCCCAGGAGTTCAAGGCTGCAATGAGCTATGATCATGCTATTGCACTCCAACTTGGGCAACAGAACAAGACCCTATGTCTTAAAAATAATAACAATAATATGGCTGGGTGCGGTGGCTAACGCCTGTAACCCCAGCACTTTGGGAGGCCGAATCGGGTGGATCACGAGGTCAGGAGATTGAGACCATCCTGGCTAACATGGTGAAACCCCGTCTCTACTAAAAATAAAAAAAAAAAAATTAGCCGGGCGTGGTGGCAGGTGCCTGTAATCCCAGCTACTCGGGAGGCTGAGGCAGGAGAATGGCATGAACCCAGGAGGTGGAGCTTGCAGTGAGCTGAGATCCCACCACTGCACTCCAGCCTGGGTGACAGAGTGAGACTCTGTCTCAAAAAAAAAATAATAATAATAATAACTTGGAGGTTTGTTTCAGCTGATTATGTTTTTATAATGTAGCTTCTATTAATTTTTATGTTTATAAATATAATCTTTTAAAGTTATAAGTACATAATCCTTGTATATCCTTCTTTATTTTTATTTTTAATTTTTTTATAAAATATTTTTTATTTTTAAAAATAATAGAAACATGGTTTCACTGCGTTGTCCAGGCCAGTCTTGAACTCCTGAACTCAAAGTGTCCTTCCACCTCGGCCTCCCAAAGTGCTAGGATTACAGACGTGAGCCACCACTTATAATCTTTATAAGTTTAGCTCCAACTTTGCCACCACTGTTCTCTGTCGCCTTTTAAATTCCTTTGCTCTCATACATAAATGGAATTCTTTTCCAATTATTTCCATATTGCTATGGTGCCTTTATTTATTTATTTTATTGGGCAACCCCCGCCACACCAGAATAGGTTCATAGAGACTCTCTGCCTCTGCTATGTTCCCTTTTAGTATTTAATGTTACAGTTGAATGTTTTATGTCAGTCTGGTTCTCTTCCCTACAGCTTATTTTTCATGCTCAAACCTTTAAAATTTTCTTTCTGTTTTTAATTTCACCAGGATATGTCTAGGTATGTGTTTTCTTTCAATATTCTTGCTGATCTTCGGTGGGAGTTTGAAGTATCAGCTGTTTTTGGCTCAGGGATTTTTTTTTTTCCTCCATTATTTCTTTACTTCTTCTATACACTCTAGTCTGTTATACTAAATGTTGGATTTTCTGGATCTATTTTTCCTATACCTTTTCTTTTGTAATTTCAATTTCTTTGTTTTTCTATTCTGTATTCTGAGTAAATTCTTTTTTTTTTTTTTTTTGAGACGGAGTTTTGCTCTTGATGCCCAGGCTGGAGTGTAATGGCACAAACTCAGCTCCCCACAACCTCCACCTCCCGGGTTCAAGAGATTCTCCTGCCTCAACCTCCCAAGTAGCTGGGATTACAGGCATGCGCCACTGTACCCGGCTAATTTTGTATTTTTAGTAGAGACAGGGTTTCTCCATGTTTGGTCAGGCTGGTCTTGAACTTCTGACCTCCGGTGATCCGCCTGCCTCAGCCTCCCAAAGTGTTGGAATTACAGGCGTGAGCCACTGTGCCTGGCCAGTAAATTCTTTAATATGCTTTTTTTAGTTTATCATTTCAGTTTACATTGTTGTTGATTCCACTGTTCTGAACCGTTGAGTTTGATTTCATTATTATGTGTTTTATTTCCAAGTGTGCTTCTCTACTATTTTTTTCCTTTTTTTTCTGTATAGTTTCTCTTCTTGTCATCTGCTGTTTCTGTAGCAGTTTCTCTTGCTTTGTCAATGTAATATCCTTTTAAATCCCCTGTTAACTCTCACCGAGGTTGTTGATTAGAATTTTTAAAAAAGTTTTCTGTGCTTTCTTGCCTTGACTTAACTCTTTTTGAGGACTGCTTGGTCTCCTTTACAGCTCCTGATTGTCGTTTATAACACCTAGTCATTTTCCATTGTCTTTGCCTACTTACAATGAAAGTCTAGACTAGTTTAAATTGGTAATTTGTATTCTTTAATGATTGTTAGCCCCCGAGTGAGCCTCACTTTCATAGCTTTCCTTCCCTCACACCAAAGGAAAAGTAGGAGTTCTTAGAGGCCTACTTCATGTATATGGCCTGTTGATGAGGATGCCTGCTCTTTTTTGACGTTTGGGGAGAGTTCCCAAATCTTTTTGTATTTTACTTCCTGGAGTCTCTCCAAGATGATTCTCTATATAATCAGGCAAACAAATGAGGAAATGTCACTGCTTGGCCAAATTGCTTTCCTTTGTGCCCTTGCTTGGCTGGAATTCTCCCTTCTAGCCCTCTCACTCCTTGTGGTGTTTGGTGGGTAACCTCACTATGAAATTTCACTTCCATTTCTGGTAGAAGATTAGTTTAAAAACTTTCAAGTGCTACTTTTTTTTTTTTTTTTTTTTTTTTTTTTTTCAGGAAAAGAATTAGAATGAATGTTGCTTCCAGAGTAGGTTTCCATTTGCCATCTACCCCCGGCCCCATTTTTTGTTCATTCAGCAAATACTTATTGACTGCTGCCTGTGCTAGGAAATATATGATGAAGAATACAAAGTCTACTCATGGAGACTATATTTTAATAAAAAGACTAAACCTTGACATCATTCTCTTAAATATTTTTACATAAGGAAAGAGTATTTGTTTTATCTTGGTGGGAACTTTATTCCTCCAATGAATAATATATTAAAGAAAACAAGTGGGAAATTTCATGCAGAAATTACATACAAGAAATAGGAAGAAAATATGCAAAGGTCAAAACTTAGTAAGTCATACTGACCTAGCATGTTGCCTGGATTATTTAGGTATGCAATAACTTTTTAGTGAAATGAAATGTTCTCAAGTACTGTGAGGCCAAGTAATTCAAGATAGAGAGGAAGGAACACCATCTATGTCTGTCGCCAAAATAGTAACAAAACCTTTTCCCCTCTTGCACAGGAATTTAGTTAACTTTTTAGGTATGTTTCTTGGAGCCCTTACAGTATCAACTACATTAGTAGGCTATACCGCTATGGAAAAAATGATCTCTGAGTAAATTGCATGTAGACCAGAAGGAAATATAAATGAACTAGTTTCCAGATGCCGATACAATGGCTGTAGGCTTCATTGAGTGCAGTGATTCTTGAAACTGGATAGATCTTGCAGCAGTCCACACAGCTATCTGGGAGCTTTCATCCCAATGCTGACAGCTCATGTGCAAGGAGATGAGATCTAAATCAGGTAGGTATAGAGACCATACTAGCTGAGATGCTAATGAAGCAAGGACTCCTGCAGAAGGGGAACTTGACACTGTACTGCCCACATGCTATGCTTCTCTCCTGTATTCGTAGTGAGTCTAGTGCCAAGTGTAGCCTGTGATACTCTTTGATTTTTAATATTCTTTGAGCTTAATGGGCACTGCAGTGGTTTAATCAGGTCTTGGGATCCCGACAGGTGTTTCCCCCAGGTCCATTAGGAGTCTTCTGTTACTTTTAGAGATCATTTTTATAGTATAATATGCTAATTTTCCTTTAATTTAGGCTCAGGTTTCTGGGACTTTTGGTCCTCCTCAGTTTGCAGATTTCACAAGCAAATTATTTTACATTTCTTTTCTACAGACTTGACCCCTTATTTGGGATGTGTGAAAAATTTTTACAGGAAGTAGACTTTTTTCAGAGGTAAGTATTTTATAACTCTTCTGGCTTATTAAATCTTGGTTACATGGAGTATAGCACTTGCAGGCAATAGGAACAATCACAAATCACATTCCTTGGTTTAGCTTGTGCAGCCAAGCTATCATCTGTGGCCATGTCGTTAACCTTAAATTAGGAAAAAAAGAACCTAATTTGGTTTTTTTCCTTAATGTTATAGAAACTTCTTTGAAGTTGGAGCTTCAAAACTAAACCTACCAGGAATCACTTGCATTTAGCACTCAGCTAGGCCATAAAAAGACAAGTAATATGAAGAAAACGTGTAAATACGTTTGTTGAAAAAAATCATTAGTCATCTGTTTTTTTCAACACTGTTCGTTCACACCATTCTTATTTATTTATTTATTTATTTATTTATTTATTTAAGACAGAGTCTTGCTCTGTCACCCAGGCTGGAGTACAGTGGTGCAGTCTTGGCTCACTGCAGCCTCCGCCTCCTGGGTTCAAGTGATTCTTCTGCCTCAGCCTCCCAAGTAGTTGGCACTACAGGTGCCTGCCACCACACCTGGCTAATTTTTGTATTTTTAGTAGAGACGGGGTTTCATCATGTTGGCCAGGCTGGTCTCTAACTCCTGACCTCAAGTGATCTGCCTGCCTTGGCCTCCCAAAGTGCTGGGATTACAGGCGTGAGCCACCGCCGTGTCTGACCTCATTATTATTTTTTGAGACAGGGTCTCACTCTGTCACCCAGACTGGCACAGCTCACTGCACCCTTGAACTCGTGGGCTAAAGCTATCATCCCACTTCAGACTCCTGAGTAGCTAGGACTACAGGCATGTGCCACCATGCCTGGATAATTTTTAATATATTTTTTTTAGAGATGGGGTCTTGCTGTGTTGCTCAGGCTGGTCTCAAACTTCTGGCTTCAAGAGATCCTCCTGCCTCTGCCTCCCAAAGTATTGGGATTACAGGTGTGAACTACTGCACCAGGCCCACACTGTTCTTACACTTGCATATTTCTCTATAATCTACAATTGTTTTGTAATTCTGTAGGTAAATTTTATTTTGTAGAATACATGTATTTTTTCAGAGTTTTATATGGAATGAATCCGTTAAAGCACATGCAGTAGTTGAATGGAAAGCTTGATGAAGAAATAGGAGTCGAGGGAGTGACCAGACTTCTGGTATGCTGGCAGAATAATACTGGGAGAAGACATAGGATCTTAAAGCACTGATGAAGTCTGTTTCATTTCTTCCGCTCATTGTCCCTGCCCTCATGAAGTTCACCAAACCTGAGGTTTTTATGACTCTGTACTTGTCACTGGGGTGATGATAGCTTCTTACAGGGCTGAGTTGCAACACTACCTTCACCAGCAGGTAATACTCTCTAGCAAACTTACCATCTAGCTTGGCTTTTTAAGATCCTAGTTTTGAGGCTGGGCACGGTGGCTCACGCCTGTAATCCCAGCACTTTGGGAGGCTGAGGCGGGTGGATCACGAGGTCAGGAGTTCGAGACCAGCCTGGCCAATATAGTGACACCCTGTCTCTACTAAAAAATACAAAAAATTAGTAGGGCGTGGTGGTGGGCAGCTGTAGTCCCAGCTACTCGGGAGGCTGAGGCAGGAGAATTGCTTGAACCCGGGAGGCGGAGGTTCCAGTGAGCCGAGATCACGCCATTGCACACCAGCCCGGGCAATAGTGCGAGACTCCTTCTCAAAAAGAAAATTAAAAAAAAATTCTAGTTTTGAATCTGAAATAAGTTCATGCCTTACTTTTGCTTTAGTTTCTTTAAAGTAGAGAGTCTGTTTTTGCACAGTTGGGTTGAAAAGATTTTTGGGAAGATGAGAGCTCTGAATCCCCAAAGTTCTTCATCTGATGTTCTTAATTCATCCTTTGAGTTCCTGCACAGATATCACCTCCTCAGTGAGATATTTTTTGACTATCCACTGGCACAAGGCACAAAATTGGATCAGTCTGAGCCAGGAGTAACGTACTTAACTTTTCTGAGCCTCAGTGAGGCATCATCCCCTCTGAGTCTCAGTGTTTCTGCCACTTGAATGTAAGCTCCATTGAAGCAATCGTTTTTTTCTCTTCCGTTCACTGTGTTTCCAGAACCTAAAATAGTGCTTGGCGCTTCGTAGGTCTTAAAAATGTATTTGTTAAAATAATTAATGAATCTATAATACGAAAATAAAAATTCTAATGATGCATAGGATTGCTGGAAGTTAAATAAGATCATGTAAAACACTTAAGAGTATGCCTGGCACATAATGGTTATCAATAAACAGAGGCCTTTCTGATGATCATGTGACTGAGGCATGATTGTATAGGTACCAGTCTATCTTGGTCGTAAACTGCAAGCTCCTCTCACTTCATCATTCTTCCTACTTCAGGGTTTGATAGGTGTCTGGGGCCCAGCCTGTGGTGAATGAGTGCACAGTTGAATGAGTCAGTTGCTTCTGTTTGTTCCTCCAGGTATTTCATCGCTGATTTGCCCCACTTGCAGGACAGCTTTGTGGACAAACTCCTTGACCTTATGCCCCGACTCATGACATCCAAACCTGCAGAAGTGGTCAAAATTCTACAGACCATGCTGCGACAGAGTGCCTTTCTGCATCTCCCGCTTCCAGAGCAGGTCAGGGTCTATTTGGCCCCTGTAGGCCAAATCTGTCCAGACGGTCAAAAATCTTTACCTTGGTGATCTTCTTTGACCAGTGGAGCAGCTGGGCTAGGCTGTTCCTCTGAGTGGCTCCCACATGCCCACTCATTAGATAAGGAGACAGAAAAAAGATGCGTTTTCTCATCCAGGAATGACCTGGCTTTAAAATCATAGGATTTTCCTCTTGCTTACAGATCCACAAAGCCTCAGCCACCATCATCGAGCCAGCGGGCGAGTCAGACAACCCTTTGCGGTTTACCTCTGGGTTGGTGGTTGCCCTGGATGTTGATGCAACCCTGGAGCATGTGCAGGATCCTCAGAACACTGTTAAGGTCCAGGTCTGTCGGGTTTGGGTCCTCATGGAGCTTCTAGACTGACATTGTGTTGAAGTATTTAATGTTAGCACCCCTGTAGTCTCTACTTGAGGGACAGAAACTGGGACAGGAGAAGAAATGAGCCTCTGTGGGAAAGAACCTAGGCTTGAATCTCAACTACTGCTGAGTGTGGTTTGGAGCAAGTTACTTTAAACTCTGAGTCTCAGATTCTACAACTGACAAATAGGAGGAGTTGACATAAAGAGATAATGTATTTAAAGCCCCCAGGACCCAGTAAGGGTTCACTAAATGATAAGACCTTTTCTAATCTTGTAATGTGACGTTAAGATTTGGTCTTTTGTTACAGAAAACTGTAATAAACAAGTTCCTTTCAGGCTATGAGTCAGTCGGCTGGCAGATAAAATTTATGGTTGGGAAAAAGCAATTACTAGGAAATATTCTTTCCCAAGTTACATAGATGTAATAGAGACACATGAGAAATGTAGTAGAGACACTAATCAATTCAGACAGTGCAATTAAGCCCCACAAAGAGTACTACTACTTCATTCATCCATCTGTCCACTCATTCATCCTTCCTTCCATCCATCTGTGCAATCGTGTTTACTCTATTGCATGCACTAAGTGCTGTGGTTGCCAAGGTAAATATGTCACAGTTCTTCCTCTCGGGGTGTGCACAGTTTCATTGAGAGACATACAAATGGGCAGGCAATTATAAAACAGGGTTTGGTGAGTAGACATGCACAGGATGGGTCATCTCCTAGACTGTCTCCTAAAAAACCCTTTCAAAGCACCTCTACCACATGCAGGGCTAAACCTTTTAGAGTATTCAATTTGGAGTGTGGTGGAGGCTCAGGAAAGGAAAGGAGAAGGGCACAAGGGATATGAGAGAAGGGCCAAAGGGATATGAGTCAAAGCAGGGATGCAAGCACTGGCAGGAAGTACAATAAGGGGACAGAAAAATAGGCTGGAACAGGCAGAGAAGACTTCCTGGAGGAGGTAAGGATGAATCAGGCCTTGAAGATTATGCTTTTTGGCTATGGTGACAATAGAGGAACAGGCCTTCTGGCTTCCAAGCAGGAATTATTAAAAATTATGAGACCTGCAGAGAACTAGTTCTGAGCTAGCTGTGAAGTTGTATTGCATATTGGAGTGTTTTGTTTGTTTGTTTGTTTTTTTCCACATTAGTGGTTGTCCACCTTCACTGCACTTTAGGATTACTCAGAAAGCATTAAGAAGAACAGATGAATAGGTGTCAGCCTACATTAATTAAATCAAAATCCTGAGAATAGGGCCTATGGACACTAGTGTTTAAGAGTTCATAGGTGATTCTAATACGTAGTCAGTGATACTAGCAGAACTACTGTTTTACATTGTCCCTGAAAAAAACTTCACTGATCACCTGAGCGTAAAGGAGATTGTAGGCAGGTTACTTAAGGGTCATCTCCTAGACTGTCTCCTAAAAAACCCCCTTCATAGCACCTCTACCACACGCAAGGCTAAACCTTTTAGATACCTTATAGGTAGAGGGACAGGAAACTCACTGCCCCATCGTGGGACAGGTCCAGTGGTTTGAAAGTGCCATCCAGTCCTGTCACCACACCCGGAGTCATTCCTCTGTTCCAGGCACTACTTCAGGTGCTCAATAGAGATATAGCAGTAAACATGCCTCAGAGATGACACTGAGATTACATTCCCCATTAAAATACTGTAGATCTGTTCTTTAAAGCAAACCCTGCAGAACTCCATTCATTAACATTTTATTTTATTTTATTATTATTATACTTTAAGTTTTAGGGTACATGTGCACAATGTGCAGGTTAGTTACATCTGTATACATGTGCCATGCTGGTGTGCTGCACCCATTAACTCGTCATCTAGCATTAGGTATATCTCCAAATGCTATCCCTCCCCCCTCCCCCTACCCCACAACAGTCCCCGGGGTGTGATGTTCCCCTTCCTGTGTCCATGTGTTCTCATTGTTCAGTTCCCACCTATGAGTGAGAACATGCGGTGTTTGGTTTTTTGTCCTTGTGATAGTTTGCTGAGAATGATGGTTTCTAGTTTCATCATTTTTTATGGCTGCATAGTATTCCATGATGTATATGTGCCACATTTTCTTAATCCAGTCTATCGTTGTTGGACATTTGGGTTGGTTCCAAGTCTTTGCTATTGTGAGTGGTGCCGCAATAAACATATGTGTGCATGTGTCTTTATAGCAGCATGATTTATAATCCTTTGGGTATATACCCAGTAATGCGATGACTGGGTCAAATGGTATTTCTAGTTCTAGATCCCTGAGGAATTGCCACACTGACATCCACAATGGTTGAACTAGTTTACAGTCCCACCAACAGTGTAAAAGTGTTCCTATTTCTCCACATCCTCTCCAGCACGTGTTGATTCCTGACTTTTTAATGATAGCCATTCTAACTGGTGTGAGATGGTATCTCACTGTGGTTTTGATTTGCATTTCTCTGATGGCCAGTGATGATGAGCATTTTTTCATATGTTTTTTGGCTGCATAAATGTCTTCTTTTGAGAAGTGTCTGTTCATATCCTTTGCCCACTTTTTGATGGGGTTGTTTGTTTTTTTCTTGTAAATTTGTTTGAGTTCATTGTAGATTCTGGATATTAGCCCTTTGTCAGATGAGTAGGTTACGAAAATTTTCTCCCATTTTGTATGTTGCCTGTTCACTCTGATGGTAGTTTCTTTTGCTGTGCAGAAGCTCTTTAGTTTAATTAGATCCCATTTCTCAATTTTGGCCTTTGTTGCCATTGCTTTTGCTGTTTTAGACATGAAGTCCTTGCCCATGCCTATGTCCTGAATGGTATTGTCTAGGTTTTCTTCTAGGGTTTTTATGGTTTTAGGTGTAACATGTAAGTCTTTAATCCATCTTGAATTAATTTTTGTATAAGGCATAAGGAAGGGATCCAGTTTCAGCTTTCTACATATGACTAGCCAGTTTTCCCAGCACCATTTATTAAATAGGGAATCCTTTCCCCATTGCTTGTTTTTGTCAGGTTTGTCAAAGATCAGATGGTTGTAGATATGTGGCATTATTTCTGAGGGCTCTGTTCTGTTCCATTGATCTATATCTCTGTTTTGGTAACAGTACCATGCTGTTCTGGTTACTGTAGGCTTGTAGTATAGTTTGAAGTCAGGTAGCATGATGCCTCCAGCTTTGTTCTTTTGGCTTAGGATTGACTTGGCGATGTGGGCTCTTTTTTGGTTCCATATGAACTTTAAAGTAGTTTTTTCCAATTCTGTGAAGAAAGTCATTGGTAGCTTGATGGGGATGGCATTGAATGTATAAATTACCTTGGGCAGTATGGCCATTTTCACAATATTGATTCTTCCTACCCATGAGCATGGAATGTTTTTCCATTTGTTTGTATCCTCTTTTATTTCATTGAGCAGTGGTTTGTAGTTCTCCTTGAAGAGGTCCTTCACATCTCTTGTAAGTTGGATTCCTAGGTATTTTATTCTTTTTGAACCAATTGTGAATGGGGAGTTCACTCATGATTTGGCTCTCTGTTTGTCTGTTATTGGCGTATAAGAATGCTTGTGATTTTTGCACATTGATTTTGTATCCTGAGACTTTGCTGAAGTTGCTTATCAGCTTAAGGAGATTTTGGGCTGAGACGATGGGGTTTTCTAGATATACAATCATGTCATCTGCAAACAGGGACAATTTGACTTCCTCTTTTCCTAATTGAATACCCTTTATTTCCTTCTCCTACCTAATTGCCCTGGCCAGCACTTCCAACACTATGTTGAATAGGAGTGCTGAGAGAGGGCATCCCTGTCTTGTGCCAGTTTTCAAAGGGAATGCTTCCAGTTTTTGCCCATTCAGTATGATATTGGCTGTGGGTTTGTCATAGATAGCTCTTATTATTTTGAGATACGTCTCATCAATACCTAATTTATTGAGAGTTTTTAGCATGAAGGTTGTTGAATTTTGTCAAAGGCCTTTTCTGCCTCTATTGAGATAATCATGTGGTTTTTGTCTTTGGTTCTGTTTATATGATGGATTACATTTATTGATTTTCGTATGTTGAACCAGCCTTGCATCCCAGGGATGAAGCCCACTTGATCATGGTGGATAAGCTTTCTGATGTGCTGCTGGATTTGGTTTGCCAGTATTTTATTGAGGATTTTTGGTGGTGGATTCATTAATTTTTTGAAGGGTTTTTTGTGTCTCTATTTCCTTCAGTTCTGCTCTGATTTTAGTTATTTCTTGCCTTCTGCTAGCTTTTGAATGTGTTTGCTCTTGCTTTTCTAGTTCTTTTAATTGTGATGTTAGGGTGTCAATTTTGGATCTTTCCTGCTTTCTCTTGTGGGCATTTAGTGCTATAAATTTCCCTCTACACACTGCTTTGAATGTGTCCCAGAGATTCTGGTATGTTGTGTCTTTGTTCTCGTTGGTTTCAAAGAATATCTTTATGTCTGCCTTCATTTCGTTATGTACCCAGTAGTCATTCAGGAGCAGGTTGTTCAGTTTCCATGTAGTTGAGCGGTTTTGAGTGAGTTTCTTAGCAAGGCCTGCGGACCCTGCCCCGCCCCCTCGCCGGGCGCCTCCCACCTATTCTACACCTCTCGTGTCTCTTCACCCTGCCAGACTAGAGTCAAGCTCAACAGGGTCTTCTTTCCCTGCTGATTCCGCCAAGCCCATTCCCTTGGCTGTGGTTTCGCTGGATAGTAGGTAGGGACAGTGGGAATCTCGTTCATCCATTCATGTGCGTCACTAATTAGATGACAAGGCATTTGGCTACCTTAAGAGAGTCATAGTTACTCCCGCCGTTTACCCGTGCTTCATTGAATTTCTTCACTTTGACATTCAGAGCACTGGGCAGAAATCACATGGCATCAACACCCGCCGCGGGCCTTCGCGATTATTAACTCTTGTAAGCCTAATCTAGGTTACTGTATTCTACCTGATGATCATTCATACTGGCCATTTCCTTCCTCTGACCTACTTGGGCCACAGGTTTCTAAGCTCCACTTTTGGAGTAGACAAATGAAAGAAGGCTTCCAGCAACCATTTCACAGAGGAGTGAAGGCCTTTCACCAAGGACAGTTTTGCTGAGAATGCTGGGAATTTTTTTTTTCTTTTTTTTGAGACAAGGTCTCTGTCTGTTGCCTGGGCTGGAGTGCAGTGGCATGGTCAGCTCACTGTGACCTCAAACTTCTGTGTCCAAGGGATCCTCCTGCCTCAGCCTCCTGAGTAGCTGGAACTAGAGATACACACCACTACACCTGGCTAATTTTAATTTTTTTTGTGTGGAGATTGGGGGGTCTTACTTTTTTGCCCAGTCTCGTCTTAAACTCCTGTCTTCAAGCAATCCTCCCGCCTCAGCCCCGCAAAATGCTGGGATTATAGGCATGAGCCACTGCACCTGCTGAACACAGAAATTATGGCCCCTGTTCATTTGTTTTTCCCATGATCATTGCTGTTTCAGCCCCCCTCTGCCCTTCTTTTTCTTTCTTTCTTTCTTTTTTTTGAGACAGAATCTCACTCTGTCACCCAGGCTGGAGTGCAGTGGCAGCGATCTCAGCTCACTGCAACCTCTGCCTCCCAGGTTCAAGTGATTCTCCTGCTTCAGCCTCCCAAGTAGCTGGGACTACAGGCACACGCCACCATACCCAGCTAATTTTTGTATTTTTAGTAGAGAAGGGGTTTCATCATGTTGACCAGACTGGTCTTGAACTCCTGACCTCAAGTAATCCACCTGGCTCAGCCTCCCAAAGTGCTGGGATTACAGGTGTGAGCCACTGTGCCCGGCCCTCCCCTTCATTTTCTAAAAAAAAATGAAGCCCAAGCACTTGTCTTTAAAGATAATAAGGATCAGGAAACTGAGACACCTGCATTTTTTTCCTATAGTAGGTTTGGGAGCTTGGAGCCTAGAACTAGAGTGGGGAGTAGCAGCTTTAAGAAATAAGGGTAGGCCAGGTGTGGTGGCTCACGCCTGTAATCCCAACACTTTGGGAGGCTGAAGTAGGAAGATCACCTGAGGTCAGGAGTTCGAGACCAACCTGGCCAACATGGTGAAACCCCATCTCTACTAAAGATACAAAATTAGCCGGGCATGACGGTGGGCGCCTGTAATCCCAGCTACTTGGGAGGCTGAGGCAGGAGAATCACTTTAACCCGGGAGGCGGAGGTTGCAGTGAGCCGAGATCATGCCACTGCAGTTCAGCTTGTGTGACAGAGTGAGACTATCTCAAGAAAAGAAAAAAGAAAAAGAAAAAGAAATAAGGGTAGGCTGGGCACAATTGCTCATGCCAGTAATTCCAACACTATGGGAGTCTGAGGCAGGAGGATCACTTGAGGTCAAGAGTTGGAGACTAGCCTGGGCAACATAGCAAGATCTTGTCTCTACAAAAAAATTTAAAAAGAAAATTACCTGGCGTGGTGGCACGTGCCTGTAATCCCCACTCCTCAGGAGGCTGAGGCAGGAAGATCACTTGCGCCCAGGAGTTTGAGGCTTCAGTGAGTTATGATCGTGCCACTGCACTCCAGCCTGGGTGGCAGAGTAAGACCCTGTTTTAAAGAAAAAAAAAGAAAGAAAGAAGTGTAGAATCAGGGGGAGGCCCCATGACCTGAGGAGAGATGAAGGATTATAGGGCAAGTGGGTGAGACATGCCTTCCGCAGTTTCAACATTGACCACAGTTTCAACATTGGAAGACCTGTGTGGTTCCCTACTCTGCCTTCATAAGTATATTTACATAGAGCAGGTCCTAGTCCTAGGATAAGCTTCATTTGTTCCTCTAGTTCCTTTGTGCGCTGCAGTATAGTAGGCTGTCTACACAGGGAGCTGGGAGGTCCCCCAGGATGCTGAGGAAAGAACTCTGTTGCAGTTTATGAGCCTTAAAGAACTGGCCAGTGATTTGAGTGGACTCTTCATTGAGCCGTCTCTCCGTAGAGAGAGAGATAAATGACTTCCTAGCTGCTTGCAATGTAGTGGAAAGAATGCAATTACAAAATAACTCCAAATACTGGTGGTTGGTGATGGATGCTGGGCCATGGTATGATTCAGAGCCAGGGAGGGAGTGCTCTTCTGGTGAAGGTGCCTGAGAACACTTTTCATAATAAGAATTAATATTCTTACCTGTCTTTGCGCTTAATAGAGACACTCTGTTCATATTACTTATTCACCATGAATTCAGGAAATGTTTACTGAACACTGCTTCATGCTGGATTAGGGGAATAGAGATGTCTACAGTGTTGACCTACCCCCAAGGCTCAATCTTAGTAAAGTTGGTGTCATGTTTCTTCTTGTGTTTTGAGGTTCACAACAGATGTCATCATCCATTTTGTTAAATGCTCCTCTCGCTTCTGCCTTTTTCTCATTTCTGTCACCCTTTAGGTCTTATATCCAGATGGCCAGGCTCAGATGATTCACCCCAAGCCTGCAGACTTCCGGAATCCTGGCCCAGGGCGGCACCGGCTCATCACTCAGGTTTATCTCTCCCACACCGCTTGGACAGGTAAGGAGTCAGGACCAGGGTGGGAAGGGAAATATGCTGCTGGAGATCACACCTACCCTTAAGCGTTTGGTTTTTAAAGTTTGAAAAAAATACATGGATGAATCAGGCCTTGTAAGAATTGAACTTAATGAGTTTATAAGCACTCATTAAGTGGGTAAAAAACTGGGTATATTTGGGCTAATTTGCTACAGTGCTTTGATTGCATGAGAGATAAGATTCTGTTGGAAGATATACAGGCGATTATGATAGAATGGAGTCTCATGGAAAGGGCCCTGGTCTGGACACCAGGAGATTATTCTTATCCTAACTGCCACCGACTTGCTTGGTCACCTTAGACAAGTCTCTCCCTTTCTGAGTCTTTTTCCTTATCTTCCAAATGACAATAATAATTCTCAACCTACAAATTAGTTGTGAGGATTTTTAAAAATATTTTTTTTCATTTGCCAACTTATGTCTGAATTGTGAGGATAAAATGGGAGAATACAAGTACAAAGGAGATTACATTTCAAGCCTGTAAGCCTGCTTTAAAAAACTTAAGAAGACCTCAGTCTGCAGAACCTAGAATAGGGGGCAGAATTGGCCTCAGTGGTGTTTCCCAAATAATTGGAGATGGTTCAGGAGCACTGTTACTGGAGGTGTTTAATGCCACCAAATTTGGTTTATTTTAGAGATAGGGAATGCCTTTTGGAATTTTCTTTCACTCTGTGTTTTTAAACACATAATTATAAGGCTATTATTATTATTATTATTATTATTTTGAGACGGAGTCTTGCTCTTGCCCAGGCTGGAGTGCAGTGGTGCAATCTCGGCTCACTGCAACCTCTGTCTGCCTCCTGGGTTCAGGTGCTTCTCCTGTCTCAGCCTCCCGAGTAGCTGGGATTACAGGTGCACGTCACTACACCTGGCTAATTTTTTTGTATTTTAGTAGAGACAGGGTTTCGTCATGTTGGCCAAGCTAGTCTCGAACTCCTGACCTCAGGTGATCCACCCGCCTTGGCCTCCCAAAGTAGTGGGATTACAGGCATGAGCCACTGCGCTGGGCCTTTATTAATGGTTTCCCTCTGTCAGGGTGTTAGATGGGTAATGATGACTTTATGAAGCTGTTGGATGTTAGGGCAGCCCCTTTGGGGTTCTAGTGGTGGTAGGCCTGGTGTAGTTGAGGGAGCATCCAGCAGTTCTGCTACCCAGGACGTGCTTCCCTGAGTATTCCTCATTCCATAATCTGGCTGCCTGGAATGTTTTTGCACTATTTGCCAAACCACTGGCCCCACAGGAAAATAGATTCCTTATTCTAATATCTTCTGCTGAAGGGATCCCGGACATGGGGAAGGAAATGCTGTGGGACAGTATTGTTTTGGGAGGGACAAGGCTCAGGAAAGCAAATTACAGTATGCTGTAGCTCCAAAGATCGTGGAAGGTCTTGAGAGGGTCTGACTTGTCCCTGGTCACACAGCAAGTCATTGCCAAGGCCAGAGTTAGAACTCAGCTGATCTGCCCCCAAGCTCAAGGTTCTTTTTCCTAGGCCCCATTTCCTCTTAAGGTATCCTAGTTCATTGCAGACTTCCTTGTTTTGTATTGCCAGGCGATCCTGAGCCTGAATAATTTTAACTTATACAAGATCACAGCCAGGCCTGGTGGCTTGTACCTGTAATCTTCGGGAGGCTGAGGTGGGAGGATCGATTGAGCCCAAGAGTCTGAGACCAGCATGGGCAATATAGGGCAACCCTATCTCTACAATAGATATATAAAAAAGTTAACTGGGCATGGTGGCATGTGCCTGTAGTCCCAGCTACTCAGGAGGCTGAGGCAGGAAGATTGCTTGAGTCTGGGGGGTCAAGGCTGCAGGGAGCCCTGATCATGCCACTACACTCCAGCCTGGGTAACAGAGCAAGACCCTGACTCAAAAGAAAAAAAAAAAAACCATCAGAAACAAGAAAACAAGATCACCTCCTCTGAATGGTCGCTACCCAGTCACTATTACAAATCCCTGTTTTAATTGTTTATATATAGTGCGTACTGGTTTCAGATGTGTTTTCACATTTAATTACTTACTGACTTTCCCATTAGGATGTAGGCTTCTATAGAGCAGGGAACTTGCTTGTCTTTGCCTCTGTATCTCCATTGTTTTAGTAGCCTGTGTCTCTAGTGCCTGACATGTAGTAGGCACTCAACAAATAATGAAAATTGAATACAAGGTTTTAAATGTGCAATAAAAATTCATTTAATCTTTAGACCAACTCTGCAGTGGAAATTAGTATTCTCTTTTCATTTTACAGATACATAAATGGAGGCCCACATACCTGATCAGTGACAGTGCTAAAGCTGCAGTCACCCTTCCCAGCCCTCACTGTGCTATGTCCCTTCCGGTTTGGGGCACTGAAGTGAAATATGTCTCATTGTAAATGAGCTTGCAGTTTCTTTCTCCTAATCTAGGTGATGGGGCCTGGAGTTTCTAGGGAGCTCCTTCAATCCCTCAGTAGCTCCCCACCAGGGAGGGGCCTCTCCTCTGGGAGGCAGGATGCTGCCACGTAGGAAGCTCAGTCATAGACCATGTTTCAAATTCTGCTTCCTTTGCTGTGTGATCCTGAGAAAGTTATTTTACTTCCCTGTCTCATTAAGATGAGAATAAGAATATAAACCTGCTAGGAGAAATATTCTTCCAGGCATGACGCAGAAGTTGCTTGAGTTATCCTAGATGATCTTGTCTCCTTCTCCCAAGTTCCCCTCCTTCTTGTTTTCTCTCTTCTCCGCTTTACTCCTATGGCATTGCCTTGAATTGCCATTCTTATCAAATGTTGGTAAGGGAATGCAAAATGACCCTGTAGGGCTGAGTCCTACATCAACTCCCTCTGACCTTAGCAGGATTTATTTGTTTTTTTGTTTTTTTGTTTGTTTGTTTGTTTGTTTTGAGACAGGGTTTCCTTCTGTTGCCCAGGCTGGAGTGCAGTGGTGTGATCCTCTCGGGCTCAAGTGGTTCCTCCCACCTCAGTCCCCCTAGTAACTGAGACTATATGCCTGGCTAATTATTTTTATTTTTTGTAGAGACAGGTCTCACTATGTTGCCCAGGCTAGTCTCAAACACCTGGGATCAAGTGATTCTCCTGCCTTGCCCTCCCAAAGTGCTGGGATTATAGGCTTGAGCCTTATCCAGCTCTTACCAGGATTTGGCTTCTTGAAAGTGCTATGCCAACTGGGGCTGTGGTTGTGGTCTGCCACTTGGGATGGAATGGGAGAGTGTGGCAGGAAAGCAGATATAGGTACCTATTTTGATTCCACCCTAAGTGGGAGATTCATCTGGAGCCTGGTATCAGAGAACAGTGTTAGTTTCATGACAGTTACACTCATGGCTGCTGCATGACCCTCATGTTGTCATGTGAGTGTGTGCTTATCACATGGCTGGTACTTGATGATGAGGCTGCACTTAGATCTCATGCTGAAATCTGAGGTGCACTGGATTGCTCTGGCCTTGGGCTGACTGCAAACCTTTCCCTTCCTGGAGGACAGCAATCCAGTCTCTACTCTGACCCATAGAGAGAAGCTTGGATGTAACCAGGAAGAGGTCTGGGGAGGCACTGAGAAGTCCTGGAGTCTCTGCCCTTGTTAATTTAGATCCATCTAGCCTTCATTCCTACCCTCTGAACTTCTTAGCCTTGGGATCATCTTCAACTTACACTTTTTGCTCTGGTTGCACCAAATTAAGGAGACATCCCAAGCTCACTCCATTCCTGGCCTTTGCACTTGCCCTTACATTTTTCTGAAATTCTCTCCCTCTTCTTTATAGAAGCTTGTGGTTAATAGAATGAGTAACTGCTTCAGTTTATGAACTGGGCTCAAATTCTTACCCAGGTGTGCATCTGGGGAGTCTCTGAGAACCTATCTGATTCTTGGGATTTTTGCCAAGATTGTGACAGTCTTTCTTTCATAATGTAGCAGGATAAGAACTCTTGGGGTTAACTGTTTGGCATAGAATGGATATTCTATTCCAAAGCCTTCCTGCGCTCCTCCTCAGTACTTCTTGCAGGCTTGGTTAGAGCGTGTGTTGTACTCCATTGCAACTATCTGTTTCCTCAACCAAACAGCAGGCAACTTGAGGGGAGTTCTTAATTATTCTTGCTAGGACCTGCCACATAGAGACACTAGATGATTATATCGTAAGATAATGTAATGAAAGAATGAGATGTTTTCAGACATTTTAGGTCCCTGAGACATGTTCCTGTTCATTGGCCAGAAACTTTTTGGCGAACCACTTCCTATTCAAAGGCTTCCTCTCCACTAATAAAGTAGTCTGTGGTACATGCAGCCCTGAGGCTTGAGATGGAACTGCGCAGGAAGAGCCCAACTGGGTATCAGAATAAGCCACATGCACCTTCTGAAACTGCCCAAATCCACACCTGCATAAGAATTTGAGCCCAGTTCATAAAGCAGATCATGAAGCAATTATCTTCCTGGAAGGGTTTTTAGCTTGCTCTCCAGTTGCCTCAGCAGCTTTGGCTCTGTGCCACAGTGAGCCCAAGGGGAAGGTGATGGAACAGCATCACATCTGCAGGCTCAGTGTTTTGTTTGGTGAGGGTAAGGGGAGGGAATGTAGACGGATGAAGAAATTTCTCCCTACTGCTTCCATTTTGATATTTCTTTAACTTCACATTTCATCCTCATTCCTAGCAGTTGCCTAGTTATAGAGGATTTCTTTTATCTTTTTTTCAGAGGCATGCCAGGTGGAAGTGAGGCTGCTGCTGGCCTACAACTCCAGTGCTCGCATTCCAAAATGCCCCTGGATGGAGGGTGGTGAGATGTCACCACAGGTGGAAACCAGCATCGAGGGCACCATTCCCTTCAGCAAGCCTGTAAAAGTTTATATAATGCCCAAACCTGCACGGCGCTAAGGCAAAAACAGTCTTCCCAACCGTGGCCTAGAGGGCCCTTCTTAGGTGTCAGAATGAGCCAAGCCTGAAGCACTTCACCTGGAATTGATGTGTAGGCTTAAGGAGTATGTGACCCTTACAGTCTCATCTGGTATCAAACACAGGATAAATTGTTTCTTCATTAAAAAATAAAAAACCTTCAAGTCTACTTACCCTTCTCCTGTCCACAATAAAGTTGAGAAAACACCAAGCTGTTCTAGTTCCTGGTCTGTAAAGAAATGCGTGTGGCTATAGCTTCAGCTTTTATACTACGTGCTTACATGCTATTCCTCAGGTGTGAAACACAAAGATCCAGTTACCTCCTGATAACTGGTTATTTGAGCTATAGTCTTATTTCTTAAAGTGACGGTGTGTTTGTCAGGGCAACTCCAAGGCCGCTTTAACAGCTGTACTTTTTTTTTTTACCATTGACAGTTGCTGAAGGACCTTAAACATGTGTTAACCTTGCTAAGAAGCCTCTTCCCTAATGCAGGCAGTAGCTGGGCCAAGGACTGAATAGCTGGAGAATGAATCATTTTCATCTTTGAGGAAATTTTTTTTTTTTTTTTGAGATGGAGTCTTGCTGTGTCGCTCAGGCTGGAGTGCAGTGGCGTGATCTTGGCTTACTGCAACCTCTGCCTCCTGGGTTCAAGCCATTCTCCTGCCTCAGCCTCCTGAGTAGGTGGGACTACAGGCGCCTGTCACCACGCCTTGCTAATTTTTTGTATTTTTAGTAGAGACGGGGTTTCACCATGTTAGCCAGGATGGTCTTGATCTCCTGACCTCGTGATCTGCCCACCTTGGCCTCCCAAAATGCTGGGATTACAAGTGTGAGCAACCGCGCCTTGCTTTGAAGGAAATTCTTGATCTTGCCTGCCATTATTCTTAGGACCTCTATGGCTTTAAATAAATAATATAGAAGAGCTATATTTTACAAAAGAAATCAAGATTATGGGAAACAGGGGTCCAGTGCAAGAAATAAAGTAATTTACTGCAGCATCTCTGATGAGTTGATGCTGCATGTGAGTTAAAAGTTTTAGGCATGGGGCTGGGGGCTGTGGCTCATGCCTATAATCCCAGGACTTTGGGATTATAGGAGGCAGGAGGATTTCTTGAGCCCAGGAGTTCAAGACCAGCCTGGGCAACATAGCGAGACCCCATCTCTGTTTAAAAAAAAAAAATTGCAAGTGTGATATAACAGTCAGTGCTCCAGAGAGGTTAACCTTTGGTACTGCCTGTGCTATGTACTTTACCTGTCATTTAATCTTCACAATAGCCAAATGAGGCTATTACTGTACAGTAAGTAATAAAGCCTGTATTCATTCAAATCCAAGAAGATCCCAAAGGTCTAAGCTATACCACCTCAGGGGAAGTATATGGGAAAAAGCCTTCAAATCTTCAGCTCTCTCTGCCTCAGTTTCCTCATCTGTGAAACGAAGATAATTGGACCTCAACAGTGGTTGAGTAGGATGGATTAAATAACAATTGGTAGAATCTGAACCTGCAGCCAGTCTTGATCATATTTGACACTTGGCAAGCTTATAAAAATAATAGCAAGATAATACAATTACTCAGAGGTGGAGCTGGAATTTAAATTCAAGCATGTTTTAACTTTTGGTTTAAGGTACTTGGGTGTACCTGGCAGTGTTGTAAGCTCTTTACATTAATTAATTAACTCTCTAGGTACTGTTATCTTCATTTTATAAACAAGGCAGCTGAAGTTGAGAGAAATAAGTAACCTGTCCTAGGTCACACAATTAGGAAATGACAGATCTGGCAGTCTATTTCCAGGCAGTCTATTTCCACGAGGTCATGAGTGCGAAAGAGGGACTAGGGGAAGAATGATTAACTCCAGGGAGCTGACTTTTCTAGTGTGCTTACCTGTTTTGCATCTCTCAAGGATGTGCCATGAAGCTGTAGCCAGGTGGAATTGTACCACAGCCCTGACATGAACACCTGATGGCAGCTGCTGGGTTGGAGCCTAGACAAAAACATGAAGAACCATGGCTGCTGCCTGAGCCCATCGTGCTGTAATTATAGAAAACCTTCTAAGGGAAGAATATGCTGATATTTTTCAGATAAGTACCCCTTTTATAAAAATCCTCCAAGTTAGCCCTCATTTTCCATGTAAGGAAACAGAGGCTTTGAGATAATGTCTGTCTCCTAAGGGACAAAGCCAGGACTTGATCCTGTCTTAAAAATGCAAAATGTAGTACTTCTTCCATCAAAGGTAGACATGCACTAAGGGACAGGTTTTGGCTTGGTATCAGAATACATTTTTAAAAGCTGTGTAAGAATTGAACGGGCTGTACTAGGGGGTATAGAATTCTCCAGGCTAGATGAGTTTGGGCAGAGGTTGAACAAGCTCCTGACAAATTTGTTGCTAAGCAATTCAAGTATCGTATCGGGGTTGGGCTCAACTTTTTAAATTGCTTTTACCCTGAATTTTCACGTTCTGGGGAACATGAGAATTTTAGTTTTTCTCTATCTGATTCTGTACTTTTTCACTGAAGTGAAAAAAAAAAAAAGACCTTTTTATAAAGGTTTCGAAGGGGGCATAAAGAGCACTCCAGTGTGGCACCTTCATTTACAAATGAATACGCAGGCCCAGAGAGACTGAGTTAGTGGTGAAGCTAAGCCTGGAACCCAGGCCTCTGGTTTCTTCCCCAGGTGACTTTCATCACAGGGGTCTGTTCTTAGTGAGTGGTCTAGCATGCACCCAGCAGTCAGAGCCAGAAACCTGTTTGGCACGTTGGATTCCTTCCTCATCCCTCATACAAAAGTAGCCATCAAGTCCTTTAGATTCCTCTTCCTTCATGTTTCTTAGTCCTCTTCTTATACTGTTTGTATACTGATGGAACCACCATCAGCCCTCCTTAAGTGATGAGCTGATCTGACCACACCATTCCCCTGCTCAGTCCCTTTCAGTGGATCACTGCTCATCCCAGGAAAAAGTCTGAACTCCTGTCTTGAAGGCTCTTCATGGCTCTGCTTCGTTTCCAGCCTCATACTCCCTGTCCCAAACTGTCTCTGTACTCCACTTGAACAGAATTACCTGTAGTCTTTTTCTGTCACCTCTAGGCCTTTGGACCTGCTGAGCCTGGGAATGTGCTCCTCAGACTGTCTCCTGTGGTTCTTTCCTTCCATTCTTCAGGACTGGGCCTTGTTCTAGGACATATCTGTGTCTCTTATGGGCTTGGAACATTTCCTCTATGTTCCCACAGCCTCCTATACTATATTCTTCACACATAGTATAGTATTTATTAATATGGCATTGCAGGTTCACAAATGCAAACCCCTTAAGAAAGGTAGGCAGGAAAAGTAAAGGAATAAAGTGGCCTAGAAGATAACAGCAATTGGAAGAATCAGAGAGCACATTCTCTGTTGGAGAAGGCGGTGCTATTCCATTCCACTCAGTTATTTTCATTTATAAGTGTGGACCTAGTGGTGTCAGTTCTTCCCATTCTTCCAAAACAGCCAGAAATCTTCATTTTCATGAAAGTTAAAAAACCTTGGTAACTACAGTAAATATTAAAATTACTGAGACAAACAAAACATGTCTCCAGGCAGATTTGTGCCAATTTGCAACTTCTACATCCTCACTGTAATGTTTACACGCCTTATTTCTTCCAACTGATCTGTACCTGGACTGTAAGAATGTCTGTGCTGTATGCCCAGCACAACTCCTGGCACATAACCGGGCAAGGAAAGAATGATTCTATGTCTCCAGAGCAAAGGTAGCAGTACCATGGCATGCTGCAAAAAAAGATTCAGGTTTCTGAAAGGACTTTATATTTGCTTTGAGATGATTGAACTCAGCAAACACAATCATGGAGAAGAAAGGTACACACCTAGCTGTGGCCAGCTTCATGTCTTTTTTTTTTTTTTTGAGATGGAGTCTTGCTCTGTCACCCAGGCTGGAGTGCAGTGGCACGATCTCACCTCACAGCAGGCTCTGCCGCCCTGGTTCCAGCGATTCTCCTGCCTCAGCCTCCCAAGTAGACTAGCTGGGATTACAGGCACGTGCCACCACGCCTGGCTAATTTTTGTATTTTTAGTAGAGATGGGGTTTCACCATGTTGGCCAGGCTGGTCTCGAACTGCTGACCTCAGGTGATCTGCCCACCTCGGCCTCCCAAAGCGCTGGGATTACAGGCGTGAGCCACCGCACCCGGCCAACTTCTTGTCTTAACCACTCAGGCTAGAAGAAATGACCTGTGGGCAGCTTGAGGGCTGTTCTACCTACAAACTAACTCAGAGGCTTTAATGATTTAAGACAGAGGACTAAGTATAGTTATGTGGAGAAACAGCTTCCCTTCAAGCTCTACATATTTCCATCGTTAACCATGTGCACCAGGTTCCAAAGTAGGGGCTATGTATTAGCAGGTTTTCTTAAAAGTTTAATAATGTCACTGACAGATACTTCTGTCTCTAAGAAGTTTACACTAAGTTCTCTTTAATTGGAGACAACTCACTTAGGAAGAATGATTACACCCACACTGAATTCAACACCCACCAGAGCTGTCTCACCTTACATTTGACCAAAAAAAAAAAAAAAAGACTGCATCACTAGAGAAACAGTCTGAATTTTATCAAACATCCTTCTTAGCTATACAGAGGGCTGGCTTTATGAGCCAAGGGAACAGATCTAGAAAGATCTGTCATCTGACAAATGAAAGGGCTGCGGAAAGGGCACCAAGCAGATCCTTCCGAGACTTCAATGCTGGGTGTCGGGTCTGTGAAGCACTCACTCCCGTCTGCTTCTAGGGAGCAAGGAGGTGTATGCCATAAACTGATAAAGACACAGTGCTGGGTTCTAATCCTACGTCTGCCACTTACTTGGAGAACTTGGAAAAAAATAAATCCCTTCACTTTCCATACTGTTTCAGCTTTTCTTGCCAAGCCACATCTTAAGTTGCTGTCCAGTCTATAGATTGGTCCCTGTAGGTCAGAAGCCTAACTAACTACGTAGTCAGGTGGCAGGATCATGTGAAGCAAAAATCATCTTTCCACTGCTGCTGCTCCAGTGATGGCTGGGGTGGAGCGATTTTATTTAGTTATGGCTGTGATAAATACCATACCTAGTAAATGTCTAGTTAAAAGAGCTGCCAAGTAAGTGTTTTTTCAGTGAATTAATGAACCTTCCATTTTTTAAGACTCAGCTTAAATGTCATCTCCTTAGTGATGTCTTCCTTAATTTTCCTTCCATCCTAGTGGGATAAATTAGTCTTTTCTTTGTGCCACCACTGGACCTAGTAACTATTATAATATTAACATTGTATCATTATTGTTTACTTATTTGTCTTTCTCTCATACAACATAATTCCCAAAGGCAGGAATTGTAACATTCATCCTTATTCCCCCAGGGCCCAACAATAACTGGTCATAAGAAAATTAGTAATAGGCTGTCCGTAAATGGATATGAAAGAGAATTACTGAATAAATGAGTGAGATAGTTCCTTTGGGCTCCAACATTCTATGGCTCTTTGAAATAATAAGCTGCTATATTAAGAACCATAAAATGAAACTAGTTGGCTTTACACAGTATCCCCATTAATAGAAAGATAAGGACAACAGTGGTTTAATGTATTGAGTCCTTACTAAATGCCATGCAGTGAGTTAATACTTTCTATGAATTGCCTCATTTAATACCTACAATGACTCCAGGTACTGCTAATGTTATCCTGATCTGACAGATGAGAACAGTGAAACT
Organism: Homo sapiens; assembly: GCF_000001405.40. Classification (NCBI taxonomy): domain Eukaryota; kingdom Metazoa; phylum Chordata; class Mammalia; order Primates; family Hominidae; genus Homo; species Homo sapiens. The sequence continues at coordinate 77,873,218 of NC_000011.10, read as the reverse complement.
AAGAAATTAGACAAATACCCAACCAGTGAGTGGCAGTGAGCTGCAGTTCAAAGTCAAGGCTATTTGACACCAAAGCCCATAGTTCTTTAAAAAGAAAGAAAAATTAAAAATAAGGTGATGCTGATAGCTTGTAGTTCTCTCAGTCTATTCTAAGGCTTCACAAAGGCCACCTCGGTATTTAATAGAACAAAGACTATCTGAGCCAGTAGGAACCTTTAAAGGGCATCTAGCCAGCCCCAACATTTTATACTTGAATTTTTTCTTTTTTGAAACGGAGTCTCTCACTGTCACCCAGGCTGGAGTGCAGTGGCACCATTTCGGCTCACCGCAACCTCTACCTCTTGGGTTCAAGTGATCCTCCTGCTGCCTTAGCCTCCCAAGTAGCTGGGATTACAGGCTCGTGCCACCATGCCCAGCTAATTTTTGTAGTTTTAATAGAGATGGGGTTTCACCATGTTGGCTAGGCTGGGGTTGAACTCCTGACCTCAAGTGATCTGCCCACCTCGGCCTCCCAAAGTGTTGGGATTACAGGCGTGAGCCATGGCGCCTGGCCTATAGTTGAAATTTGAAGCCCAGAGAGAACAATCTGGCTCCAGTCTCAGGGTTGGTTAGTAGAACAGCCTGTCTAGAACCCAACTCCCAGGGCATACTCCTACTGTTCCTGTTACTCAGATGTTCCCTCAGTTCATTCACTATATTATTAAACTTCTGTCTCATCTTTTTTTCTTTTAGCACCCTCAAGGACAGGGACCTTGTCTTGGTCATCCCTGCATCCCAAGAGCCTAGCACAGGACCTGGCATGAGTAGGTGTCCAAAAATGTTTAGGGGAGGCTGGTTTGGAGAATGGTGAGTGACAGTCACAGGCATAGGCACTTAGTGATTTATTCTCCTCTTAAGGCTCCATCAGCAGGTGGAATGGAAGACACCTCCCACCCTGACCCCTTGGGCAACCAAGGCATTATACTCCTTCACTGCCTGCTCTGTCTGGAGGACCCGCACATCAATGCCATGTTTCTTGAGGTACTCCACAGTTGATGAAGGCACCTGGGAAGGTGGAAAAGAGATGAGTAAGTAGGGGGAAAGGCCCCCCAGGGGTTCCTTTACTGCCATGAGGCAGGTGTACTCTACAGAATTAGACAGTGACAATCGTCACTTCACGATCACTCAGTGTATCACCAGTCCAAAATTTGGCAGTGAGCCCCAATGAGTCAAAAAGGCCTCTTTGTCAGAGGTATCATAATACCCATGCATAAAGCTCAAGTGAAATGGAAATGAAAGAACATGGGATTTGCAGTTAGCCTTGGATTTACATCCTTACTAGCACTGTAACCTTGGGTAAGTAAATTAAATTCTCTGAGTCTTTGTTTTCATGTCTGTAAATTAGGGACATTAACACCTAGGGTTGGTATGACAACTAACTGAGCTAAGGGTATGTGAAACATCTACCTTGGTGTGCAAACTCCATAAATGTTAAATGTTTGAGTTAGTCTAAACTGAGTCTAAATTTCTTCTTTGCCGCATGCTAGCTAAGAAATGTTAGGCTAGCTCTTTAAAGTCTCCCAGCCCCAATTTCTTCCCTTGTAAAATAGGTATAATAGTACTTACATCACAGGGTTGGTGTGAGGATGAAATTGACTCATGTATGTACACTGCAGCTCAAATGTCTTCTCACAAAGGCCTTTCTTGCCCACCCCCTACTAGCCCAGCATAAGTCACCATTTTCCTCACTGCGTTTATTATTATCTGAAGTTGTCTAGTTTTTTATTATCCATGAGGGGCATGAACCTTGTTTGTCTTGTTTATCGCACCGTCACCAGTTTCTAGAATAGTGCCTTACCCATAGAAAATGCTTAATAAATATCTGTAAATGAATTTATATAAAAGATGTTCTTAATAGTGACAGCTATTATTAGATATTTTCTCAACTCTGGCTTGTCCTGAATATTTTTTAAAAATAGATTTTAATTAGACTCTGCCTCAGAAAGAACTCAAGTGAAATATTTTTTAATATGCCCTATATTTTCTATATATTTGAGATTTATAAAAGTACCCTATCAGATAGGAATTATTGTAATGGGGAAAACAAACTAGTTTAAAATTTTAAAATATAAATAGGCTGGGCATGGTGGCTCAAGCCTTTAATCCCAGCACTTCAGGAGGCCAAAATGGGAGGATTGCTTGAGCCCTACTGATGAAGGTGCCCTATATATATAAAGCCCTAGATGTAAGGGGCACCTTCATCAGTAAGGAACAGGACTGTAAGACATCTATAAAGGAAAGAATGAGGTAGGCCTCTATATGGATGACTATCCATAATACAGTAATGTAAGTGGGGGAAAAAGTTATAGAATACATATAGCACTGACCTATTTATGTAAAATGGTTATAAGTATATAAACGTATATCTATATGTGTAAGTGTGTATATATTTGCAGATGCATTCAGAGAAGACTGGAGAAATATACATCAAATGTGAAGATTGGGAAGGGAATCTCCCACCTTTTTACTTCTACATTTCTGCATTGAATTTTTAAATCTTTTACAATGAGCATATATTATTTCTGTAAGAAAATTAAAAAATAAGCCAGGCATGGTGGCTCACACCCGTAATCCCAACACTTTGGGAGGCTGAGGCAGGTGGATCACGAGGTCAGGAGATCAAGACCATCCTGGCTAACACGGTGAAACCCCGTCTCTACTAAAAATACAAAAAAATTAGCCAGGCGTGGTGGTGGGCGCCTGTAGTCCCAGCTACTCGGGAGGCTGAGACAGGAGAATGGCATGAACCCGGGAGGCAGAGGTTACAGTGAGCCAAGATGGCGCCACTGCACTCAGCCTGGGCGACAGAACAAGACTCCGTCTCAAAAAAAAAAAAAAAAAAAAAAAAAATTAAAAAATAGGCCAGACGTGGTAGCTCACATTTGTAATCCTAGCATTTTGGGAGGCCGAGGCGGGAGATCATTTGAGCTCAGGAGCTCAAGACCAGCCTGGGCAACAATAGTGAGACCCCATCTATATTTAAAAAAAAAAAAAATTAAATTAAATTTTTTTCTGAAGAGGGGAAAACTATAAATGTGTCCAATAAAAGAAAAATTAGAAGTACTATAAAATATACTATGAGGATATAAAGTATTATTAAAATATAAAGGACCAAATAGTGATCCTTGTAGAACTTGAGGGATTCTGAGAAATAGTTGAAATGACACTGTCTCAGGGTTAGGTAGACTGGAGAGCCCAACGCTGATGAGGCAGAGGAATGTGTGCAGCCACTGCTATCCTGGGTCAGCAAAATGAGGGTACATGATATATAAAGATGACCTCCCAAGAAGGACAAGTCTGTAAGACAAAGGCCCAAGAGATCCCCACCTGTCCTCAGGAATGCTGTGCATACCAACACCTACCTTCAAGGCCTCACTCATCCCTCGGCCAATCACAAGAGTCTGTACACCCTTCTCAACAACTTCCTTCACATCTGCAGGCTGCACACCAGGAGAATGCTGGATGTGGAAAGAGAAAGTAGACAGGTACCTGCTCTCAATCTTTCATTGCAATAGGCATTCTTGTGGGATTCATTCATTCAAGAAATGTCTACTGAGGTTCACTTTGTGCCAAGCATCACTCATAGGCTCTTTAAGGCACTTAGGAAGGCTGACGAGGCAGGATCCCTTGAACCTAGGAGTTCAAGACCAGCCTGGGCAACATAGGGAGACCGACCGTGTCTCTACAAAAAATAAAAACTTAGCTGGGTGTGGTGGCTTATGCTTGTAGTCCCAGCTACTCAGGAGAGCTGAGTTGGGAGGATTGCTTGGGCCTGGGAGGTCGAGGCTGCAGTGAGCCATGACTGCACCACTGCACTCCATCCTGGGCAACACAGTGAGACCCTATCTAAAAAAAAAAAAAAAAAAAGAAAAAGAGATAAATAAACGAAATCCGGGAAACAAGGCATTCCAAGTACAGGAAAAAGCATTTTAAAAGGCTCAGGACCTTTTGGCTGGAACAACCATCTTCCAGTAATTTGCCAAAATGACAAATACAAAGGGAAAGAGGAGATGCACCCAATATATGTCCTCTAGGCCTTTTAGAAAATATGGAGTTGTTCCTTTGGCCACATGGTACATGTGAATCTATGAGACAGGTGATACTGTAGACATCAAGGGAATGGGTACTGTTCAAAAAGGAATGTCCCACAAATGTTACCATGGCAAAACTGGAAGAGTCTACGGTATTACCCAACGTGCTGTTGGCATTGTTGTAAACAAATAAGTTACAGGCCAGATTCTTGCCAAGAGAATTGTGCCTATTGAGCACATTAAGCACACTAAGAGCCAATAGAGCTTCCTGAAATGTGTGAAGGAAAATGTTTAGTAAAAGAAGGAAGCCAGAGAGAAAGGTACCCGGGTTCAAATTAAGCGCCAGCCTGCTACACCCAGAGAAGCACACTGTGTAAGAACCAGTGGGAAGGAGCCTGAGTTGCTGGAGCCTATTCCCTGTGAATTCACGCCATAATTTGTGTTAAAAAACAACAACAACAACAACAACAACAAAAACCTCTGGACTGTACATTAAAAAAAAAAAGGTGGCCAGGTATGGTGGCTCACACCTGTAATCCCAGCACTTTGGGAGGCTGAGGTCAGGAGTTTGATACCAGCCTGGTCAACATGGCGAAACCCCATCTCAACTAAAAATACAAAAATTAGCTGGGTGTGGTGGCGCGTGCCTGTAGTCCCAGCTATTCGGGAGGCTGAGGCAGGAGAATCACTTGAACCTGGGAGGCAGAGGTTGCAGTGAGCTGAGATCACGCCATTGCACTCCAGCCTGGGCAACAAGACCAAGACTTCATCTCAAAAAAAAAAAAAAAAAAGGCGGCTGGGCGTGGTGGCTCACACCTGTAATCCCAGCACTTTGGGAGGCTGAGGCGGGTGGATCACGAGGTCAGGAGATCAAGAACATCCTGGCTAACACGGTGAAACCCCGTCTCCACTAAACATACAAAAAATTAGCCGGGCCAGGTAGCGGGTGCCTGTAATCCCAGCTACTCGGGAGGCTGAGGCAGGAGAATGGCGTGAACCTGGGAGGCAGAGCTTGCAGTGAGCCAAGATTGTGCCACTGCACTCCAGCCTGGGCGATAGAACGAGACTCTGTCTCAAAAAAAAAAAAAAAGGCTCAGAGGAAAGAAAAAGACTAGAAGAACAGTTAAAGTCAGTACAACTTGTTTGTAGAGTGACAGATGAGGTGGGAAAAGAAAGCACTTGCATAGCATGCTAAAATTTTGACTTTAGAAAAATTTCATAACAATCTCTATATTGTTACTTTTTTTCTGAACTTCCTAATCTTCCCAGCTAACTCCAGGAAACTTCTTTTTATGCTTTAAAACCTACCAATCACTCTGAAAAGTCTTCCCAGTCTTCTAGGCACATTTAAGGTGATGTGTTTAACAAAGATGAATTGAGCATTAAAGGATGGTAGCTTCTTGAACTACCTCTGTGTCAGCAAAGGGGATATGGGAGTTAGAGTTTGGGAACTACCAGCCCAACCTACTGGGCTCCACCTGTTATGTTTCTGCACAAGGACAATGCTTTTAGCACTGAAGCTCCCAAAGACAAAGCATTCCTTTCCTGACCCATATACCTCTATCCTTTCATTCATTCATCCAGCATTTACTGAGAACTTAACTCTGTGCCAAGTCTCAGTATTTCTAAGCAGTAGCAATACTGAGATGAACCAAATGTTCCATGGAGTTTCATTCAGGTAAGGTTAGTGAAAATGTGCAAATATTTGTAGTAGGATGAGAAGAAATGGAGTTGAGGATCTCAGAAGACAGAGTGAATAAACCCAAGTGGGAAACTGTCATGGAAGACATGCTGTTTTAACTGGGTCTCGAAGTATGAAAATGAATAGGCCTTGAATGCAGTGGTTGTAGAAGGGGTACCTTCTAATGGTAGAGATGGTATAGGAAAAGAGCTGTTGAAATTATCAAAGAGATAACAAATGGGCGAGAGAAAGAAGCGTTTTCCAGTTCAGGAAGATGAGACGTTATGGAGATAGGAATGAAATTTATATATTTATGAAAGGCATGGGGGCCGGGCACAGTGGCTCATGCCTGTAATCCCAGCACTTTGGGAGGCCAAGGAGGGAGGATTACCTGAGGTCAGGAGTTCAAGACCAGCCTGGCTAAGGTGGTGAAACTTTGTCTCTACTAAAAATACAAAAATTAGCCGGGTGTGGTGACATGCGCCTGTAATTCCAGCTACTCAGGAGGCTGAGGCAGGAGAATCACTTGAACCCAGGAAGTGGAGGTTGCAGTGAGCTGAGATTGTGCCACTACACTCCAGCCTGGGCAACAAGAGCGAAACTCTGTCTCAAAAAAAAGGAAAAAGAAAAAAAAGAAACGTATGGGGAGGATGAATATGAGTTTTCATTAAATCCTGTAATAATAATGTCTTACATATTTACATGTGCAGTTTTATTTTTTTTAATATTTTTTTTTTCGAGATGGAGTCTCACTCTCTCACCCAGAGCTCACATTCTAGTAAAATGAAACAAGAGGCCACTGACTGCTGGAAATCCAAGTGTAAGGTCATAGGAGACTACAAACCCATAATCCTCTGGAGATTAGACTGGAGACAGCCACAGCCCATTGGAGTGGCTGGATCAATGGAACTCAAGTGATGAACTGGGCTGCTGCTGCTTTACTGCAGGCTCACAGTGTCATGTACAAAGCAATGAAAGATAACTCTGCAAGGGCCTGTGGATCCATGGGATTGGAGCTTGAGACTATTATTGAGGCATCCTCAACCTGCCACTAGCAATTCCTGTGCTGCTTCCAATCCCTCAGGGCAAATCACTAAGGCTCTTCTTCCTATTGAGTGTCTGATTCTGTTCCTCTACTTTAAGAGGCTTTCTGTCACACGATCTAAGGTGGTAAAAGCTTATTGTTTTTTCTGCGGGGGAAGCTATTAATTGTGGAAAAATGTCCAGCTAATATCCATTATGCCAGCTAAACAACAAGATGGCATCCTGTCTGTCTTGAACATTTCTCCCTATTTCATGCTAACTTTAAAAAGAAAACATTCCTAAACTACTCTTCCAAAGAAGTATTTCCTTCTGCCAAAATTAAGTGAGCATAAATGGGTAGTAGCAATGCTATCATCTGGCTGTATTGCTGATAAAAGCAGATTCTGTGAGTGAAGTTTAAAGGATCTCTGGAATCTATCCCCTGTGGACACTGCCTGAGTCACATTCTCATTATTGCTTGTCTGAATTAACAGGCTGTTAAATAATCTTGCTGCCTCTGCCAGGGCAGAGGCCTGTTTTTGTGCTACAGGCCCCTCTGGCAGTCTATTGAGGCCGATGGTCCCCTTCTCAGAATAATGTTTTAGAATACACAAAAGAAGATATGTAAGATTATAGAGGAAACATTTCATACAAGTGGAATTATCAAAATATTAACAACAAACTTTTGGTCTAGTATTATATGTGCTTCTTTATTAGTTTAGGAAAATGGAAATCTTTTCCAAAAGTCTGCTAGCCAACTTACCCTCCCATCTCATAATGGCAGATGACTAGTTGTTCTTTCAAAATCCATTCTGCCCATTTTCTGGGGCATATAGCTGATAAGCTAGACACTCCGTTTTCTGTACTTCTTGCAGTTAAATGTGGTCATGTGACTGTGCTATCACTAATATAAAATTCAATGGAACATGAGCAGAAGAAATGATTTCATATATAGGTTTGGCATGAGCTTTTCTTCTCTTTCCTCTTCCTTGCAAGTTAGAGCCCTGCCATGCCTACAACCGGTTCCTACAATTCAAATGTTCTAGGAGATGATAGAGCAACAGAAAGAAAAAACCTAGGCCCCTAAATGAAATTGTGCTATCCACATCTCTCCCACCCTACCACCAGTTTGGACTGGCCACAATAATTTATGAGAGAAAGACACTTCTATCTTCTTTATGCTACTGAATTTTGAGATTTCTATTACAACACCTTGGCCTTCACACTAAGTAATCATGCTAAGTAATCCATTACTAAACTAAACCATGACTAGTTAGGCAAATCATGTGCAGTAGAATGAATGTTGGGGACTCAACCACATTAGACACTGTGTCTAATTTGCAAAATATATACAAGGGAGACATATTATAGGGGCCTTTACCTTATGGGAATTCAACTATATGGGTCCAGAGAAGGAGAGAGTAAGAACTATGGAAATAGAGTAATTCAGTCATTCTTTTTTGTTTTTGAGACAGGGTCTCACTCTGTCACTGAGGCTGGAGGGCAGTGGTGCAATCAGGGCTCACTGCAGCCTCAATCTCCCAGGCCCAAGTGATCCTCCCACCTCAGCCTCCCAAGTAGCTGGGAATACAGATGTGCCACCATGCCTGGCTAATTTTTTAACTTTCTGTAGCAACGAGGTCTCTCTATATTTCCCAGGCTTGTCTTGAACTCCTAGGCTCAAACAATCCTCCCATCTTGGTCTCCCAACGTGTTGAGATTACAGGTGTGAGCCACTGTGCCTGGCAATTCAGTCATTCTATTCAAGGAACATATGCCCTGGATTGTACATGAGATAGGAGACAAGTATCTACTATTCCTTCTATGTCAATTTCATAGTTGCTGCTTCCAGTATGAACCTTTGACTCACTGAGTTTATTTCTAGTGTTTAGAACCACAGTATGCATTTTTTCACATAATATACACCCTAAATGCAAGGCAACTAATTAATCTGGTTCTCAATCAAGAATAACCACTATGTTCTTTTTTTTATTTTTTATTTTTTGAGATGGCATCTCACTCTGTTGCCCAGGCTGGAGTGCAGTGGCTTGATCTTGGCTCACTGCAACCTCCGACTCCCGGGTTCAAGCGATTCTCCCTGCCTCAGCCTATAGCTGGGATTACAGGCATGTGCCACCATGCCTGGCTAATTTTTGTATTTTTAGTAGAGATGGGCCCAAGAATAATCATTATGTTCTAATATTAAAGGGATCATCTTGGCCAGGAGCGGTGGCTCATGCCTGTAATCCCAACACTTTGGGAGGCTGAGGCGGGCGTATCACCTGAGGTCAGGAGTTCGAGACCAGCCTGGCAAACATGGTGAAACTCCATCTCTACTAAAAATACCAAAATTAGCTGGGTGTGGTAGCAGGCACCTGTAATCCCAGCTACTCAGGAGGCTGAGGCAGGAGAATCGCTTAAACATGGGAGGCAGAGGTTGCAGTGAGCCAGGATCGCGCCACTGAACTCCAGCCTGGGCGAAAAGAGTGAAACTCTGTCTCAAAAAAAAAAGGGATCATCTTGAAGGATTTAAACTATTTGCAAATTTTATCATAATTGCTGACTTTAAAATTTTAATCCCGTAATAAGATTCAAGTCCACCATATTAGCTGCAATAATGAGAGTTATAGGGGTAGGCAGAGAGGCTCACACCTGTCATCTCAGTGCTTTGAGGGGCTGAGGCAGGAGGGTCGCTTGAGGCCAGGAGTTTGAGACCAGCCTGGGCAACATAGTGAGACTTCGTCTCATAAAAAATCAGCCAGGTGCGGTGGCTTATGCCTACAATCCCAGCACATTGGGAGGCCAAGGTGGGTGGATCTCTTGAGGCCAGGAGTTCAAGACCATCCTGGCCAACATAGTGAAACCCTGTCTCTACTAAAATTACAGAAATTAGCCAGGCGTAGTGGCACATGCCTGTAATCCCAGCTACTCAGGAGGCTGAGGCACAAGAATTGCTTAAACGCAGGCTACCTTCTTTGGGTCCCCTCCCTTTGTATGGGAGCTCTGTTTTCACTCTTAAATCTTGCAACTGCACTCTTCTGGTCCGTGTTTTGTTATGGCTCGAGCTGAGTTTTCGCTCACCGTCCACCACTGCTCTTTGCCGCCATCACAGACCCGCTGCTGACTTCCATCCCTCCGGATCCGGCAGGGTGTCTGCTGTGCTCCTGAGCGCCCATTGCCGCTCCCGATTGGGCTAAATAAAGGCTTGCCATTGTTCCTGCATGGCTAAGTGCCCGGGTTCGTCCTAATCAAGCTGAACACTAGTCACTGGGTTCCACGGTTCTCTTCCGTGACCCACGGCTTCTGATAGGGCTATAACACTCACAGCATGGCCCAAGATTCCATTCCTTGGAATCCGTGAGGCCAAGCACCCTTGGTCAGAGAACACGAGGCTTGCCACCATCTTAGAAGCGGCCCACCACCACATTAGGAGCTCTGGGAGCAAGGACCCCCCGGTAACATTTGGCAACCATGAAGGGACCTCCAAAGTAATGGGAAACGTTCCCCCCAAGGCAAAAACACCCCTAAGATATATTCTGGAGAATTGGGACCAATTTGACTCTCAGACACTAAGAAAGAAACGACTTATATTTTTCTGCAGTACCACCTGGCCATGATATCCTCTTCAAGGGGGAGAAACCTGGCCTCCTGAGGGAAGTATAAATTATAACACCATCTTACACCTAGACCTCTTTTGTAGAAAAGAAGGAAGAGTGAAGTGCCATATGTACAAACTTTCTTTTCATTAAGAGACAACTCGCAATTATGTAAAAAGTGTGATTTATGCCCTACAGGAAGCCCTCGAGTCTACCTCCCTACTCCGGTGTCCCCCCAACTGCTTCCCCAACTAATAAGGACACCCCTTCAACCTAAACGATCCAAAAGGAGATAGACAAAGGGGTAAACAATGAACCAAAGAGTGCCAATATTCCCCAATTATGCCCTCTCCAAGTGGTGGGAGGAGGAGAATTTGGCCCAGCCAGAGTACACGTACCTTTTTCTCTCTCAGACTTGAAGCAAATTAAAATAGACCTAGGTAAATTCTCAGATAACCCTGATGGCTATATTGATGTTTTACAAGGGTTAGGACAATCCTCTGATCTGACATGGAGATATAATGTTACTGCTAAATCAGACACTAACGCCAAATGAGAGAAGTGCCATCATAACTGCAGCCCGAGAGTTTGGCGATCTCTGGTATCTCAGGTCAATGATAGGATGACAACAGAGGAATGAGAACGATTCCCCACAGGCCAGCAGGCAGTTCCCAGTGTAGACCCTCACTGGGACACAGAATCAGAACATACAGATTGGTGCCGCAAACATTTGCTACCTTGCGTGCTAGAAGGACTAAGGAAAACTAGGAAGAAGCTTATGAATTATTCAATTATGTCCACTATAACACAGGGAAAGGAAGAAAATCCTACCGCCTTTCTGGAGAGACTAAGGGAGGCATTGAGAAAGCACACCTCTCTGTCACCTGACTGTACTGAAGGCCGACTAATCTTAAAGGATAGGTTTATCACTCAGTCAGCTGCAGACATTAGAAAAAACTTCAAAAAACTTAGAAACCCTGTTGAACTTGGCAACCTTGGTTTTTTGTAATAGAGATCAGGAGGAGCAGGCAGAACGGGACAAATGGGATAAAAAAAAGGCCACCGCTTTAGTCATGGCCTTCAGGCAAGCGGACTTTGGAGGCTCTGGAACACGGAAAGGCTAGGGAAATTGAATGCCTAATAGGGCTTGCTTCCAGTGCGGTCTACAAGGACACTTTAAAAAAGATTGTCCACATAGAAATAAGCCGCCCCCTCGTCCATGCCCGTTATGTCAAGGGAATCACTGGAAGGCCCACTGCCCCAGGGGACGAAGGTCCTCTGAGTCAGAAGCCATTAACCAAATGATCCAGCAGCAGGACTGAGGGTGCCCAGGGCAAGTGCCAGCTCATGCCATCACCCTCACAGAGCCCCGGGTATACTTGACCATTGAGGGCCAGGAGGTTAACTGTCTCTTGGACACTGGCGCGGCCTTCTCAGTCTTACTCTCCTGTCCTGGACAACTGTCCTCCAGATCTGTCACTATCCAAGGGGTCCTAGGACAGCCAGTCACTACATACTTCTCTCTCAGCCACTAAGTTGTGACTGGGGAACTTTACTCTTTTCACATGCTTTTCTAATTATGCCTGAAAGCCCCACTCCCTTGTTAGGGAGAGACATTCTAGCAAAAGCAGGGGCCATTATACACCTGAACATAGGAGAAAGAACACCCATTTGTTGTCCCCTGCTTGAGGAAGGAATTAATCCTGAAGTCTGGGCAACAGAAGGACAATATGGACGAGCAAAAAATGCCCATACTGTTCAAATTAAATTAAAGGATTCTGCCTCCTTTCCGTACCAAAGGCAATACCCGCTTAGACCCAAGGCCCAACAAGGACTCAAGAAAATTGTTAAGAACCTAAAAGCCCACGGCCTAGTAAAACCATGCAATAGCCCCTGCAATACTCCAATTTTAGGGGTATAGAAACCCAACAGACAGTGAACGTTAGTGCAAGATCTCAGGATTATCAGTGAGGCTGTTGTCCCTTTATACCCAGCTGTACCTAACCGTTGTACTCTGCTTTCCCAAATACCAGAGGAAGTAGAGTGGTTTACAGTCCTGGACCTTAAGGATGCCTTTTTCTGCATCCCTGTACATCCTGACTCTCAATTCTTGTTTGCCTTTGAAGATCCTTCAAACCCAATGTCTCAATTCACCTGGACTGTTTTACCCCAAGGGTTCAGGGACAGCCCCCATCTATTTGGCCAGGCATTAGCCCAAGACTTGAGCCAGTTCTCACACCTGGACACTCTTGTCCTTCAGTACATGGATGATTTACTTTTAGCTGCCCTTTCAGAAACCTTGTGCCATCAAGCCACCCAAGCGCTCTTAAATTTCCTTGCCACCTGTGGCTACCAGGTTTCCAAACCAAACGCTCAGCTCTGCTCACAGCAGGCTAAATACTTAGGGCTAAAATTATCCTAAGGCACCAGGGCCCTCAGTGAGGAATGTACCCAGCCCACACTGGCTTATCCTCATCCCAAACCCTAAAGCAACTAAGAGGATTCCTTAGCATAACAGGCTTCTGCCAAATATGGATTCCCAGGTATGGTGAAATAGCCAGGCCATTATATACACTAATTAAGGAAACTCAGAAAGCAATACCCATTTAGTAAGGTGGAAACCTGAAGCAGAAGCAGCTTTCCAGGCCCTAAAGAAGGCCCTAACCCAAGCCCCAGTGTTAAGCTTGCCAACGGGGCAAGACTTCGTATATATCACAGAAAAAACAGGGATAGCTCTAGGAGTCCTTACACATGTCTGAGAGACGAGCTTGCAACCTGTGGCATACCTGAGTAAGAAAACTGATGTAGTGGCAAAGGGTTGGCCTCATTGTTTATGGGTAATGGCAGCAATAGCAGTCTTAATATCTAAAGCAGTTAAAATGATACAGTGAAGAGATCTTACTGTGATCTCATGATGTGAACGGCATACTCACTGCTAAAGGAGACTTGTGGCTGTCAGACAACCATTTACTTAAATATCAGGCTGTATTACTTGAAGGGCCAGTGCTGCGACTGTGCACTTGTGCAACTCTTAACCCAGCCACATTTCTTCCAGACAATGAAGAAAAGATAGAACATAACTGTCAACAAGTAATTGCTCAAACCTATGCCACTTGAGGGGACCTTTTAGGGGTTCCCTTGACTGATCCCAACCTCAACTTGTATACTGATGGAAGTTCCTTTGTAGAAAAAGGACTTCAAAATGCGGGGTATGCCTCAGTGATAATGGAATACTTGAAAGTAATCCCCTCACTCCAGGAACTAGTGCTCAGCTGGCAGAACTAATAGCCCTCACTCGGGCACTAGAATTAGGAGAAGGAAAAAGGGTAAATATATATACAGACTCTAAGTATGCTTACCTAGTCCTCCATGCCCATGCAGCAATATGGAGAGAAAAGGAATTCCTAACTTCCGAGGGAAGACCTATCAAACATCAGGAAGCCATTAGGAAATTATTATTGGCTGTACAGAAACCTAAAGAGGTAGCAGTCTTACACTGCTGGGGTCATCAGAAAGGAAAGGAAAGGGAAATAGAAGGGAACTACCAAGCAGATATTGAAGCAAAAAGAGCTGCAAGGCAGGACCCTCCATCAGAAATGCTTATAGAAGGACCCCTAATATGGGGTAATCCCCTCTGGGAAACCAAGCCCCTGTACTCAAAAGAAGAAATAGAATGGGGAACCTCAGGAGGACATAGTTTCCTCCCCTCAGGATGGCTAGCCACTGAAGAAGGAAAAATACTTTTGCCTGCAGCTAACCAATGGAAATTATTTAAAACCCTTCACCAAACCTTTCACTTAGGCATTGATAACACCCATCAGATGGCCAAATCATTACTGGACCAGGCCTTTTCAAAACTATCAAGCAGATAGTCAGGGCCTGTAAAGTGTGCCAAAGAAATAATCCCCTGCACTGCAGGCCATGCATTTCAATCCCTGTATCTCTAACCTCCTTGTTAAGTTTATCTCTTCCAGAATCGAAGCTGTAAAACTACAAATCGTTCTTCAAATGGAGTCCCCGATGCAGTCCATGACTAAGACCTACCGTGGACCCCTGGACTGGCCTGCTAGCCCATGCTCTGATGTTAATGACATCAAAGGCATCCCTCCCAAGGAAATCTCAACTGCACAACCCCTACTATGCCCCAATTCAGCAGAAAGCAGTTAGAGCGGTCATCGGCCAACCTCCCCAACAGCACTTGGGTTTTCCTGTTGAGAGGGGGGACTGAGAGACAGGACTAGCTGGATTTCCTAGGCCGACTAAGAATCCCTAAGGCTAGCTGGGAAGGTGACCACATCCACCTTTAAACACAGGGCTTGCAACTTAGCTCACACCCAACCAATCAGGTAGCAAAGAGAGCTCGTTAAAATGATAATTAGGCAAAAACAGGAGGTAAAGAAATAGCCAATCATCTATCGCCTGAGAGCACAGCAGGCATTCGAGCCGGCAATGGCAACCCTCTTTGGGTCTCCTCCCTTTGTATGGGAGCTCTGTTTTCACTCTATTAAACCTTGCAACTACAAAAAAAAAAAAAAAAAAAAAAAAAGAATTGCTTAAACGCAGGAGGTGGAGGTTGTAGTGAGCCGAGATTGCACAACTGCACTCCAGCCTGGGTGACAGAGCAAGAGTCTGTCTCAAAAAAAAAAAAAAAAAATTATATATATTAGCCAGGCATGGTGGCACACAACTGTAGTCTCAGCTACTCAGGAGGCTGACGCGACAGGATTGCTTGAGTCCAGGAGTTTCAGGTTATAGTGAAATATGATCATACCACTGTACTCCAGCCTGGGTCACCCTGTGAGGGACAGCATTAGGACAAATACCTAATGCATGTGGGGCTTAAAACCTAGATGATGGCCGGGCACGTTGGCTCACGCCTGTAATCCCAGCACTTTGGGGGCCAATGTGGGCAGATCACAAGGTCAGGAGTTCAAGACCAGCCTGGCCAATATGGTGAAACCCTGTCTCTACTAAAAATACAAAAATTAGCAGGGCATGGTGGTGCGCACCTGTCGTCCCAGCTACTTGGGAGGCTGAGGCAGGAGAATCACTTGAACCTGGGAGGTGGAGGCTGCAGTGAGCCAAGATTACGCCAATGCCCTCCAGCCTGGGTGACAGAGCGAGACTCCATCTCAAAAAAAAAAAAAAACAACTTAGTTGATGGGTTGATAGGTGCAGCAAACCATCCTGGCACATGTATACCTATGTAACAAACCTGCATGTTCTGCACATGTATCCGAGAACTTAAAGTAAAATTAAAATAAATAAATAAATAAAACAAAATAATCAGAGTCATAGGATCCAAGGCTTGGATGGATCTTAAATATCAATCTAGCCTCAACCAATTATATGACTTTAGAGCTTCCTACAAAAATAAATATTTGTAGATATTCCTATAAAAATAAATATTTATAGATAGTGACAAATTGAAGAGCTCTTCCCATGATTCTACTCCAGCATTTTCTCCTACACTTCTACATCTAGACATATGTTTTTCCTGCCAGTAAGCTAGTTACCATTGTTTACCTGGGAAACTTCTCCTTCAAGAGTCAGGTCAAAGATCCCACTTTCTGTGATGAATACCTCTAAGTGATCTAGGCAGTCTTAGGTATTCCTTCCTCTCATTACCATTATACCTCTCTTGGTTCATCTACCGTGGCACTTAATTACAATTATCTTTTTGCTTAATTACTCTATAGAGCTTCTTGAAGGCAGAAAAGGTGATTTATCTTAAAGACAACGCCAGTAAGCAGAACCTACATATCTTTTAATGTTGGGTGATGATATATGCACTATTACTTCATAGTGAATTAATGATGCTACACATCCAAATTCATTTTTGGATGCTAGAATATTTGAGTTTAAATGAAGGATTCTAACATGCTCTGAGAAATCACCAGTCTGTCCTTTCATTCTTGGGAGCTTCCACCTTGTATTCTGTTTTCAACTTTGACTTCAGTAAAGAATGAAATATGGAATACTGACATGGTTTGGATTTGTGTCCCTGCCCAAATCTCATGTCGAATTGTAATCCCCAATGTTGGAGAAGGGGACTGGTGGGAGGTGAATGGATCATGGGGCCAGTATCCCCCTTGCTGTTCTCATGATAGTGAGTGAGATCTGGTTGTTTAAAGTGTATAGCACCTCTCTGCTTGCTCTCTTCCTCTTGCTCCAGCCATGTAAGATGTGCCAGCTTCCTCTTCACCTTCTGCCGTGATAGTAAGTTTCCTGAGGCTCCCCAGCTATGCTTCCTGTACAGCCTGTGGAACCGTGAGCCAATTAAAACTCTTTTCTCTAGAAACTATCCAGTCTCAGGTAGCTCTTTATAGCAATGCAAGAAGAGACTAACAAAGAAAATTGGTACCAGGAAGGGGGTATTGCTATAAAGATACTAAAAAATGTGGAAGCAGCTATGGAACTAGGTAATGGGCAGAGGGTGGAATAGTTTGAAGGGCTCAGAAGAAGAAAGGAAGATGAGGGCAAATTTGGAAATTCCTAGAGACCTGTTGAATGGTTGTGACCAAAATGCTGATTGTGAAATGGACAGTGAAGTCCAGGCTGAGAAGGTCTCGGAGATGAGGAACTTATTGGCAACTAGTGTAAAGGTTACTTGTGCTATGCTTTAGCAAACAGACTGGGGGCATTGTGCCCCTGCCCTAGAGATCTGTAGAACTTTGAACTTGAGAGTGATGATTTAGGGTATCTGGTGGAAGACCTTTCTTCTTTTTTTTGAGACAGAGTGTCACTCTGTCACCCAGGCTGGAGTGCAATGGGGCAATCTCAGCTCACTGCAACTCTGCCTCCTGGGCTCAAGGAATCCCCCTACCTCAGCCTCACAAGTAGCTGGGATTACAGGTGCACACCACCACACACAGTGAAATTTGTGTGTTTTTGCTAGAGCCAGGGTTTTGCCATGTTGCCCAGGCTAGTCTTGAACTCCTGAACTTAAGCAATCTGCTCACCTTGGCCCACCTCATAACCTTGGCCTCCCAAAGTGCTGGGATTACAGGGATGAGCCACTGCACTTGGCTGGTGGAAGAAATTTTTAAGCAGCAAAACACTCAAGACATGGTCTGGCTGCCTCTAGCAGCCTATGCTCATATTCTTGAGCAAAAAAAAAAAAAAAAAGACATAAAACTGGAACTTACATTTAAAAGGGAAGCAGATTATAAAGGTTTGAAAAATTTGCAGCCTGGTCATGTGGCATAAAAGAAAAAAAAGGCCAGGCGTGGTGGCTCACACCTGTAATCCCAGCACTTTGGGAGGCCAAGACGGGTGGATCATGAGGTTAGGAGATCGCGACCATCCTGGCTAACACGGTGACACCCCGTCTCTACTAAAAATACAAAAAAAAAGAAAAAGTTACCTGGGTGTGGTGGCAGGCACCTGTAGTCCCAGCTACTTGGGAGGCTGAGGCAGGAGAATGGCATGAACCTGGGAGGTGGAGGTTGCAGTGAGCCGAGATCGCGCCACTGCACTCCAGCCTGGGCAACAGAGTGAGACTCTGTCTCAAAACAAAAAAAGAAAAAAACAAAACTTTTTCAGGAGAGGAATTCAAGCCAGCTGTAGAAATTTGCATATGTAAAGAGGAGCCAAATATTCATAACCAAGATAATGGAGAAAATTCCTGGAAGGAATTTCAGAGACCTTCACAGTAGCTCCTCCCATCACAGGCCTGGAGGCCTAGGAGGAAATAATGGTTTTGTGGGACAGGTACAAGGCCTCACTGCTCTGTGCAGCCTCAGGTCATAGCACCCTGCATCACGGCCACTCCAGCTCTAGCTATGGTTAAAAGGGGCCAAGGTACAGTTCAGGCTGATGCTTCAGAGGGTGCAAGCCATAGGCCTTGGTGGCTTCCATGAGGTGTTAAGCCAGTGGGTGCACAGAGTGTGACAATTGAGGCTTGGGAGCCTCTGCCTAGTTTTTAGAGGATGTATGGAAATGCCTGATGTCCAGGCAGAAGTCTGCTGGGGGTGCGTAGCCCTCATGGAAAACCTCTACAATAGCAGTATGGAGGGCAAATGTGGGGTTGGAGCCCCTACACAGAGTCCCCACTGGGACAGTGGTTAATGGAGGTGTGAGAAGAGGGCCACCATCCTCCAGACATGAGAATGGTAGATCCACCAACGGCTTGCACCATGCACCTGGAAAACCCGCAGGCACTCAATGCCAGCCCACGAAAGCAGCCACAGGGGTTGCACCCTGCAGAGCCACAGAGGCAGAGCTGCCCAAAGCCTTGGGAACCCACCCCTTGCATCAGTGTTACCTGGATGTGAGACATGGAGCCAAAGGATATTATTTTGGAGTTTTAAGTTTTAATTACTGCCCTGCTGGGTTTCAGACTTGCATGGGCCTGTAGCTTCTTTGTTTTGGATAATTTCTCACTTTTGGAATGGAAGTATTTAGCCAATGCCTATAACCCCATTGTATCTTGGAAGTAACTAACTGTTTTTGATCTTATAGGCTCATAGGCAGAAGAGACTTGCCTTGTATGAGATGAGACTTTGGACTGTGGACTTTTCAGTTAATGCTGGAATGTGTTAAGAATTTGGAGGATAGCCGGGCACGGTGGCTCACGCCTGTAATCCCAGCACTTTGGGAGGCTGAGACGGGTGGATCATGAGGTCAGGAGATCGAGCCAATCCTGGCTAACACGATGAAACCCCGTCTCTACTACAAATACAAAAAAAATTAGCTGGGTGTGGTGGCGGGCGCCTGTAGTCCCAGCTACTCAGGAGGCTGAGGCAGGAGAATGGTGTGAACCTGGGAGGTGGAGGTTGCAGTGAGCCAAGATGGCACCACTGCACTCCAGCCTGGGCAACGGAGCGAGAGTCTGTCTCAAAAAAAAAAAAAAAGAATTTGGAGGACTGTTGGGAAGGCATGGTTGTATTTATTTGTTTATTTTTTTGAGACGGAGTCTCACTCTGTCACTCAGGCTGGAGTACAGTGGTGCAATCTCAGCTCACTGCCACCTCCACCTCCTGGGTTCAAGCAATTCTCCTGCCTCAGCCTACCAAGTAGCTGGGATTACAGGGGTGCACCACCATGCCCAGCTAATTTTTATATTTTTAGTAGAGACAGGGTTTCATCATGTTGGCCAGGCTGGTCTTGAACTCCTCACCTGAAGCAATCCATCCACTTTGGCCTCCCAAAGTGCTGGGATTACAGGGGTGAGCCACTGCCTGGCATGGCTGTAATTTGAAATGTGAGAAGGACATGAGATTTGGGAGGGGCCAGATGCAGAATGATATGGTTTGAATTTGTGTCCCTGACCAAATCTCATATCGAATTATAATCCCCAGTGTTGGAGAAGGGGCCTGGTGTGAGGCCACTAGATCATGGGGCCAATATCCCCCTTGCTGTTCTCGTGATAGTGAGTGAATTCTCATGAGTTCTGGTTGTTTAAAAGTATATAGCACCTCCCCACTCTCCTGCCTCCTGCTCTGGCCATGTAAGACATGCCAGCTTCCTCTTTGCCTTCTGCCATGATTGTAAGTTTCCTGAGGCCTCCCTAGCAATGCTTCCTGTACAGCCTATGGAAACCTGAGCCAATGAAACCTCTTTTCTTTAGAAACTAACCAGTCTCAGGTAGTTCTTTATAGCAATGCAAGAATGGACTAATACAAATACTGTTCACTTTTACTAACAAATTTAAACATTTCTACATTTTAAAATTGGCCTTTTCATAAATTGTTAGTAATACTAAAATACGGTACAACCCCCAAAAAGGGGAATTTGGCAATATCTAACAAATCTACATTTACATTTACTCTTTAAGCACAATCTCAGTTCTAAAAATTTACCCTGGATATACACTTTCAACAATACAAAAAAAAATGTACATGGTTATTCAATGTAGTATTGTTTATAGTACTAAAATATTGAAAGCAATCGAGTACCCATCCCTTAGGACTAAAGTGAATAAACAATATTACATTCACAAAGTTGGTTACTATACAGTGGTAAAAAAGAAAAAGACATATCTCTATGAACTGATATCATGATTTTCTGTATATATTAAGTGAACAGAATATAAAGAAGTAAGGCATGCTACCTTTTGCGTATGGAAAATGGGAAAAAAAGAAAAAAAATTATTTATATATGTATTTTTGTATTTGCTTATTTTTTCCAGAAAAATACAAAAAAGGATAAACCGGAAACTAATACAAAATAATTACCTACATGGAGTGAGGTGGGAATGTGATGGAAGAGATAGGGAGGTGAATAAGACTTTCTAAGTGTATCTATGATATGGTTTGGATTTGTGTCCCTGCGCAAATCTCATGTTGAATTGTAATCCCCAGTGTTGGAGGAGGGACCTGATGGGAGGTGACTGGATCATGGATGTGGATATCTCTCTTGCTGTTCTGGTGATAGTGAACAGCAAGTGACTGTCATAGTTTGAAGTTTGAATTCTGAATCATGTAAATATTTTACATGATTCAGAAAGTTAAAATCAAGACAGACAGGAAATGGGAGGCATCTAAAATTGTATGCCAACAGAAACAAATAAACCAAATTCCGTATGTCAAATTGACAACATTAAAAATGATCATTAATTTCAGTGACTTTTTCTTTCTTTTTCTTTGAACTTCTTCTTCTTCTTCTTTTTTTTTTTTTTTTTGAGACAGTGTCTCATTCTGTTGGCCAGGCTGGAGTGAAGCTCACTGCAGCCTTGACCTCCTGGGCACAAGTGATCCTCCCATCTCGTCCCTCGTCCTCCCAAAGTGCTGGGATTACAGATGTGAGCCACTATGGCTGCCCACAACTACTTCCAAATTATTTAGTAAAAATAATTATGAGAAGGAGAGAAGAGGGCCACAGAGGACTAGATAAAGCAAATGTGGCAGAATGTTAACAACTAGTGAATCTGAATTGATGGTATGCAACTGTTTATTCTATTTCTTTTATAATTTGTTGGATCACAGTTTGAAAATATTCAAATTCAAGAAGTTCAACAGAGGCCTTTCTTACTTTGCTATAAAGAAATACCTGAGATGGTAATTTATAAACAAAAGAGGTTTAATTGCTTCACAGTTCTGCAGGCTGTACAAGCATGATACCAGCATCTGCTTGACTTCTGAGGAGGCCTTAGGGAGCTTTTACCCATGGCAGAACGTGAAGTGGGAGTAGGCATGTCATATGATGAAAGCAGGAGCAAGGTTGGGGGAGGTACCACACACTTTTAAATAACCAGATCTCTTGACAACTCACTCACTATCACCAAGACAGCACTAAGTTATTCATGAGGGAACTGCCCACATGACCCAATTACCTCCCACCAAGCCCCACCTCCAACATTGGGGATTACATTTCAACAAAAGATTTGGGTGGGGACAAATATCCAACTATATCAGCCTTCCACAACAACCAGCTTTAGAAGGTGAATAGGAAAACAAAAGCAAAAGCAAACAAAAACACAAGGAACAGCTAGGAACAGCTCATCAATCTTTCCTTAAGAAGAACTGTCTTGAGCAGAAGAAACTCTAGCCTGGTCAATTGTACAATTCTCTGAGAATCAACAAAAGTTATAGAGAACATTCTTGGGACACTGGGGAAATCTGAAGACAGACTGTATATTAGATATTATTGTATCGGCCGGGCGCAGTGGCTCACGCCTGTAATCCCAGCACTTTGGGAGGCCGAGGCAGGTGGATCACGAGGTCAGGAGTTCAAGACCAGCCTGGCCAAGATGGTGAAACCCTGTCTCTACTAAAAATACAAAAATTAGCCGGGCGTGGTGGCATGTGCCTATAATCCCTGCTACTCAGGAGGATGAGGCAGATAATTGCTTGACCCCAGGAGGTGGAGGTTACAGTGAGCCGAGATCGTGCCACTGCACTCCAGCCTGGGCCACAGAGCGAGACTCCATCTCAAAAAAAAAAAAAAAAAAAAGATATTATTGTATCAATGATAATATCCTTGTTTTTGACAATAGAATTGTAGTTATAGAGGAGAATATTCATGTCCTTAGGAGAGAAATACTGAAATGTCGTATCTGTGATTTATTGTCAAATGACAGGGGGACAAAGTGTGAGTGTATGTGTGTGTGTGTGTGTGTGTATGTGTGTGTATGTGTGTGTGTGTTTAGAGTGAGAAAAGAAACAAACATGGTAAAATGTTAACAACTTGAGGATTTAGGTAAAGGATATATGGAAATGTATTATATTATTCACATAACTATTCTGTAGGTTTAACATTTTTCAAAATAAAAAGTTGGGGTAAACATTTCCATAGTTCCTTTAGTTTTCTTTGTGTGGCTGCTAATTGGTTTTTCTTTAATTTTATACTTATATTTTTATACCTTCATTCTTGACCCCTTTCAGTCTAACAAAAAGGACACATGAATGATGATCTATGCATGTTTCCATATAGAAAACTCTTCTATAATAAGATAGTTATTGCCTTAGGATAGAAATGAGCAAGGGCAGTATAAAACAGAAGGAAAGTATGGGCTTTAGAGAAAGAACAACTTATGCTCAAATTTTGGTTCCAAAAATTATTAGTTATGTGACCCTGGAAAAGTTATATTTGACTAGGTACATACTAGTTGTTTTAATGACTGGTAAAGATTTTGGAGTTTATACTAATTATTATTTCAGGATACTGCTTGAAGACCTTACATTTTCTTACGTTTCCATTCTGTAATCACTACAAAATCTGCTCTGTCCTTTTTTAAACTAATGAAAAAGGAATTATAACATTAACCTATCTCAGAGGGAATGTTAAAAAGGATAAAAACAGTTTGTTTAATGACATTTATAATGAAAATTTCAATTCAGCAAACATTTATTGAGTTCTTGCTTTACTGGCACTGTGTTAAATGCATAGTTCTTGCTAACCTTAGGGAGTTTACCACTTAGTGGGGGAAACAGATCCTCATTATAATACAAGTGAACTGTGCTAAGTGCTATAATAGAGGCACAGAGTATTAAATAAGGGAAGGGAGTAAGCATCTCATTCTCAGAAGGATTAAGAAAATGCTTCATAGAGGAGATAATGCAAAAGCCAAGAATAGAGGAATGTATAAGATTTCATCAGATACAGAAGGAAATAGTTTTAGCAAAGGTGCAGAGGAAAGAAAGATCATGACAGGTTTGGAAGATAAAAAGAATTTGATATGGAATAGCTAGGTCTTCAAATATGTGTTATGAAATATAGGAGAGTGAAAGGATAACTTGGAACTGCATAATTAAAAAAAAACACACAAAAAAACAGATCCAGCACTTTGGGAGGCCAAGGCAAAAGGATCACTTGAGCCCAGGAGTTTGAACCAACCTAAGCAACAGAGTGAGACCCTGTCTCTACAAAATATTAAAAAATTAGGCCGGGTGCAGTGGCTCACGCCAATAATCCCAGCACTTTGAGAGGCCGAGATGGGCAGATCACCTGAGGTCAGGAGTTTGAGACAAGCCTTGCCAACATGGTGAAAGCCATCTTTACTAAAAATACAAAAGAAATTAGCCGGGCGTGGTCACACACACCAGTAATCCCAGCTACTCAGGAGGCTGAGGCAAGAGAATCGCTTGAACCCGGGAGTCAGAGGTTGCAGTGAGCCAAGGTCACGCCACCGCATTCCAGCCTGGGCGACACAGCAAGACTCTGTCTCAAAAAAATAATAAAAATAAAAATAAAAAATAAAAAATTAGCCAGGTATGGAGGCAATTGCCTGTGGTCCCAGCTACTCAGGAGGTTGAGGTGGGAGGAACGCTTGAGCCTGGGAGATCAAGGCTACAGTGAACAATAATGGCGCCATTGCACTCCAGCCTGGGGGACCAAGTGAGACCCCATCTTTAAAAAAAAAAAAAAAGGAGCACCACTTTAGGCCAGGAGTTTGAGACCAGCCTGACCAACATAGACAGACTCTGTCTCTACAAAAAATAAAAATAAATTAGCCAGGCATTGTGGCACATACTTCTACTTCTAGCTAGTTGGGATGATAAGAGCAGGCTGGAGGATCGCTTGAATCTAAGAGGTTGAGGTTGCAGTGAGCTATGATTACAACCCTGCACTCCAGCTTGGGAGACAGTGTTGTGGATATAAGAGGATAACAATATGTAGTAGAAAGAAACAGGAAAGCAAGTTACAATCTGACCTGAGCTTACTGTTTGCTTTCACACGTTTATAGCTCTGTGCCTACACAAGTTATATAACTTCTCTGTGCTTAAGTTTCTATAAAGAATGAGGTTGGCCAGGCACGGTGGCTCACACTTGTAATCCCAGCACTTTGGGAGGTCAAAGCAGGCGGATCACCTGAGGTCAGGCGTTCGAGACCAACCTGGCCAACATGGTGAAACCCCACCTCTACTGAAAATACAAAAAAATTAGCCAAGTGAGGTGGTGGGTGCCTGTAATCCCAGCTACTCGGGAGGCTGAGGTAGGAGAATCGCTTGAACCTGGGAGGCAGAGGTGGCAGTGTGCCGAGATCACGCCCTGCACTCCAGCCTGGGTGACAGAGCAAGACTCCGTCTCAAAAAAAAAAGAATGAGGTTAATGGTAATATTAACTCATATGGTCTTATGTGGGAAAAATAGAAATATACAGCACTAAAGCCATTTCTGAAGGGAAATGGATCTCTCAAGTGTGGAAGCCATGTAAGTTTGTGCTCCAGTATAACTTAAACCACAGTCTGGATAACCTTTGTCAGACACATCACTGTCCCACATAAGTATCTTTGATGGTTAATTTTATGTGCCAGCTCAACTGGACTACAGACTGCCCAAATTAAATATTATTTCTGGGTTTGTCTGTGAGAATGTCTATGGATGAGATTAGTATTTAAATTGGTGGACTCGGTAGACTACCCTCCCCTATGTTGGTAGGCATCATCCAATCCATTGAGGGCCTGAAAAGAACATAAAGCAGAGGAAGGAGAATTTGCCTCTTTTTTTCTGCCTCACCATTTTAACTGGGACATCTCATCTCAATTTCTTCTGCTCTTGGACTGGGATTTAAACCTTCAGCTCCCGGGGTTTTTAGGACTTCAGACTTGCAGACAGCAGATCACGGACAAGTCAATTTCTTATAGTAAACCTGATTTTATATATATGTATCTCCTACTAGTTCTGTTTTTCTGGAGAACCCTGACTAATACACTAGCTAAAGTGGTTATGACTTATTAACTGAATACAATATAAACTAAGTTCTGCATATATAGATGCTCTATTAACCACACCACCACCTATTCTTCCCATTTTCCAACTTCACTCTGATGGAGCCATTTGGTTCAAGTAGGCTACATGATTTAAGGCTTCTTATTCCTCAGTTTTCTTTCATTCTGTCCCTTCTATATCTCCATGCCCTCCTATTCTTTTTACCAATCTAGGTATATTCCATCCATTATGATCTAGGTTGGTAACTGGGTGTCACAATCATCAATGAGTGCATGCAGTTCAAAACCAAGGCATGAACAAAGAATATGTGTTAGGGCTCTCTTTCTATGTGGGGCCTAATTTTGTAGGCATAACTGTTTACAATGCAGAACAATGTGATAGACTATACAACCTACAAAGTTTCCTTAAACCAAATGCCAGATAAAAATAAACATCCTCTGAAATACATAGCTGAGCTTGCAGAAAGCAAAGGGAAATTCCCAAAGGCCAAAGTGAAGGGGGAGTTGGAAATCAAAATGGTGAACTGATATTGAAGTTACCCTAAGGCACTGCCATTTTCAGAGTCTTCCATTTTATCACACATTCTGAGACCCAAAAATTCCACCCGTGGGCAAATGAAAAAGATGAGGAAAGATTTCTGCTCAGTCATGGCTCTAGAGGGGAAAAATGTCTTCCCTGATAATTTATAACCATAAACCTGCTCATACATCAGTTTGGGGCTCAAATTTACACTATCAGCCCAGTTTTGGAAGCCATCAGTCAAAAAATTAAAAGTGATCCCAGATTGAGAGTAACACAGGATACAGAAAAGAAGCAAATATGAATCTTCCTTTATGGGACAGATCCCAAATGGCATAGTCTGATTATTCAGGGTTCCTACAAATAAAGTTCTAAAAAAAATTGTCAACTTAGAATACAAGACAAATTAAAATTAAAAAACAAGGACCTTTTCAGACAAATAAAAACTGGGAGAGATCACCAAGAAATCCTTACTGAAAGAACTTCTAAAGGATACTAATTTCTTTTTATGAGATGTAGTTTCACTCTTGTTACCCAGGATGGAGTGCAATGGCGCAATCTTGGCTCACCGCAACCTCCACCTCCCGGGTTCAAGCGATTCTCCTGCCTCAGCCTCCCAAGTAGCTGGGATTACAGGCATGTGCCACCACACCCGGCTAATTTTGTATTGTTAGTAGAGACGGGGTTTCTCCACGTTGGTCAGGCTGCTCTCGAACTCCTGACCTCAGGTGATCCGCCTGCCTCAGCCTCCCAAAGTTGAGGAGACGATGGGGTTTCACCATGTTGGCCAGGATGGTATCAATCTCCTGGCCTAAAATGAGCTGCCTGCCTTGGTCTCCCAAAGTGCTGTGATCACAGGCGTGAGCCACCATGCCCAGCTGGATACTGATTTTTCTAAAAGAAGAAATTGACCTCAAAAGATCTAAATTACAAAAATGAATAATAAGAAAGGCAACTGGTAGACACATGGGTAAATCTAAACATCTGATTCCAGCAATGTAAAGAAATCTCAGTCAAATCATTAGCTCATCACTAAGGTAAATTAGCAGACCTCAGAAGCCACAAACAAAGAATACAGACTTTATAGAACCACATAGGAACAAATAACTGCAAAAATAGCAACAACAAACCCTCAGAATGGGAGGGGGAGTTGATTTCCGGTGTTGCCACATTATATTATGTAAAATGTCCAGTTCTCAAAAAAAAAAATGAGAAATATAAACAAAACAACAAAGACATTAAGAAAGAAAGAAAAAGAAAGGCAGGTCCATATGGGGATTGGGGGAAACAGACAGTAGAAACTATCCCAGAGGAAGCCCAGACATTGGACTTACAGAGAAAGACTGTAAATCAGTGATTTTAAATATGTAATAGGAGCCAAAGGAAACCATGTTCAAAAGAACTAAAGGAAAGTATAACAATATCTTACCAAATAAAAAATATCAATAAAGAAATATAGATTGTTAAAAATAACCAAACAGAAATTCTGGGCTAGGTGTGGTGGCTCACCTATAAACCCAGCACTTTGGGAGGCCGAGGTGGGTGGATCACTTGAGGTCAGGAATTTGAGACCAGCCTGGCCAACATGGTAAAACCCTGTCTCTACTAAAAATACAAAAAGAGCTGGACATGGTGGGGTGCACCTGTAATCCCAGCTACACAGGAGGCTGAGGCAGGAGAATTGCTTGAACCTGGGAGGCGGAGGTTGCAGTGAGCTGAAATTGTGCCACGGCACTCCAGCTGTGGTGACAGAGCAATAGTCTATCCCCCCCACCAAAAAAAAAGAAAAGAAAAAGAAATTCTGGAGCTGGAAAGTACAATGATGGAAATAAAAATGTCACTACAGGGGCTCAACAGCAGATAAGAATCAACAAAATTGAAAATAGGTCAATTGAGATTATCCAGTCTGAGACAAAGGAAAGAAAAAAAATGAAGACAAAGAATATAGACTCAGAGACCTGTAGGACACCCTAACGCCTATCAATATATTCATAATGAGAGTCACAAGAAAAGGGAGATAGGAGTAGAAAGAATACTTGAAGAAATAATGGCTCTAAACTTCCCCAAATTTGATTAAAAAAACAATAATCTACATCTTCATGAAGCTCAATAAATTCCAAGTAGGACAAACTCAAAGATATCCATACCTAGACATATCATAGTTAAATTACTGTGATGTGTTTTGAAAGCAGTTAGAGAGAAGCAACTCAACAAGTCCAAGGGAGATCTAATAATGCTAATGGTTGATTTATCATTAGAAACCAATGAAGCCAAAAGGTGGTGGGATGGCATATTGAAAGTGCTGAAAGAAAAAGACGATTGATCAAAGAAATCTATATCCAACAAACTATTCTTCAAAAATGAAGGATCTACTTCCATCATTACATCATGAGGCGCTCCACTGACCCACTCCTATGTGAAAAATTATTAATAATAACGACAAAGAAAAACCCAAACCAAGAACTCAACAAAACAACAAAACAAAATCCCTAAAGCCTCTGGAAATGGTCCTAAGAGCAAATACCCAATGAATAAACGTGTATTCAACAAAATCTGGCTGGGCATGATGGCTCATGCCTGTAATCTCAGCATTTTGGGAGGCCAAGGTGGGAGGATTTCTTGGGGTCAGGAGTTCAAGACCAGCCTGGGCAATGTAGTGAGACCTCATCTCTATAAAAACTAAAAAAAATAAGCCAGGTGTGATTGCATGCCTGTGGTCCTTGCTACTCAGGAGGCTGAGGGAGGAAGATCCCTTTCACCCAGGTGGTGTAGACTACAGTGCGCCATGATCTCACCACTGCACTCTAGCCTGGACGACAGAGGGAGACTGTCTCCAAAAAAAAACAAAGAAAGAAAGAAAAAACTGTAAAAAAAAATTTGCTGCAATGGACTTAATATGTGTGTCCTTTAAAAATGTATATATTGAAACTCTAATCCCAATGTGATGTTATTTAGAGGTGGGGCCTGTAGGAGGTAACTGGGTCCTAAGGGTAGAGCCCTCATGAATGAGATTAGTGCCCTTATAAGAAGCCCAAAAGCTAGCTACCTCTCTTTCCACTATGTAAGGATACAAAGAGAAGTTGGCTGTCTGCAAACTAGAAGAGGGCTGATACAGTTTGGCTGTGTCCCCACCCAAATCTCATCTTAGATTTTTAACTCCCACAATTCCTGCATATTGTGAGAGGAACTCGGTGGGAGGTGATTGAATTATGGGGGTGGGTCTTTCCTGTGCTGCTCTCGTGATAGTGAATGAGTCTCATGAGATCTGATGGTTTTAAAAACGAGAGTTTCTCTGCACAAGCTCTCTTTGCCTGCCACCATCCATGTAAGACGTGACTTGCTCCTCCTTGCCTTCTGCCATGATTGTGAGGCCTCCCCAGCCATGTGGAACTGTAAGTCCATTAAACCTCTTTTTCTCCCCAGTCTCAGTTATGTCTTTATCGGCAGCATGAAAATGAACTAATGAAAATGAATTAATACAAGGACCAGAACCATGCTGGCATCCTAATCTCACACTTTCAGTCTCCAGAACTGTGAGAAATAAATATTTATTATTTAAGGCACTCAGTCTATGACAATTTTTTTTATAGAAGCCAGAACTCATTGAGATATTTGGTAAGACAGGTAAGAATCTGTGCACATGTACAGTGGAGGCGTCAAGATAAATGCCTTCCTGCCCCATCCCCATCGTGAGGCAGAGACTACTCTCCAGATTGCCATAGCCAAGAACACAAGACTCTTTCTCCCCTCAGCATCTAGCTGGAAGGCTTCCTTCCCAGGAGGAGCAGGACTTTAGTGCCTCTCATCCTGCCCCCATCTTTCTGTTGTTGAGGCTACATCCCAGGTGAGTGGGGTCAAAAGGTAGAGGCTCCCTTGTTTTGCCCAACTTACACTCATGGAAAGGAGGCTCTACCTTGGGAATGGCACACTGAGAATACTTGAGGAAATGCAGGGAAATGCAAATAAAAACCGCAATGAGAACAACACTTCACACCTAATAAGATGGTTCTAATAAAAACAAAACAATGAAAAGAACAATGTGTTGAGGAGGATGTGGAAAAACTGGAACCTTCCTATATTCCTAGTGGAGATGTAAAATGGTGCAGGTGCCTTGGAAGATAGTCTGGCAGTACCTCAAAAGGTTAAACACTATATAACCCAGAAATCCACTCCTAGGAACACACCTAAGATATCTGAATGATGTAATTTATAGAAAACATCCAGAATAGGCATATCTATAACAACAGAAAGTAGATTAATCATTTCTAGGGGCTAGGAGTGGTAGTAAATGGGCACTGACTGGTAGTGGTTATGTGGTTCCTTTCTGAGGTGATAAATATATTCTGGAACTAACAGTGGTAACTGTTGTACAAGTTTATGAATGTAAGTCACTATAATGTCACTACAGGGGCATTGAATGTAAGAAGTCCATTGAATTGCATACTTTAAAAGGGTGAATTTAATGGTATATGAATTATATCTCAAAAAGACACAAGAGAAATAGTTTTTCACTTAGTCATTGCAGCTTAGGAAGTTGGAAATCACTTGGTCAGCCTCATGTAGTATCAACCAAAGACTAATATCTTACCTCAGTTCCTGTTTCTCTCCAATCCCAAGTCCGACTACCCCCTGGCCATACTTTGCAGTCCTTATAGGTTGTATTAGAGCCTTTTACTTTCATTTGCCCCCATGATAAGGAAGCAATTTCAGGGGAAGTCATAAGGAACTTCACTGAAGTCTGAAATTAAAAGAAAAATATACTAAATCAGTTATAAAGTAAGGCTGAAACAGTTTGAAAATACAGTGATACTAAGCCCTGATTCTCCATGATTTAAGAAGCATCTTTTCATTTACGTGGTTGTTACTTCTTCTTTAGAGGTCTAAAAAGTAACTATTATTCCTGGAATCCTGAATCATCCAACCATAGAAACCAGATACTGCAATTACTTATCAGGCTCCAGAGGGAATCCTTAGGATATTTTTGAGAGATAAAATTAAGAGATGAAGATTTACTTCAGCATGATGGAGTGAGGTTGACATATTCTCTCCCCAAGAAGAAACTATAAAGCTAGAAAAAAACTGTCAAAACCAAAAATTTGTCACTCTAGAAATAAAATTAAAGGCATATACCACAATCAGAGAAATGCTTATTCATGAAGATCGCTGAATTTCAGATAAGGACAATTTCTTTTTGTTGTTCTTGCCTGGAACAACCCCCATTCCACCACTCCAGTTCTGTTGTAAGTGAAGTTCAAGTAGGTTGGGGCAGAACATGAAAATGAACAGCCTTGCCGCCATGGCCAAAGGAGGCTTACTTGAGTTGGAGCCATTATCAGTTTAAAAAGGTGATCTCAGTGGCAAGCAAACATGGATAGAAGGTGGCTCTGCTTGCCTTATGTTGCCTTTTATTTGAGGCAAGCTATGGATTGGCAAACTAGGTGGGATTTAACAGGAATTTCCCAGGGATGACACAGCCACAGGGGGCTTTATAAGCTCTCTACATATCCCAAGTGGACCAGAGGCTGCAAGGATATGCATCAAAGATTTGGAAGATAGACCCAAGACACCCAAACATTCTGGGCTAATGGATCCTCAGCACATACACAGTGGATAAGCAAGAAGGTTCAAGAGGGCCTTGCAGAATGTAAAAGCCAGTGAAGACATACAACAGCTGGACTTTGAACGCACTCCCCTGTACACACAGTGTTCCATCAGTAGAGAGAGAAAGTCTTACTGCCTCAAGGTGTTTGAGCCAAATGTTTAATTAATGTTTGGCTGAACACTAAGCTATATACACACCAAGGAGAATCTTGGGAAACTGGGTTTAAGAATAAAATCAAGGAAAAAACTCTAACAGAACAGAGACTAAAGTAGACACATATTGCATGGGAGAATTCATAGATTTAGTTTAGTGCTATGGTTTGAATGTCTGCACCCTTCCAAACTCATGTTTAAATTTAACTGCCATTATAACAACATTAAGAGGTGGGACCTTTAAGAGCTGATTAGGCCATGAGGGTTCCACCCTCATGAATAGATTATGCTGTTATTGCAGGAGTAGTAGGTTCATTATAAAAGGACAAGTATGGCCCTCTCTTGGTGCTTCCACCATGTGATGACTTCCACTATAGGATGATGCAGCAAGAAGGCTCTCACCAGATGCGAGCCAACTGGTCTTGGACTTCCCAGCCTCCAGAACTGTGAGAAAAAAAATTATTTTCATTATAAATTTTAAATTACCCAGTTTCAGGTATTCAGTTATAGGAGCACAACATGGATTAAGCACAAAATGGATTAAGACATTTAGTATAGGCAAATGGCTAAACCCCCACACACAAATAAACAGAAGAACAACTTTCAGGGGGAAAAGTTGTTTCGCCAGGCTGGATGCCATCCACACTGTCCTACAATATGTTATCTAAAATGTCACTCTTCAACAAAAAATTACAAGGCATGCAAATAAACAAAAACTATGACCCACACTCAGTAAACTGAAACTGTTACCTGGGGCTGAGTGTGGTGGCTCATGCCTGTAATCCCAGCACATTGGGAGGCCAAGGTGGGAATTTCACTTGAGGCCAGAATTTCAAGACCAGCCTGGGTAACATAGGGATACCCAGTTTCTTTTATGTTTTTATTAGAATTTTATTTTTCTAATAGAAATACATTAAACACTTTTTTTTCTTTTGAGATGGAGTCTGGCTCTGTTGCCCAGGCTGGAGTGCAGTGGTGCGATCTTGGCTCACTGCAACCTCCACCTCCGGGGTTCAAGTGATTATCCTGCCTCAGCCTCCCAAGTAGCTGGGATTACAGGCATGTGCTACCATGCCCGGCTAATTTTTGTATTTTTGGTGGAGACAGGGTTTCACTATGTTGGCCAGGCTGGTCTTGGTCTCCTGACCTCAGGTGATCCACCTGCCTTGGCCTCCCAAAGTGCTGGGATTACAGGCGTGAGCCACTTAAAGATACTTTTAATTCAAAAGGTACTAAACAGTAGAAAGTGAAAGTTTCCTTGCTCCCATGAACCCCAGATACCTAGTTTTCATGTTTCTTTTCAAGGGTATATTGTGCATTAATCATTCAAATCCCTGGGTGTTGTGTGTGTGTGTGTGTGTGTGTTTACTGTCCCCCTCTCCATACTCTAATATTACAGAAATGATAACATGCTATCAACCCTGGTCTTTATTTTGCTTTTTTGCTTTCCAATATCTTGGAAATTGTTATATGCATGTAACATCTTTTTTACGTTCCAGGATACATGTGTAAGACATGCACGTTCATTACATAGGTACACATGTGCCATGGTGGTTTGCTGCACCTATCAACCCATCACCTAGGTATTAAGCCCCACATGGATTAGCTATTTATCCTGATGCTCTCCCTCCCCCTGACCCCCACCAGCAAGCCCCAGTGTGTGTTGTTCCCCTCCCTGTGTCCATGTGTTCTCATTGTTCAGCACCCACTTATAAGTGAGAACATGTGCTGTTCAGTTTTCTGTTCCTGTGTTAGTCTGCTGAGGATAATGGCTTCCAGCTCCATCTGTGTCCCTGCAAAGGACATGATCTTGTTCCCCTTTATGGTTGCATAGTATACCATGGTGTAGAGGTACCATATTTTCTTTATCCAGTCTATCACTGATGGGCATATGGGTTGATTCCATGTCTTCGCTATTGTAAACAGTGCTGCAATGAATATATGTGTGCATTTCTCTTTATAACAGAATGATTTATATTCCTCTGGGTATATACCCAGTAATGGGATTGGTGGGTCAAATGGCATTTCTAGTTCTAGGTCTTTGAGGAATTGCCCCACTGTCTTCCACAAAGGTTGAACTAATTTACATTTCCACCAATAGTGTAAAAGCATTCCTATTGGGAGACCTGGTTTCTACAAAAACAAACAAACAAAAAAAAGCCAAGTGTGTTGGCTTTGCACCTATAGTGCTAGCTACTCAGGAGGCTGAGGCAGGAGGATCACTTGAGCCCATGAGTTTGAGGCTGCAGTGAGCAATGATCTTGCCACTATACTCCAGCCTGGGTGACTGAGCAAGACTCTGTCTCCAAAAATTAATTAATTAATTAAAAAAGAAACTGTATCTGAGTAATTGAGTATTCTCAGAAGTCTGACATTTAGCAAAGACTTCAAAGAAAGTAGTATAAGGGAAATAAAGCACAAAGAAATAAACAAAAATATGGTAACAATGACTCAGCAAATACAGAATCTCAATAAGGAAACACTTCAAAAAGGAATAAAATGGAAATTCTAGCACTGGTAAGCACAGTAAGTAAAAGGTACTTGTATTGCTGGGCGCGGTGGCTCACGCCTGTAATCCCAGCACTTTGGGAGGCCCAGGTGGGCGGATCACGAGGTCAGGAGATTGAGACCATCCTGGCTAACACGGTGAAACTCCGTCTCTACTAAAAATACAAAAAAATAGCTGGGCGCAGTGGTGGGCGCCTGTAGTCTCAGCTACTCGAGAGGCTGAGGCAGGAGAATGGCGTGAACCCGGGAGGCGGAGCTTACAGTGAGCCCAGATAATGCCACTGCAGTCTGGCCTGGGCAAAAGAGCGAGACTCTGTCTCAAAAAAAAAAAAAAAAAAAGGTACTTGTATCAGTCAGGGTTATCCAGAGAAACAGAAGCAGATGACTATAAATATTGACAGACTTGTTTCAAAAAAGTGGCTCACAAAATTTTGGAGGCTGGCAAGTCCAAAATGTATAGATAATACTGGTAAGCTGCTCACCCTTGGGCAAGAGTTGTTATGGTACTGAGGCAGTATTTCTTCTTCAAGGAAACATCAGTTTTGCTTGGACTTTAAACTGATTGGAAGAGGCCAACTCAGTGTATCAAGGATATAATCTCATATATACACTAGTCTACTGACTGTAGATGTTAACCATATCTACAAGGTATGTTCACAGCAACACTTAGATTAGTATTTGATTAAATAACCGTACTATAACCTTACCACGTTGACACATAAAACTAACAGTCACAGTCTACATCTTGTCAATTTGGCACCTATATGTGTCTCCTTAACCATATTTAATCTCCAACTAAAGACGATT
Organism: Homo sapiens; assembly: GCF_000001405.40. Taxonomy (NCBI): domain Eukaryota; kingdom Metazoa; phylum Chordata; class Mammalia; order Primates; family Hominidae; genus Homo; species Homo sapiens. Next base: position 77,838,147 of record NC_000011.10, on the reverse strand, counting down.
AGAAAGTCTTACTTCTGATTAACATTAATAACTAATAACCCATTTTTGCAAGTTCAACTTATTATTAATATCAAAGAGACAGTGTCTCATTCTTTCATCCAGTCTGGAGTGCAGTAGTGTGATCTTAGCTCACTGCAACCTCAAGCCCCTGGGCTCCAGTGATCTTCCCACCTCAGGCTAGTTCCTAGCTGGAACTAGAGGTGTGTGGCACCATATCCAGCTAATTTTGTAATTTTATTTATTTATTTATTTATTTTTAGAGCCAGGGTCTCACTATGTTGCCCATGTTGGTCTCCAAATCCTGGGCTCAAGCAATCTGTCTTCTCAGCCTCCCAAGTGCTTGCATTATAGGCATGAGCCACTGTGCCCAGGCTCAATTTCTGAATGTCCATCTAAAAAATAAGTACCTGAGGGCTGGGCGTGGTGGTTCATGCCTGTAATCCCAGCACTTTGGATGGCCAAAGCAGGTGGATCACTTGAGGTCAGGAGTTCAAGACCAGCCTGGCCAACATGGTGAAACCCTGTCTCTACTAAAAATACAAAAATTAGCCGGGCGTAGTGATGCACACCTGTAGTCCTATCTACCCGGGATGCTGAGGCAGGAGGTGGAGGTAACAATGAGCCAAGATCGCACCACTGCACTCCAGCCTGGGTGACAGAGCGAGACTCCATCTCAAAAACAAACAAACAAACAAACAAACAAAAACCAAAGGGACGGGCGCAGTGGCTTACATCTGTGATGCCAGCATTTTGGGAGGCCGAGGCAGGCGGATCACGAGGTCAGGAGTTAAGAGACCAGCCTGGCCAACGTGGTGAAACCCTGTCTCTACTAAAAATAACAAAAATTAGCTGGGTGTGGTGGCGGGTGCCTGTAATCCCAGCTACTCGGTAGACTGAGGCAGGAGAATCATTTGAACCTGGGAGGTGGAGGTTGCAGTGAGCTGAGATCGTGCCACTGCACTCCAGCCTGGGTGACAGAGCGAGACTACGTCTCAAAAAACAAGCAAGCAAACAAACAAACAAAAAACTCAAACAAAAAACAACACAGAAGTTCAATATATTGTTATGGGTGCTATGGAAGGAAGATACAAATTCATAAAACATGATTCCTGTTTTTGAGGATCTAATACTACAGTAGAGAAGACAAACACATATAATTACAAGGTAACTTTTTCTTTTTTTGAGATGGAGTTTCGCTCTTGTTGCCCAGGCTGGAGTGCAATGGCGCGATCTTGGCTCACCGCAACCTCCGCCTCCCGGGTTCAAGCGATTCTCCTGCCTCAGCCTCCTGAGAAGTTAGGATTACAGGTGCCCACCACCATGCCCAGCTAATTTTGTATTTTTAGTAGAGATGGCGTTTCTCCATGTTGTTCAGGCTGGTCTCGAACTCCCAGCCTCAGGCGATCCACCCGCCTAGGCCTCCCAAAGTACTGGGATTACAAGCGTAAGCCGCTGCGCCCGGCCACAGGGTAACTTCTTAAGAAAAAACAAAGTAACTTTTAAAAAGTGATATAAGGAGAGACATAACGAGTATGTTTTGAGGATTTCTTTATTAGTCTGATAGGGCTTCCATTACAAAATACCACAGACTGCGTGTCTTAAACAATAGAAATTTATTTTCTCACACTTCTGGAGACCAGAAGTCCAAGATCAAGGTGCCAATAGGATTGGTTGGTTTATGGCGAGGCCTTTTTGGCTTGGAAATGGATGCCTTTTGCTGTTTTCTCACATGGCTTTTTCTGCTTGCATGGGCACACCTGCTATCTCTTTCTCTTTTTATAAATTCACCCATCCTATTAGATTAGGGCCTGACTCTTATGATCTCATTTAATTTTAACTACCTCCTTGAAGACCCTATCTCTAACTACAGTCGTTTTTGGGGTTAGGGCTTCAATGTATGAAGTTGGTGGGGAGGGCACATTCAGTCCACAGCAATTTCTAAGTAAGAAATTAAATAAATATGTTTGAGGAAATAGTATTTGAACTGGGTCTTAAAATTCAATTGAGAAAAAAAGGAATATTTATTGGGAACCTACTATGTACCAGATATTTTAGATCTGTTATCTCAACAACATCAAGATTGGAGAGTGGTTAAGAACTTTGTTCCAAGTTATATAGCTAATAAGTGAGAAAATGAGAATTTGAATCCAAGTCTGTCTGACTCTACAGCATGTATTCTTCAATTCACTTTGCCATTCTACTCCAACTTTATTTTTATTATTATTTTTTTTTTCTTTTTTGACACAGAGTCTCACTCTGTCACCCAGGCTAGAGTGCAGTGGCATGATCTCGGCTCACTGCAACCTCCAAGTGATTCTTGTGCCTCAGCCACCCTTGTAGCTGGGATTACAGGTACATGCCACCACGCCTGGTTAATTTTTTGTATATTTTGGTAGAGACAGGGTTTCGCCATGTTTGCCAGGCTGGTCTCAAATTCCTGATCTCAAGCGATCCGCCCACCTCAGTCTCCCAAAGTGCTGGGATTACAGGCGTGAGCCACCACGCCTGGCCCCAACTTTAGACTCAACAACTATTAAATAAGGAAATGCATAGGAAAATTATAGAATTTATTATTAGGAAAACAACTTCCTGGGAGATAAAATGTCACTGCTGCTTTTTTGGGAGTATCAACGAGGAAGATGAGTCTGATTTAGAAAATAAACCATAATCACTATGAGTTAAACATACCCCAAAGCATAGTGGCTTAAATAAGACAAAGTTTAAAGTCTGGAGGTAGTCAACATACGGCAGGTATAGTAGTTATCCCAAAGTCTAGGAATTAGGTGGCTTCCAGGTTTCAGCCTCACAGTCTTGATGATGAGGACTTCACTCTCATAGTTTAATATGGAGCTCTGGCGATCACATCCATGTTCCAAGCAACAGAATAAAGAGATAAAGTGGGACGGGGCAAAGGGTATATGTCTGGTGTCCTTTAAGAAATTTCCTGAAAGGTTTCAGAGAATACTTCTGTTTGCATGTTATTTGCTAGAATACAGTCATGTGGTCACACTCAATTGCAAACAATGCTAGATCTATCTGTTCTAAGAGGCAATGTGCCCAGCTTAAAAGTAGAGATTTCAAGGGGAGAATATGTATTAAGGAAGTACTAGTCTCCAAAATAATTATTTATCCTTATAAATCAGATTTTTGTTGTTACTTTTTTTATAAAAATATGGATACCCTTCGGACTACTCTGGTTTAGCTCATGAGATAATATTCATTTTTTTAACTTCTGTATTCCACTCTCAGTATTAATTATCAATAATGTTACAGTTTGAGTGGTAAAGGTGAGATTTGAAACTAAAGCCATCAGATGTCAAAAGTTATGTCCTTTCCATTATACCTCCTTATCTTGATACTAGAAACATTCTTCTGCAAGTACTTATTCAGTCTTTTCCTAGCCATTTGAATTACCCTTAAAATCCATTTTCTTGGCCAGGCGCAGTGGCTCACGTCTGTAATCCCAGAACTTTGGGAGGCCAAGGTGGATGGATCACCTGAGGTCAGGAGTTCGAGATCAGCCTGACCAACATGGTGAAAACCCATATGTACCAAAAATACAAAAATTAGCTGAACGAGGTGGTATGTACTTGTAATTCCAGCTACTCAGGAGGCTGAGGCAGGAGAATCACTTGAACCTGGGAGGAGGAGGTTGCAGTGAGCCGAGACTGCATGACTCTGTCTCAAAAAAAAAAAAAAAAAAAAACAAAATCAACTTTCTCCATGAAATTCATCATAAAAGATGTAATGGTTTCCTCATGCCCTTCTCAGTTTGATAATAAAATCATAATTAAGAGATTCTCTGATCTTCATTATGTGTTTACTTCTGTAGAAACTTTGCATCTTCTAATTTCTTCAAAACCACCTAAAGTGTTTAGTTCATTGTTGGGAATGCAACCATTGCTTCCCTAACCATTAAGTGAGTTTGTTTACCATTTGTATTTGTTGATATGTAATTTACATTTTATTCATTGAATTAGTATTTATAATCTTGGTTTGTGTATGGAGTATATATGAATCTGCATGACTATGTCTAGGATTATAAGATTTAAAGCACCATAAAAAACAGACATATAATGGGACACTTTTTCTGCTGTTGACAACTTTACTTAATATATGGTGGTAACTAGTTTCAAAAGCAGTTTTCTTCATCTACAGTTTGAATTTGCTTTCAGTTGCCTTTTCAATTTATTTCTGTTCAAGAAACATTTTTGAGCTTCTAACATGTATAACTCTTTGTGCTAAGAGCTGGCAGAATAAATAATTAGGAAGGTAGAATTACTCAAAAATAAATGGAATCATTTCATGACCTCAAGAAGAAATGTCAAAATCTAGATGGAATGATAGATAAGTATTAATATACGATTAACTGTAATACAAAACAGATTGTGCTAAGTCCAGGGTGAGTAGAGAATTTTAATGTTAGGTATTGATAAACATTCTAATAGGTACAAATGAAGTACAAGGGGATATTAGTGGGAATAGTGATTAACTCTGAGAAGATTCATAGAGCAGGAGTCCCCAACCCCTGGGTACAGGCCTGCTACCAGTCCGTGATCTGTTAGGAACTGGGCTGCACAACAGGAGGTAAGCAGCAGGTGAGTGAGCGATACTTTGTCTGTATGTAAGCCACTTCCTGTGGCTCACATTACTGCCCGAGCTCTACCTCCTGACACATCAGCAGCAGCATTAGATGATCATAGATGCGTGAACCCTATTGTGAACTGCACATGTGAGGGATTTAGGTTGCACAGTCCCTTATGAAAATCTAATGCCTGATGATCTGTCACTGTCTCCCATCACTCCCAGATGGAACCATCTAGTTGTAGGAAAACAAGCTCAGGGCTCCCACTGATTCTGTATTATGGTCAGTTGTATAATTATTTCATTATATACTACAATGTAATAATAATAAAAATAAACAGCCTGGCCAACATGGCGAAAACCCCATCTCTACTAAAAATGCAAACATTAGCTGGGTGTGGTGGTGAATGCCTGTAGTCCCAGCTACTCCAAAGCCGAGGCAGGAGAATTGCTTGAACCTCGGAGATTGAGGTTGCACTGATATGAGATCTGCCATTGCACTCCAGCCTGGGTGACAGAATGAGACCCTGTCTCAAAAAAAAAAAAAAAAAAAATATATATATATACACACACACACACACACACACACACACACACACACACACACACACATATATATATACAATAAAGTGCACAATAAATGTAATGAGCTTGAATCATCCTGAAACCATCTCTGTCCTGGTCTGTGGAAAAACTGTCTTTCACAATACTGGTCCCTTGTGCCAAAAAGGTTAGGGACTGCTGTTACAGAGCACAAATGGACTGAATTCTTCTTTGACAACATCACTATAAGCCTGGGTATACAAAAAATTTCAGCAGGCAAATATGGGGAAAACTGGGGAGTAGGAGGACTTTTTTTTTTTTTTCTTAAAACAGAGGGTACTACATGACAAAATACTGGAAATACATTTGAAGAATAAATATAAAAGTTCCTCTATGGCCAGGCGCGGTGGCTCATGCCTGTAATCCCAGTACTTTGGGAGGCTGAGGCGGGTGGATCACCTGAGGTCCGGAGTTTCAGACCAGCCTGACCAACATGGAGAAACCCTGCCTCTGCTAAAAATACAAAATTAGGTGGGCATGGTGGCGCATGCCTGTAATCCCAGCTACTGGGGAGGCTGAGGCAGAAGAATCGCTTGAACCCGGGAGGCGGAGGTTGCAGCGAGCCGAGATCACACCATTGCACTCCAGCCTGGGCAACAAGAGCGAAACGCCGTCTCAAAAAAAAAAAAAGTTCCTCTATTTGTGAAGTTTCATTTTTTATAAACTTATAAACTCAAAGAATAAATTTATATATGAGAATCAACCCTGCCAGAAATATATGATGTTGATGGTTTTTGTGTATTGCCACTTCCAAACCTATAATTGTAAGTACAGTTAACTATTGTCAGTGTGATTATAGTGCATGATGTAGCTGGAGAGGTAGATTGAGTTCAGATTATGGTGGATATCATAGGTATGTCAAGAGATTTGGACTTTAGAGAAAATGAAGTCACAAGATGTTTGTCAACAGAACAGTGACATAATTTCATACAAGATTTAAAAAGATACCTGGCCAGGCGTGGTGGCTCATGCCTGTAATCCCAGCACTTCTGAGAGGCCGAAGTGGGTGGATCACTTGAGGTCAGGAGTTCAAGACCAGACTGGCCAACATGGTGAAACCTCATCTCTACTAAAAAAAAAAAAAAAAAAAAAAAAAAATTAGCCAGGCATGGTGGCACATGTCTGTAATCCCAGCTACTTGGGAGACTGAGGCACGAGAATCACTTGAAACTGGGAGGCAGAGGTTGCAGTGAGCCAAGATCGTACCACTGCACTCCAGCCTGGGTGACAGAGTGAGACCCTGTCTCAGAAAAAAAAAAAAAAAAAGATACCTAAGTAATGTGAAAGGTGGCTGCTTCTTTCATGTTGTGTGGAAGAAATTACATCCCATAGTAAGCATGGCTTGGGAGAGTAAAATCAAGAAGGTAAGGGTAGAGCAGGGTGTATTAAGATTGGTTCTCAGAACACCAGAATGATAATCACATCATGTGCTTGCAGATACCTAGGCTCCAACAGAGATCTACTAAGTAAGAATTTCAAGGAGTAGCCAAAGAATCTGTATTAAACAGCTAATGGCCATTGGGTTGTCTCCAATTTTTGACATTAGAAACAATGCTTGTTATGAACATTTATGTAAAAATTTTTTCATGGACATATGCTCATTTTTCTTGGGTATAGCTAGGAAAGGAACTGCTGGTTCAAGTAACTTTATGTTTATCATTTTGAGGAGCTATCAGACTGTTACATAGCAGATCCACAACTTTGCAATTCCACTAGCAGTGATGAGGGTTCTGCTTTCTCCATATCCTTGTCAACACCAATTTCAAACCATCATTGTGGGTGTGAAGTGGTATTTTTTTCCTTCTTTCTTTTTTCTGAGACAGGGTCTTGCTTTGTTGTCCAGACTGGAATGCTGTGACATGATTACAGCTCACTGAAGCCTCGACGAATTCTCCCATCTCAGCTTCTCAAGTAGCTGGGACTACAGGTGCATGCCACCATGTCTGGCTATTTTTTTTTTTTTTTTTTTTTTTGGTATATTTTGTAGAGACAGGGTCTCGCCATGTTTCCCAGAATGGTCTCAAACTCCTGGACTCAAGCAATTCTCCCACCTCAGTCTCCCAAAGTGATGGGATTACAGGTATGAGCCACTGTGCCCAACCATAAAGTGCTATTTCATTGTGGTTTTCATTATTTATTTCTTGATGATCAATGATGTTGAGTATCTTTTCATTTGCTTGTTGGCTATTTGTATATTTTCTTTGGTGAAATGCCAATTATTTGTCTTTTTTATTATTGACATGTGTTTTTGTAGAGCACCCAATCCTGTTGCTGTTTGGGGTGCCACTGTGTAACCCACACGGACCTATGGGACTGAATAAAGGGGGGCAAACGCGGGAATAAAAGACAAGAGACAAAAGAGTATATTTGGAAGAAGGGGTCGGGGGCACCTTGCCTCTAGTGGACAAGGGCCCTGAGCTTTACACAGCCCTCCATATTTATTAGGCAAAAGAGATAGCAAGAAGTGGAGGTGGGTGGGGGGTGGGTGTCGTCAGCAGTTTGATTCACGGCAGGTTTGTAAGACTGCATTCTTCAAACAATAGGCGCTAGATTTCTCAATAGATAACTTTAAGGAGCCCACTGCCAGGGAGTGAGGCCCTCAGCAAACCTTTTGGTGGCAGGGCAGTATCAGTTTGCCCACATTCTGCATTCATGATAAACAGTTTGCTGTTTGATCATATAGCCTCCAGCGGAATGCTTAGTTGGTCATGATCCCTTTGGCCTTTTGAGCTCCCAACATGTTTTTAACATATTCTAGATGAATCTCTTACTGGATGTATTTTTTCCTATTTTGTAGGTTGTCTTTTGACTTTCTTTTCTTTTCTTCTTTTAGGTACAGGGTCTTGCTCTGTTGCCTAAGCTGGAGTGCAATGGCACAATCAGCTTACCACAGCCTCAAAATCCTGGGCTCAAGTGATTTTCCCACCTCAGGCTCCTGAGCAGCTAGGACTACAGGTGTGCATCACCATGTCTGGCTATAAAAAAGAATTTTGTAGAGATGGGGTCTCACTATGTTTCCCAGGATGGTCTCAAATTCCTGGCCTCAAGTGATCCTCCGGCCTTGGTCTCCAAAAGTGCTGGGATTACAAGCATGAACAACTGTGCCCAGACTTGATTTTCTTTCTTAAGCCCCACATTTGAACTGATGGTCTTGACTTTTTGATACATGTTTTTGTAAAGCACACAAGTTTTTAATTTTGATGAGGTCTATTAATTTATTTTTCCTTTTGTTGCTTGTGGATTTGGTGTTATTTCTAAGAATCCATTGCCATATCCAAGGTCTTAAAGATTTACCCTTGTTTTCTTCTAAGAGTTTTAGTTTCAGGTCTCACAAATGTAGTCGTCTGAAACATTCTGAATTATTTATATGGAATGAATTAGGGGTTCAACTTCATTCTTTTCTATGTGGATCTCCAGTTTTCTCAGCATCATTTGTTGCAAAAACTATTCTTTCCCCATTAGATGGTCTTGGTATGTTTATTTTAAATCAATTTACTCTAGATGTATAGGTTTATATGTGAGTCTCCATTCTGTTCCATTGACCCAAATGGCTATTTGTTATTCAGCCTGACTACTATAAAAAATACCATAAATTGGTAACTTAAACAACAAAAATTTATTTTTCACAGTTCTGGAGCTGGCATATCCAAGATAAGGTGCTGGCCTGACTGGTATCTCGTGAGGGCTTTCTCCTTGGGTTGGAGATGTCTGCCATCTCTCTGTGTCTTCACATGGCCTCTCCTTGGCATATGCATGTGAAGAGAAAGAGCTCTCTCTCTATTTCTGTTCTTATAAAATTACCAGTTCTATCACATTAGGGCCCCACCCTCATGACATTGTTTAACTTTAGTTAACTCCTTCCTATAGGCATTATCTCTAAATACAGTCACATTAGGGGTTAGGGCTTCAACATATGAATCTGGGGGAGACACAGTCTGTCATATGCCATTACTACACACAATCTTGATTACCGTAGCTGTGTAGTAACTTTGGAAGCCAGGAAGTGTGAGTCCTTCAACTTTGTTCATCATCTGAAAAACTGTTTTGGATATTCTGGGTTCTCTGAATTTCCATATTAGTATTAGGATCAACTTGTCAATTTCTGCAAAGAAGCCAGCTGGAATTTTGATGGAGAGTGAATCTGTGGAATCTGTACTTCAACTTAAAGGTATTGGCATCTTATCAATATTAAATCTTCCAATCCATGAATATGTGTTTTCTTCCCATGTACGTCTTTTAAAATTTCCTTGAACAATGTTTTATAATTTTCTTTCTTTTTTTTTTTTTTTTCGAGATGGAGTCTCACTCTGTTGCCCAGGCGCAGTGCAGTGGTGCGATCTTGGCTCACTGCAAGCTCCACCTCCCGGGTTCACGCCATTCTTCCGCCGCAGCCTCCCGAGTAGCTGGGACTACAGGCGCCCACTACCCCACCCGGCTAATTTTGTTTTTGTATTTTTAGTAGAGATGGGGTTTCACCATGTTAGCCAGGATGGTCTCGATCTCCTGACCTTGTGATCCATCTGCCTCGGCCTCCCAAAGTACTGGGATTACAGGTGTGAGCCACCGCACCCGGCTATAATTTTCATTCTTGTATTTCTTTTTAAGAAATCTCTAAATATTTTCTGATTCTATTGTAAATGGAGTTATTGATATCATTTTTTTGCTGTTTGTGTATTTTGTTTTTTTGAGACAGAGTTGCGCTCTGTCACCCAGGCTGGAGTGCAGTGGTGCAATTTTGGCTCACTGCAACCTCTGCCTCCCAAGTTCAAGTGATTCTCCTGCCTCAGCCTCCCTAGTAGCTGGGATTACAGGTGCGCATCACCATGCCCAGCTAGTTTTTTGTATTTTTTAGTAGAGATGGAGTTTCACCATGTTGGCCAGGCTGGTATTGAACTCCTGGCCTCAAGTGATCCACCTACCTCGCCTCCCAAAGTGCTGGGATTACAGGCAGGAGCCACTGTGCCTGGTCTGATTTCATTTTTGGATTGTTCATTGCTAATGTACAGAATAACACAGGATTTTTGAGTATTTATCTTGTATCCTGCAAATGTGCTTGCCTATTTGTTCTAATAGCTTTATTTGTGGATTCTTTAGGATTTCCTACATACAAGATCAGTAATTTAAGATAGAGCTTGTTTTACTTCTTCCATGCCAATCTGGATGCCTTTTATTTTTTTCTTGACACATTGCACTGGCTACAACCTCCAGTATAATATTAAATGTAAGTGGATATAGCAAACATCCTTGTCTTGTTCCTGACCTTAGGAGGGAGGAATTAGTTTTCAGCATTCCATATATTAGGCATGGGTTTTTCATAATGCTCTTAATCAGGCTGAAAAAGTTCCCTTCTCTTCCTAGTTTATTATTTTTAACATGAAAGAATATTGAATTTTGTCAAATGAGTTTTCTGCATCTATTGAGATGACTATGTTGTTTCTTTTATTCTGTAAATATATTACAATATATTGATTTTTAGATTTTAAGCCAATATTGCATAGTTGGGATGAATCCCACTTGTTTATGGTGTATAATCCTTTTTATATGTGGTTGGAACTGGTTTGCTAGTATTTAATTGAGGATTGCTGTGTTTGCTAGATTCACATGAGGTATTGGGCTTTCCTTGTGATATTTTTCTCTATCTTGCTACTAAGGAAAATCTGTCCTCACAGAATAAGTTGGGAAGTGTTCCCTCTCTTCTAGTTTTTGGTATGAATTTGTGAAGCATTGGTATTGATTCCTATTTCAACTTTTGGTAGAACTGACCATGAAGCCATCTGAATCTGAGCTTTTTTTCTTTTCTGAGGGGGGCGGGGCCAGGGGCAAATTTCAAATTCCCAATTCGATTTTTTTTTTTTTTGAGACGAGTTTCGCTCTGTCACCCAGGCTGAAGTGCAGTGGCCCCATCTCAGCTCACTGCAACCTCTGCCTCCTGGGTTCAAGTGATTCTCCTGCCTCAGCCTCCTGCGTAGCAGGGACGACGGGTGTGTGCCACCACACCCGGCTAATTTTTGTATTTTTAGTAGAGATGGTGTTTCACTATGTTGGCCAGGCTGGTCTCGAACTTCTGACCTCAGGTGTTCTGCCCACCTCGGCCTCTCAAAGTGCTGGGATTACAGGCATGAGCCATTGCACCCAGCTCCAATTCAGTATTTTTACTTATTATGGGTTCATTCAGATTTTCTAGTTGTTCTTGAGTGAGTTTCCATAGTTCATGTTATTCTAGAAATGTGTTCATTTCATTGAGATTATCTGATTTGCAGGCATACAGTTATAGGGTCTGGTGTGTCTGTTTCAAAGGTTCGGTTGCTGGGTGTTGTTGGAGACAGACTGGCTAGCCAGTGTAGCAGGAGTGTACTTGGGAGGCTCAGGGTAGCGACTATGCTGCAACTGGCATGTAAATACAGTATCTTAACAGTTTAACAGTCAGTACAGCCTTTCTGGTTCATACAAGTGAATATCAGGCCTTGCTGTATAGGATGTCAAACTGCCGATGATTATCCCTGTTCTGAATTATTTAATAATAAAAATTTAAAACACAGACACATAGCTAAAAGACATAAAACATAATAATACAGGCTGTCCCCCATCTTTTTTTTTTTGAGATGATGTCTCACTCTGTCACCCAGGCCAGAGTGCAATGGTGTGATCTTGGCTCACTGCAACCTCTGCCTCCTGGGTTCAAGTGATTCTCCTGCCTCAGCCTCCCGAGTAGCTGGGACTACAGGCATGCACCACCATGCCCACCTAATTTTTGCATTTTTAGTAGAGACGAAGTTTCACCATGTTGACCAGGCTGGTCTTGAACTCCCACCTCGGCCTCTCAGAGTGCTGAGATTATAGGCATGAGCCACTGCTTCTGGCTACCCGCTCATTTTTCTTTTCAGTAAAAATCTTTACTCCATCGGAGAAACCAATCTTAGCCAGGCTTGTCAGAGAATAGACTCATGCATAAGTCTCAAAAAAAGATGGGTAGTAAGACGGTGGCTCACGCTTGTAATCCCAGCACTTTGGGAGGCCGAGGTGAGCAGATCATCTGAGGTCAGGAGTTTGAGACCAGCCTGGCCAACGTAGTGAAACCCCATCTCTACAAAAAATACAAAAATTAGCCGGATGTAGTGGCACTTGCCTGTAATCCCAGCTACTTGGGAGGCTGAGGCAGGAGAATCACTTGAACTTAGGAGGCAGAGGTTGCAGTGAGCCTAGATCGTGCCACTGCACTCCAGCCAGGGCGACAGAGTGAGACTGACTCAAAAAAAAAAAAACAAAAAAAATGGGTAGTAAGACACTTCTAAAGGTGTCTTCTTCAATGAATAGAATTCTGTTGTAACACAGAATTCAGTTATCAAGACAAATATCCAGAAAATGGTTGGTTTACATCTTGTTTGTATTAGGGCTTCCTTTTATTTTCATACATCTTCTTATTAAACTATCTCAAAGAGTAGAGATTCCTATTTCTGTTGACACTTAATAGCTTTTTCACTACATGTAATATTAAGTCCATATACCTTCAGCTTTTTTGAACCACCGTGCGCAGCTTGTTTTAGCTTTTTTAAAGTGAGTTTTAGATAAACCTAATTTGCTCATCCTTGATTAGGAATTCCCCAAATTGGCTCTAAAATGGAATTCAGTTTGCCTCAATATACATTTACTGAGCTTATAATATCCATTAAAAAAAAAGCAGCCAGGCCTGGTGGCTCATGCCTGTAATCCCAGCACTTTGGGAGGCTGAGGTGAGCAGATCACAAGGTCAGGAGATCGAGACCATCCTGGCTAACATGGTGAAACCCCGTCTCTACCAAAAATACAAAAAAAATTAGCCGGGCATGGTGGCAGACGCCTGTAGCCCCAGCTACTCGGGAGGCTGAGGCAATAGAATGGCGTGAAACCAGGAGTCGGAGCATGCAGTGAGCTGAGATCGCGTCACTGCACTCTAGCCTGGGTGATAGAGTGAGACTCTGTCTCAAAAAGAAAAACAACAACAACAAAAAAACTATGTAACAAATGCAAAGATAACATATGAAGGAGACAGAAATGTGTATAAATTTGTATAAAAGGCAGACTGGTACCAATGCTAATTGGGATTATATAGGAATAAACCATTAACTTCTAAAATTGAAGCATAATTGCATTGCATTTAGTTGAATGCAGTGTTTATAGAGTTCAATGAATTTTGAGAAATAAACTTGCCAATCAAGATATAGAAACTATCTACAAAGTCCCCTTGTGCCCCTTTCTAGTCAATACCCTTCCAAGCTCAAAGGAAACAACTACTTTGATTTCTATTGCCACAGATTAGTTTTGACCTTCATATTGATGGAATTGTACAGTACCTAACTCTTTTGTGTCTGCCTTCTTTTACTCAACATGTTTTTAAGATTCACCCAGGCTGTAGTGTATATCAACAGTGTGTATTACTCTGAGTAGTATATCACAATTTATATTTTTCTGTTGATGAATATTTGTGTTGTTTTTGACTTTTTGGTATTTTTAATAAATTAGCCGTTAATTCTAATTGAGCAAAATATTTCCCCCTAATAGGACATGAAATTTGAAATATCTTAAGAAATTTCTTATTCATAAACAAAGTTGAACCAAGTGTAACTTAATGCTTATTTAAAGGCCTCTTCATGGCAGTAGCAATAAATCAAATACAGGTTTTAAAAATAGCTACTCTTTTTTGCACCTTTACATTCCAGTCTGATAAATATAACTCACTTATATAACTACATAAATTGTCGTTAAGCTCTGTATTCCACAATTTCTCTTAGCCCAGGAAAGCAAGAAGTGATGATAGCATTATGGGTGTGTGTCATTTATTTTCAAGAACAGACTTTAGTGAAGGAAGGCATGCTTAAACCTTGCTTTGTAGCAAAACACTTCTTATCTTTGGGTGGATATAACTTTCTGATGCCAAAGGACTCTGTTTCCCTGCCGATCTAGATTAGAAAAGGCAGAAACTCTAACCTTTATTTATCAGTCTGTTTGACTAACAGTGTGAGCAGTGAGAAAAGAAAACTATAGTAATAAAGCTTTTTTTTTTTTTTAGAATGTTATTTCACAACCTCACTGGAATGTGGGAAGTGAAGTGCTGCAAAAGCTAGAAGCAAAGATAGAAAGTACAGGCAAGGTTCACATAATAAATCTTCCTTTTAGGTTTGAAGGTTCTTTCCATAGAAATTCCTTCACAAAGATACAATTTTATTTTAAAATATCCTGTACCTGGCTTTTATTTAAGGTCAGTTAAGTAACCAGTATATGAAAGTCTTTGTATGTTTCCACAAAACTGTTGTTAAAACTGTATTCTGGGTCAAATTATTCTTTTTTTTTTTTTTTTTTTTTGAGACAGGGTGTAGTTCTGTCGCCCAGGCTGGAGTGCAGTGGCAACTACATGGGATTACAGATGAGGTCTCACTACCTTGCCCAGGCTGGTCTCGAACTCCTTGGCTCAAGGGGTCCTCCTGCTCGGCCTCCCAGAGTGCTTGGATTACAGGCATGAGCCACCCCACCTCGCCCAGATTATTTTTAAACTGGAGTCTTCAGGTCCCCAGGGTCAAGAGATATACACTTGCCCGTTTGGGAATTCTATAAAAATGTTTTAGTTTAGTTTTGTGTTTCATTTCAGTAATTGCTTAAAAACAATATTTTCCGACTTATTAAATTAAAACTTCTTTGGCAGTGATAATTCATAACCATAAAGATATTTTCCTGAAGTAGGATTTTAATTTCTTTTTTTTTTTTTTTTTTTTGAGACGGAGTCTTGCTCTGTCGCCCAGGCTGGAGTGCAGTGGCACAACCTTGGCTCACTGCAAGCTCCGCCTCCCGGGTCCATGCCATTCTCCTGCCTCAGCCTCCCGAGTAGCTGTCTACAGGGGCCCGCCGCCACCACGCCCGGCTAATTTTTTGTATTTTTAGTAGAGACGGGTTTCACCGCGTTAGCCAGGATGGTCTTGATCTCCTGACCTCGTGACCCGCCCGTCTCGACCTCCCAAAGTGCTGGGATTACAGGCGTGAGCCACAGCGCCCGGCGGATTTTAATTTCTTAAAAGCTTTTTTATTGTCGTAAAATACATGTAACATAAAATATGCCATTTTAACCACTTTAAGTGTATACTTCAGTGGCATTAAGTACATTTACAGTGTTCTTTAGACTTTGATTTCTTACATCAGTATTTCTTACAGTGAAATTTTCAAAAGTATTTGCCAAGTTTCAAAAGAACTTTTTTCCTTTAAAAACGGTTTGTATACCACTCAAGACTATGAATCACTATTCAAGGCAATAAATTCTTCTTACAATATAGAATTTTTCTCTTGATAAATTGAGTATTCTTTCTTTAGATAATGGGAATAATACACACCCTTATGGTTTTTCCCCTTTTTAAAACCTGGAAATGAAGAAAAAAATTCGGTGTTTGTGTGACCATTTTCCCTGTTACTCATATAATTATTTGCCCATCTATTTCTTATCTTTCTATAATTACAGATTTCTCTTTTTTACATGGTTTGTGTTGTACCTTGCTTCAAATTCTTTTTTTTTTTTTTTTTTTTTGAGGTGGAGTCTTGCTCTGTCGCTCAGGCTGGAGTGCAGTGGCGCGACCTCGACTCACTGCAACCTTCGCCTCCCCGGTTCAAGGGGTTCTCCTGCATCAGCCTCCCAAGGATTCCCGGCTAATTTTCGTTATTTTTACTAGAGACGGGGTTTCACCATGTTGCCCAGGCTGGTCTGGAACTGCAGAGCTCAGGTGATGCACCCACCTCGGTTTCCCAAAGTGTTGGGATTACAGGCATGAGCCACCGCGCCCGGCCAAATTCTTTTTAGGAATTAGGTACTACATTGAGTTTTAAATGCACTCAGAAAATTCTCAAAGTAATAAATTATAGACTAAATAAATATAGCGGAATTCAGTCTAAATTATAGGAACTCCTTTTTTGATAACTAATATTTTTAAAGTACTCACTATGTGCTACGGCACTGTGCTAATCACTTTACTGTGATTTATCTAGTAATACCGTATGATGTAGGTACTATTATCACCCCACTCTAAGGAGTTCAAAGAAATAAAGAAACCTCCACAGTGTCATGAAGTAGCCCCGCTAGGACTCAGGCCTGGCTGAATCCAAAGCTCAGGCTTCTAAGCATAACGTGTACTGCTGCTTCTCAGGCTGCACATTCTATTTTACATTATTGGTAGTTTCTCTCTGGCGTTCTTTGTGGGAATGTTCACTGCCCCCGCCCCGCCCCGAAGTGGAACCCTGTCTTCTAACAAACTTTTCGCTGCTCCACCGTCTCCTGTCATGTTCCGCCTCTCAATGGAGTCCCAGCCCACACTCCGATTCTGGTCCCTGAACAGAGCCCCTTCCCCTCACACCATGGCCCCCTAGCAGAGCCTGGTCTCCTCAGATCCTCTTCTCCCAGCAGGGCCCCAACTCCTCACTCCGACGATTCCCCCAGAGTTCCGTTCCCTCAGATCCTGCTTTTCCAGCAAAGCTGCGATTCCTGTACCCCAGCAGAGAGCAATACCCCGTCGGCAAACTTCCACAGAGACATCTTACCGAGGTCCCAGCCCAGCCCCTAATTAAGGGCACACCTCTACCTTTCCCCTTCCCAACCTTCTCCCACAACTGTGCTTTCCCCCGCCCTATTCCCTTTTTCTGTTTATTAATTCTCCTCAACCTCTCCACCATCTCGTGGCCCAGTTTCAGGATTCCCCCGCAAACTCACCCACCGCACTGTCTCCTCAAAGTTGCGTTCCCAAACGGCGCAGTGCTCTGCCCGCACTTACGCTCCCAGCGCTGCTTCGGGATCTGCGCTCCCCAACTGCCCTCCGGGAATACGCCCTGCAGTTGAACAGCGCCCGAGGCCCCGCCCCCTCTGCGTCCATTGGCCATTGTTCTCGAGAAGTCCCGCCCCTCCCGCTTCCAGCCCGCCTCCCCGCCCCGCTTCCCTTGTTTTCATTCCCCCTGTCACACGAGGCAGTGGCAAGCCCGAAGGGGAGGAGAGAAGGGGGCGGAAAGAGGGCGGAAAGTGAAAGGCGCCGAGGGCCGCTCTGTCTCCCGTCTGACTCGGTTCTCGACTGCTCCGGGCCGCCGATGTATTGTGGGATCGCGGAGCCGTCCCTGAGACGCTGGGATCCGCAGAGGAGCCCACTTGAGAGCGCCTCCTGTCGTCTGTAAGGTTGCCTTGCCATCCCTCGGCACCACAACTTCCCCCGCCCCCCCATCGCCTCCTCCTCCATCCTCCAGTTCAAAATGGCGACGGCGGCGGCAGCGGCGGCGGTGATGGCTCCTCCGGGCTGCCCGGGTTCGTGCCCCAACTTCGCCGTAGTCTGCTCCTTCTTGGAGCGCTACGGGCCGCTGCTAGACCTGCCTGAGTTGCCGTTCCCTGAGCTGGAGCGGGTGCTGCAGGCGCCGCCGCCGGACGTCGGCAACGGAGAAGGTAAGCGAGGGGCCCGAACGCCCGGCGGGAAGCGGCCCTGGCGCTCTGCTACTCTCCGCTCTTCACAGGCGCCCCGGTTCTTCGCGGCTCGGGCCTCCGCGGCTCTGTCTTCCCCCTGGGACGCAACTCCGCCGGGCTGGTCTTCTCCGCCCAGCCCCCGGGGTCTTGGGCAGTGGGGAGGCGGGGCGGAGGCCCCCTAGGGCCACTCGGCCGGGCGGGGAGCTGAGGTGGAGGCGTTGCGGGCTAGGTGTGGGCTGGAGGCGGGGAGGGGTCATTGTGCCGGTCGGCAGCCCCGGGGACTGCTTCTCCGCGGCGGAGGGCGGCCCCCCACCCCGTCTCCCCCTTGGCGGCGGGGGAAGGGGAGCGCAGGTTCCGGCCAGCTTTGCGCTTTTCTCCTCCTCCCCACCCTTACTCCCTCCCCTCCTCCCACCAGTCTTCCCGACCATCTCGGGGAAGGCTGGGCTCGGCTGCTCCGGACACCTCCTTATCTCCCTTCACCTGGGTGGGCGGGGGCCAGCGGACACTCAACTCTCCCTCCCTCTGTTGGGAACTCCCCTGAGAGATTTGTCCCTTTTCCCTTCCCCTCGAGGGCTGCTTTAACCCCTAAAACTCCTTCCTTGAAGTGGGGAGGTCTGCTCCTCCCCCACGGGAGGGGGTTCTTCTCCATTCTCGGTAGGGGGGCGAAGTCGGTTCAGCTCCACTGTGGAGAGGAGAGGGTTAATTCCTCCTCCATAGTTCTCCTTCCTCTCCCCACCTCCCCCAAAATAATAGGCGAGCATCTCCCCACTTTTCCAATCCCTTCCCCCTTCATCTTGGCAGCCGGGCTTAGGCGAAGAAGTCGTCTCCCTCCCATTTGCACGGTAGGGTGGGGTGGTTAGTATGTAAGCTGGAGGAGGGGCTCTGACGGAGGGGGAAACAGTTGAAGAAGGTGCTTGTTGCTCATGTTTCTCTCTCTGGTGCCGCTGGTCTATTATTGGTGTTCGCAAGTGGTGCTCCTTCCACATAAGGCCACCGCGCGGGTGCAGGGCGCATGCTCTGCCCGGCCCCATTGAAACTTCCTGCTGCTGCTGCTGGTTCTTTTGCTGGAGCATCTCAGCGCTGCGCCTGCTGCCTCCAGCCTTCACACTGAGTGCTTATACTCACCCCCATTTATTCCCGATCCCTGCCTCTCCTTTTCTGGCACTTTTCTTTCCTCAGAGAAGGCTTTTTTGTTATACTCTGAGCATTGCCTTTATCTGGAAACAGCCCTTGGCTGGAGAAGAAACGTTTTCCAAATAGGTCTCTTTTTTTGTCCATATTAGCTGGCCAAAGTGGATTGGTTATTGTACAAGACAGATAGCTGTTTCCTTTCCAAGAAAGCAGGGTCGCTCTTCTATTCTCTATGTAAATGAAGAAGTTTCTGTTAACTGAATTTATTTGCATTGCTAGGAAGCGCCAAGTATGAAGTTCTTCAGAATATTACCTATAAAGAATCTGTATGATGTTATGGCTACCGAAGACTCAAATTAATACAGCAGTTATAATATAAGCCTAGTAATCTGTTCTTACCTGTCCACATTCCCTCTACCTGTAACAAACTGGCTTACAAAAGGCTAATTTAAAAAATAGTACAAAATAGGAGGGTGACTAATTACATTATATAAAGGCTTCTCACAGAATTTGTTTAAAAATTAAGCTCCCATTGTAGTAATTTCATTATCAAATTGTATTTACATTCTTTTTTATATTTTTTATTTTTATTTGTTTTTTGAGACGGAGTCTCACTCTGTTGCCCAGGCAGGAATGCAGTGGCAGGATCTGGGCTCACTGCTACCTCCGCCTCCCAGGTTCAAGCGATTCTCCTGCCCCAGCCTCCCGAGTAGCTGGGATTACAGGTGTGCACCACCGAGCCCGGCTAATTTTTGTATTTTTAGTAGAGACGGGGTTTCACCATGTTTGCCAGGCTGATCTCGAACTCCTGACCTCGTGATCCACACACCTTGGCCTCCCAAAGTGCTTTACAGGCGTGAGCCACCAAGCCTGGCCCGTTTTTTAATTTTTAAGAAGGTAGTCATTGTGAAGTAGGATGCCTTAGTAAGTTGCTTTTAGGATGCCTTGGGAAGTGATAGTAATGTATCTCTCAGAGAACGAACTGTGGGCATTTGGGGAAAGGATGGCTAGTAAATTGTTTTGGTAATTTCTTTGGACCAAGTTGAAATGCATAGGTTTTCTGGGATGGCGTGGTATTTTGGGTAGTATATGAGATTGCTTGAATCTACATTTATTTTAGGTATTTTGACCAGTGCATTTAGTTTATATTAATATCACAGGAATACAATATTAGAGTCAGTTGAATTGAATAGTGGTTCACTAAGTAAGTAAAAATGACAGGTAACCTGGGCTAAGAAGGATCATTTATTTCAGCCACTGCATTACCGTTGGTATAGAGTTGCTAAGGGGACTGATAATAATAGATCCTATCATAAGGTGATCTTAGAATAATTATTAATTAATGTTACACAGTTCAGAACACTTGGCAAATGAGAAGTCTCTGCAGGTGAAATGCTGTTACTGTGCAGGGAAACGATTTTCAGAACTTTGATGATGAACCATGATATCATCATCAAAGTTGGCTTGTTGGGTGAACCTCTGTCGTTTTATCAGCTATTACAAACTTTCAGCCTGTTTCAAATAGCTGATAAAATGATAGTGGCTCAGCCAACAAGATTTGAACTGAGTCTTTTTGGGAAAGAGTTGTAGTGTACAAGAGTTAAAAGACATGGATTTAGTTCCTTGCAACTGTTCTCTGAAGTTGATAGTATTATTCCTATTTGGCAGGCATAGAAACTAAGGCTCAATAGATTAAGGTGCTTAAGAGTCTATAGTTAATGGTAGAATATGATTTCCAACCCAAGTCTGAGTCCAAAGCCACAAAATTATATACCTTGCCATAGTATCATGGTTTCCAAACTGCACCAAGGCACCCTAGAGCATTGTTGCCAACTCCATCTGATAGTTTAAATTTTCAAGTAGGATACAGTGGTAGCCGAAATTTGCTGGTTGCCAGGTGAGCTACTGCCTTGACATACTTCATGGTTTCAAGGTTGTGCCACATTTCTATAGATGATATGTCTTTGTGAAGCTGGTTTTTTAGCGGTTGCTGTGGTAAAATTCACAAAAAAGTCAGTATGCAGCAGGAAAGAGGATAGCAGGGTCCACTCTGATTCCAAGGTTTGAAAAGTTGTGCAGTGCCCAACAGTAATACACATTTCACAAGTAATTATGGTTAAGAATGAAGTAAAAACATTATTTGTTGAAATTTAGCTAGGTTATTTTTTCACATGGCTACTGACTACTTAATAAGTGGAAGTGTTATTATTTCTGGCCTAGGGCTGCTGTGAGAAAATTACTGAGATACTGAGGGTGCCGTGAAGCTAGAATGTTTGAGAACCTTTGCTCTAGAAACTATCATTGAATTTCGGGGCAAGAAAGAAGGGACTATTGTGTCATTGCCTTTATTTTTCAGGAGGAAAATCAAGCTACAGAGAGAGATTTCAAGTGTATACAGCTAACTGTTGGTGTTAGTCAAATTCTTATTTGAAAAGCCCACATATATGCTGAAATTGTCAACAAAAAATTTAGATTTATAGTTGATACTAGTTATAAAAGGATGTGCCAAATGAAGGTGGTGTTTTATCCTCCTCTCCCTGCAGTCTACTTTAGTCCTCCCAATTCTGTGCTTTGTGTGGACTTCCCCAGGTTTCTCCTAACTGGAGGTAGATGATGGTGGTTATGGATAAAGTTGACGTTGACTTTGTGAGATCCCTGACACCCAAGGCTCCTAAGTATCTTTCCTCTCCTGCAGAGAATATTTCTTTTCAAGAGGAAACTATACTACTGTATTCTTTAAAAACAGTCTGGATATTGGTTGAGATGTTACATATATCTAATAAATTTATTAAGGTAAATACAGATAATGTGTTAGGATTCTCATAGTTTATACTATGGTTGGCTGAATTAGTTGTATGATATTAAGTAAGTTGAGCCATTAGTTTTTTGTTTCATTTTTGCATTTAATGATTTGAATTTTAACTCGAAGTGAAAATATCAAAGTTAAAAAAATGCCTTTTTAACTGGAATTGTAACTATAACTTACTATGGTCTCTCTTACTGGTACTGTAACTGATCTGTGTGTAACAATATATTTTTAGGTGCATTTGATAAAGTGGAAAGGTGATTACTGTAACTGGGGCCACATGTGTTGATTTAAACAAAAGATTTTACCAGGTGCATGTACTAGAGGTTGCATGAGTCTACAGTGGTAGACACTGGTAGGGCATACATACATTAATAGTAGTATTGCTGGGGCCAGAGCCTGGTTAGGTTGAAACTTTTTAGTTGTGTCTCTTCTGCCTTTGAAAAAGCAAATATTCTTTAGGGCACTTATTAGATGAAAAGAGAGAAACAGATTTCATCTCCACCATTTTCGATATGTCATAGAGTAAAGTTACGGAGGTTTGGAGGGAGGTTGTTGTCATTGTCCTAGGAACTAGGAGGTAATGGAGACAGAGGGACTTGTCTGGCTAACATGAGCCTGTTAATGCAAACTGGCTTACTTTTTAGTCTTTTAATGATTAAGAAGTTTGCCTTAAATTTAGATGTTTTGTTAAGTTCTTAAACAGACCTCACCGGTAAGAAGGTAAGCAAGCATTTATTAGTGAGGTTATTCACTTAATATATATATTGAGCATCTGCTATGTACAGATGTAGCTACAGTAAATATTGTGGGGATTATTTTTTTAAAAAAACATTAAACATGAGCCTTTTAAAAGAAATTTCTAATCTAGTAAGAAATAGCTAAACTGAGCTTGAAACTAATGACATCATTCAAAGACTTAGTTTTTTTTCTCTGAGATTTTATCAAGTGGAGCAATAGTCCGTGCATTCTAGTCTACAGTTGTAAACTAAAATTATCTAACAATTTTATGGTGAGATGTATGACCACATGCAATATGAAAAAGAATAATTCAGGCCTAAAGTACATGTTAAACTGAATCATGTATTCAAGGAAGACAGTTATGTGTGTTGTTAGATTTAATAAAATTTTACTCTACCTGATGGGTATAGTCTTAATATATTATGCTTGGCTTTTTTTGTTTGTTTTCTGTTTTTATTGTAGAGTAGATCCCACAAAAGGTATTAGGGTATTTTCTATTTTCTTTTAAAAACATTTAATTATATGGGCAATTATAATGTACACTTTGTAATTACATATGTTCTAGCAGGCTTTGATTTTTAATTTGTTTAGCTTTATATGGTCATATCTGTACGTTAGGTTTGCATTAGCTAACTTTTAAACATTTTTGCTCGCTCTTGTACTGTTGGGCACAAGCAGTGCCTCCAGGCAAATTGATGCCTAAACTAGAGAGAACAGCAGGCATTCTCTCCTTACTCTTCCACTTCCCCTTTACTTCCATTTCCTGATCCTCATGTCTGAAGTCACACCACCTTTAGCCATTTGAAGGGGCTGCTTCTTCCATTTTACGCTTTCTTTCACTTGTATGCCATAAAGTGCAGTGCCTGCTAGCTCCAGTGTGCTCTGTATGAGGTTTGCACCAGTGTGTTAGGAAGAAAGGAGGCACTGAAATTAAAAAAAAACCATATTTTGGGGGTTTCCAAGTCACTAAACAATTGAACCACAATAATAGAGGAAACTGACTTAAACAGTATTAAACTGGTATTGCTTCAAACATTATCAAAGGATTTCTGAGGTGAATGCCTACTTTATAAAAATGTATTTTTTCGGCTGGGCACGGTGGCTCATGCCTGTAATCCCAGCACTTAGGGAGGCCCAGGCGGCGGATCACCTGAGGTCAGGAGTTTGAGACCAGCCTGGCGAACATGGTGAAACCCCATCTGTACTAAAAATACAAAAATTAGTCAGACCTGGTGTCAGGCGCCTGTAATCCCAGCTACTCGGGAGACCGAGGCAGGAGAATCGCTTGAACCTGGGAGGCAGAGGTTGCAGTGAGCCAAGATGGTGCCACTGCACTCCAGCCTGGGTGACAGAGCGAGACTCTGTCCTTTTTTTTCCCCCCCAGAGTTAGGGCCTTGAATTCCTGGGCTCAAGAAATCCTCCTGCCCCAACCTCCCGAGTAGTTGGAACTACAGGCACATGCCACCATGCCCAGCTAATTTTTAAAAATTTTTTTGGTAGAGAATGAGGTCTTGCTGTATTGTCCAGGCTGGTCTTGAACTCCTGGACTCAGGTGATACTCCCACCTCGGCCTCCCAAAGTGCTGGGGTTACAGGCATGAGTCACCACTTGTGGCCAAAACTTTTTTTTTTTTTGAGACAGTCTCGCTCTGTGGCCCAGGCTGGAGTGCAGTGGCGCGATCCTGGTTCACTACAACCTCTGCCTCCTGGGTTCAAGTGATTCTCCTGCCTCACGCTCCCAAGTAACTGGGATTACAGGCATGCACCACCATGCCTGGCTCATTTTTATGTGTTTAGTAGGGACAGGTTTTGCCATGTTGGTCAGGCTGGTCTTGAACTCCTGGCTTCAGGTGATCCAGCCACCTCCACCTCTCAAAGTGCTGGGATTGCAGGCATGAGCCACTGTGCCCAGCCACTTCTTATTTTTATCCTGAGTTTAGGGATGTGTTAAATTGTATTAATTCTCCATTATCTCTGTGTGTGTGTGTGTGTGTGTGTGTGTGTGTGTGTGTCCTTTTACAAATTATAAATGGCCGCTCTTTGAGGAAGTCGCGGTGGTAGGTGCTGCGGCTCTGTGATCCGCAGGCTCCTGCTCCTTACTCACTACTGTTCGCTCTCGCCGAGGAACAAGTCGGTCAGGAAGCCGTGCAGCAGCTATGGCTTTGAAGGTTACCGGAAAAACACGCGTGGAGCTGGAGGTGGCAGTTCACCGAAATTGAATCACTCTAACGAGCCGCAACATAAAATCCCTGGAAAAGGTGTGTGCTGACTTCATCAGAGGAGCAGAGGCAAAGAATCTCCAAGTGAAAGGACCAGTTCGAATACCTACCAAGACTTTGAGAATCACTACAGAAAAAGTCCTTGTGGTGAAGGTTCTAAGACGTGGGATCCTTTCCAGATGAGAATCCACAAGCGACTCATTGACTTGCACAGTCCTTCTGAGATTGTTAAGCAGATTGCTTCCATCAGTTTGAGCCGGGAGTTGAGGTGAAAGTCACCATTGCAGATGCTTAAGTCAACTATTTTAATAAATTGATTACCAGTTGTTAAAAAAAAATTATAAATGGCAGACTTGATCCCATTCATCATTAGACTACTTTCATGTTTTGCTCAGAATTAAGTAAGTTTTAATATTCATTTAAAAATACTTATCAAATAAATTTGGTTTCTCTCAAAGTAAGTTGTGTAAGATATTCTGATTTTAGCAAATTATTTCATAATTTGTGCCTTTCTGTTAATAAACAGAAGAAGCAGGGATGAGGTGGTGGGGAATTTGCAGTGTTTATTTAATCTTACCAGTTTAGAGGCTGGACAAAGAGCAAGAATTAAAAGTTATGCTTAGAATGTTTGTCCAAAATTAAGGTGATCTTTTCAGTGTAAGAACATGAGTTGTGAGGGCACAGCAAGCAGAAACTACACCAGACTGATTTTTTTTTTTTTTTTTTTTTGAGATGGAGCTCTGTCACCCAGGCTAGAGTGTAGTAGTGCGATCCCAGCTCACTGCAACCTCTGCCTCCTGGGTTCAAGTGATTCTCCTGCTTCAGCCTCCTGAGTAGCTGGGACTACAGGTGCCCGCCACCACGCCCAGCTAATTTTTTTGCATTCTTAGTAGAGATGGGGTTTCGCCATGTTGGCCAGGCTGGTCTCAAAAACTCCTGACCTCAAGTGATCTGCCTGCCCCGGCCTCCCAAAGTGCTGGGATTACAGGCATGAGCCACCACATCCAGCCCAAACTGATTTTAAGAAAGAAGAGCATGAGGGCAAAACTTGACAGCAGACAGACCAGGCTTCAGCCTCCTGTAGTTGAACAAGGATTGCTTGAAGAGCAACATGAAGTATATAATGTATATATGGCTCATGTAAGCAAGAGTTCCTCCAGAAAGCTTTCGTAGTGGAGGTTGAGTCTGTATTTAATTTTAGACTCTAAGCTTTATTCTCCAGTATTTGTACATGTTTATCTTAATCATTTTCTGAATAGTAGGATTATACAGTTTTTTCCCTTTGGTTTTTCTTATATTTTTTCACATTTCATTTTCTATGTTAATTGTGCATTTCTTTGATAATCACCAAAAAACTATTTAAAACTAGATTTCTAAAGAGGCTTTTTAAAAGGAAAATTGAATTTCTGCTTGTATTTATGTACTCTTATTTTTATAGACAGGGTCTCACTCTGTCACCCAGGCTGGAGTGCAGTGGCTTGTTCTCTGCTGACTGCAACCTCTACCTCCCAGACTCAGGCGATCCTCCCATTTCAGCCTCTCAAGTTGCTGGGGACTACAGGCATGTGCCACCACACCCAGCTAAAAATTTTTTGTATTTTTAGTAGAGACAGAGTTTCATTATGTTGCCCAGGCTGGTCTCAAACTCCTGGGCTCAAGCAATCCACCTGACTCAGCCTCCCCAAGTGCTGGGATTACAGGCGTGAGCCACCAAGCTCAGCCTATTTATTTATTCTTAATCTTGAATTACCTCTTAAATGAATGTTACTATCATCTACCCAAGTCACTCAGATCAGAAACCAAGGAGGCATCCTAGACCTTAGCCTCTGACACTTTCTTTGATACCAAGTTATATTGAGTCTGTTTATCCCCTTTTATATTCAACCTTGCTTTTCTGTTCTCATTGCTAGTTTTAATCACGCCAAACTGCTTTTACATCTCTGAAGATGTGAAAGGTTGTTTTACATTTATGCTTTTTCTTCGTCCTCCTGCCTCTGAGTCGAATATACCATCCCCATCTTCCTTCCCTTGCCTGCTCACTGTACCCGTCATTAGTCTGCTCTTTAAGCATCAAATGCTCTGTGGAAAATTTCCTTCTTTCTGTCTCTCAAGTTAAATTAACCACTTCAATCTCCTTACCCTGCACGTACACTTTGTAGATTTTATGCCACAGTACTCATAACACTTTTTGCAGTTACTGCCTAGCCTACAAGATGGTAAACTCTTTGAGGACAGGGTTTCTTACTTTATTTTATCACCAGCAATTGGTGGGTAATAGCAAATATGTAGTAAATGTTTGTGGAATTAATAGTTTTCCTCAACTTACTATAGGACCATGTTCTGCTCTAAAACTTTGAAGTTAAAGCCTAGTCTGTGATAGCTTAGTACAGTGGTGGGCAATCTACAGCCTGTCCTCTCTATCTTTGTAAATAAGGTTTTACTGGTATACAGCCATGTTCATTTGTTTACATTCTGTTGTCTGTAGCTGCTTTCACACAACTGTGGCAGAGTTGAGTGATGGTCACAGAGAACATATAACTTCAAAACCTAAAGTATTGGGCTGGGTATGGTGGCTCATACTGCAATCCAAGCACTTTCGGAGGATTGTCTGAGTCCCAGAGGTTGAGGCTGATCATGCCACTGCACTCCAGCCTGGGTGAAACAGCAAGACCCTGTCTCAGAAAAAAACAAAACCCAAAACCTGAAGAACTTATTATCTGTCTAGCCCTTTACAGAAAAAAATTTACTGATCTTTATTCCAGTGTATGAAGATGGAAGTCTTATCAGATGATGATCTCTGTTTTTGAAAATACATTTAGAACCAGTATAATACAAATTTCCAGCCTCGCCAACATGGTGAAACCTGGTCTCTATTAAAAATACAAATTAGTTGGATGTGGTGGGATACACCTGTAATCCCAGCTACCTAGGAGGCTGCCACACAACAATTGCTTGAACCCAGGAGGCAGAGATTACAGTGAGCCATGATTATGCCATTGCACTCCAATCTGGGCAACAGAGGGAGACTCCACCCATCTCCCCCCCAAAAAATAAAAATAAAAAGGAACCAATATAATACAAATTAAATGCCTAGAATGTCCTGTGAATGAAACTTAGTGGAACAGTAGTCTCCCCAGTATTGATCTAATTTTACATCCAACTGTTTTAGTATTAATTACTCCTCTTGGGTTAGGTGAGTCTAAAAGCTTTTTTGTTAACAAGGTGATGACATTATATTGAACTAAATTTCTTTCATTCAAGAGTAGCCATGGCTACCTCTGCCTAATTGTCATAAGGCAATGCCAGGATGGGAGCCATGTGACATGGTAATTGGTAGTGAGGGTAAGAGTTGTTGTAACATTGCTGCTATACTGGCCTCAAAGTCTTATCCAAGTGGACTGATTAGGGGAGGGTAAGGTTGGATGAATGGTGATGCCGTGTACTCAGATGGGAAAGGATGTAGTTATTAAAGGTAGAACTTAAAAGATTTACTTAGGTTACTTAGAGGACACAGGACTGGGAAAGAATGTACTAGATAATAGCTTACTAGTAAGTGGGATTAAATGCCTTGGTCATCAGTGTATTTTGCAGCAAAAGTGCAGTACTGGTTATGAAGCTTAGGCATGTGTTATGCTAGATATCTCAGGGAGTTTGATACTTACTCTTTTCCTTTTGTCCTTAGCATCTTCACAGTTGGCTCTGCAAATAAATATAATTGCCACTTCTTCAATGTTTAGATGTTAAAAGTGTTTTAGGAAAAGAAAATTAGGTAGAATGAGTTATTCCAAATAATCCATTCTAACTTGCTTTTGGTATTTGGAGTTTGGGGATATAGCAATATGGTAATATTGGAAAACTTTGATTAATCAGAAGTATAATGGAGCTTACTTTATATTCCCATTAAAGTCTTGCCAACCTCCAGTTTATCAGAACCATAAATAAACCATCTACAGCAGCACTAACTTGGTCTGGCATCTGAATTCAGACATTCCATAATCCTCATTTTAGAGGTTTTTTGTCCTATGAATTTTGACTGTGGTCAACTGGTTTCTCCTTGCTATCTTTTTGCCTCATGGCCTTTTCATTTTATACCCTATCTTCTATTATTACCTAGTTGTATTCACCATGATAACTATATCTCACTCCTTTAGTGTCCTATTTTCCTGTATTTTGGACTTCCCCTTTAAACCTTAATTATCTTCTCCATTCTTATCTTTCGTAGAAAAATAGATTACAAAAATGCAAAAATAAGGGGCTTTGTAGTATGCATGCTTTACCATAATTTTATAGGTTAAATGCCTGTAGTAGTACTGTTGTAATTATCAGAGCTTACTGTTGAGCCAGACTCCATGATAAAGTCATCTACCAAGATTATCTTATTTAATCCTTAGAGCCACTCTATTTATAGTGTCATTATTTTCATTTTATAGATAAGGAAACTATTTAGAAAGGTAAAGTAACTTGCCTGAAGTCACACAGTGTTAAAGGGTTGGAGAAAATTTTGATAAAAAGATACTTGTAATGCTGTGGGAATTTAAAACTGGGTAAGTCTGGCTTCAGAGCCCAACTCTTAACCAGTGTTTTGTCCCCACAGGTATGCTCTTAAAATGATTGTAGTGTGATCCACAGTACTATGGTTGTGGTCTGAACTCTAAGCAATGATCTGAACACTTAGGCTTCTGAGTCAGATAACGTAGCATATTTCCCCACTCACCTCTTTTTACTTTAAAAGTTTTAATTTTATTAGCATGAACATTATTTTTAAAAGGTATAATATTTGAGGCCGGGCGCGGTGGCTCACGCCTGTAATCCCAGCACTTTGGGAGGCCGAGGTGGGCGGATCACGAGGTCAGGAGATCGAGACCATCCCGGTTAACACGGTGAAACCCCGTCTCTACTAAAAATACAAAAAATTAGCCGGGCGTAGTGGCGGGCGCCTGTAGTCCCAGCTACTCGGGAGGCTGAGGCAGGAGAATGGCGTGAACCCGGGAGGCGGAGCTTGCAGTGAGCCGAGATCCCGCCACTGCACTCCAGCCTGGGCGACAGAGCGAGACTCCGTCTCAAAAAAAAAAAAAAAAAAAAAAAAGGTATAATATTTGAATGGGATACTAAAATATATTGAAACCAAAGAACTACAAGTCATACGTACAGTTGAATGCCTTGATATTTGAACATGAATCTTAACCAGCTTTTCATCATTGCTTGGGAAAATCCTAGTCTTCCTCACACTTTGAAATAATTTTCTTGCTGTTGTTGTGTTTTTGTTTGTTTGTTTGTTTTTTTAGACAGAGTCTTTCTCTGTTGCCCAGGCTGCAGTGCAGTGGCATGATCTCGGCTCACTGCAACCTCCACCTTGGGTTCAAGTGATTCTCCTGCCTCAGCCTCCTGAATAGCTGGGAGTACAGGCACGCACCATCATGCCCAGCTAATTTTTGTATTTTTAATAGAGACAGGGTTTCACCATGTTGTCCAGGCTGGTCTTGAACTCCTGACCTCAAGTGATTCGCCTGCCTTGGCCTCCCAAAGTGCTGGGATTACAGGTGTGAGCCACCGCACCCAGCCTAATTTTTTTATTTAAAAAATTTTTTTAATGGGATTGGCTCGACGAAATAATTTTCTTCTTGAATATTTTGGAAATTAGACTTCGTCTCCTGTACCTATACAAGTTTTGTGCATTGTGTTATCAAATGCCTCCAGGGTGTGTTCCTGTACTGCCATGACTTCCATTTACCCTAATTAAAGCAACTGTCTTTTCCTTGTAGTTCAGTGTTTTTCAGCCCTTATGATAATCGTGTGTCATTAACTACGGGCTGTGCATTAGAAGCCCTTGAATCCCTCTGAAAAATACTCATGCCTAGGCCTTAACAATGCTCCATTGAAATCAGAATCTCTGGGGATTGAGGCCCTGGCATCAGTGATTTTAATGTGTAATCAGGAATGTCTGTTCTTACCTATTTTTCCTAATACTTCAAATTTTGTTTTAAACTCTATATTTATGCTCAGATTAAAGTCTGTTTTGTCTGGTATTAGCATAGCCACTTCATCTGTCTTTCGTTTACTTTGCATGGTCTTTTGTTTACTTTGCATGGTGTGTTCCTTTCCATCCTTTTAACCTCCTTGTGTCTTTGATTCTAAATTTTGTTTCTTGTAGACAGCAGATATTTGTATCATGTTTGCTTGATCTTGTTTGCATGAATATAGTTATGCAGGCAGTTATAATACAAAGTATAACTACTGTTTAGAGTAATTCTAGGGTGCTTTGGGAATATAAATGAGCAAGTACCTAATTTTGGCCAGGGGAAATCATAACATAACTGTAGGCATTATGGAAATTTGAATGGTTGAGTAAAAGTTGGAAAAGCATTCGAGGCAGGGAACGGCATGGGAAAAGACAGAAGTTTCTGATAATGTGGCATGTATGGGAAATTGTAACCTAACTGTATACATTAGGTTTCTGATAAGGTTTGTGGTTGAGGAACTTAAGACCATATGAGAAAATTAGATTGGGAGTTATAAATGATTTGCATGTATTTTTCCCTTCTTTAAAGTAAAAATGTAGCACATTAAATAAAGGTAACATGCCAGTGACTGACAATAAATTCTATAAGGAATTAATTTTCTCTTATTCACTCTATTTCTAGCCTAGTATTTAGCATATAGTAGATACTCAAATGTTAGCTGAATGAATGTGTCATGTATTTCAAAATATTTTTAGATTTTCTCTTCATCCCTTGTTTGCTAGACATTTTTCAGGGTATAACTTTTTTCTTTTGGATATAGCTTGTAAAGATATACATTACTGAATTCTCACCCCCTCCTCCCTTGTTTTTTCACTCATTTAATTTTTGTTTTTTTAATGACTCAGGTGTTTCCTTCTGGGTCCTCCCCATCTTTGGTCTTTCATTTCTTCCTTTCTTTCTTTCTCTTTATTTAGAGAGAGGGTCTTGCTCTATTGCCCAGACTGCAGTGCAGTGGTGCAGTCATAGCTCACTGCAACACAGAACTCCTGGACTCAAGTGA
Organism: Homo sapiens; assembly: GCF_000001405.40. Taxonomy (NCBI): domain Eukaryota; kingdom Metazoa; phylum Chordata; class Mammalia; order Primates; family Hominidae; genus Homo; species Homo sapiens. The sequence continues at coordinate 77,806,593 of NC_000011.10, read as the reverse complement.
TCTTCCTGCCTCAGCCTCCCAAGTAGCTAGCACTACTTGTGCCCCTACACCTGGCTAGTTAAAAAAAAAAAAATCTTTTTTTATAGAGATGGGTGTTGCTATGTAGCCCAGGCTGGGTTTTATAATAGTGCCTGAGATGCCTGAGATGGAAAATCTTTGGATAATCACTCAACTCATTTTTTGGGTTATTTGGTTATACCATGTCTTAACTGCATGAAAAGCATATGTTATTAACCTCTTCTAAGCTTATTACTTTTTATTTGAATCCTCTGAGTATAGTTAAAAATTCAATTTTTTATTTATCTTTCCCAAGACACCATGAGGGAAAAGTCATTATTCCGTTTCTGTTATTTACCTTTTTTTTTTTCTAAGAGCCCCACCCCAGTTTCTCTGAATGGATTTATATGATCTTCACCAGGGGTGACCTGAAATTCTCATTTCTGAAACAATTCTTTTGGGGTGTTGGAAAGGCAGTGGGCACTTTGGGGTGGTGATAGGGAAACCAGTTGGAGGTTGTTATAATATTACATTCCTATTGTGAGAAAGTTGGGGAAGTGGCCATAGGGAGTGAGAGAAAAGGCTAGATCTGAGAAAGAGAAGTTGCAGGTAGAATAGATAAGGACTTAGTTAATGGATTGATGCAAAGTGTTTTGAGTAGGAATAGTATTAATTTCCAGACTTCTGGCTTGGAGAGTGGGTAGTTAGTAGTTCCATTTACTGAGGAGGGAAACAGCTGAAAAGACCCAGCGTTTGTTTATAGGGAAAATATGTGACTTTCTAGTTTTAAACAATCAGAAGTCTGGTAACTTACATATAAGTACTATTTGAAGCACTACCATGTTAATTTCATAGCTTTCTAAAAGCTTACTTGAATAAACAGATTATAGCAATATATCATATTTTGCAATTCTTGTTTTTGTGAATTAAGTTGTTACATACATGTATATATATGCTATATAAACGTTAAGTATGCATTTAACATTTATGCTTTTAAGAAGAATTTTTTTAGAGTGCCTTATTTATGTACTTAAGGTAATTAAAATTAACTTTAATTAACTATCTTGGCATTTGTACCCAATTGTTTTGTCTTATAGGTAAAGTTTTCTTTAGTGAGATAATCTGTCTTTTCTTTTTTTTTCTTTTTTCTTTTTTTGAGATGGAGTCTCGCTTTCTCCCCCAGGCTGGAGTGTAGTGGTGTGATCTTGGCTCATTGCAACCTCTGCCTCCTGGGTTCAAGCAATTCTCCTGCCTCAGCATGCCACCACGCCTGGCTAAGTTTTGTATTTTAGTAGAGACAGGGTTTCACCATGTAGGCCGGGCTGGTCTCGAACTCCTGACCTCAGGTGATCCACCCACCTCAGCCTCCAAAGCATGGGGAGTACAGGCACGAGCCTGTGCCCTGCCAAGACATTCTGTCATTTTTATTTGCAAAAAAAAGGTTGTTGTAATTTTAGAGATTGCTTTTTTCTGCTAGGTACAGAGATTTGATACTTATTGGACATCCTTTTTGTTCCTTTCTCCCCACAAAGAAACAAACGGGAACTTCCAATAACTTGAAATACCACTCTAGATAAATAAACACATGTTTAATATATAGTGTGGATTTAGTTCATTGTAGATGAGAAGTACACATAAGTGATATGTGTGTTTGTGGGGGTTGAAAGTTGGTAAAGAGATTCCTGATTGATCTTGAAAAATTGTCTAGAAGAAATATAATTTGACTTGAATTCCATCTGAGGAACAACTCTTTATCCAGCCTTTTTTGAGACAAGGTCTTGCTCTGTTACCCCGGCTGGAGTATAGTGGTGGAATCACGGCTTACTGCAGCCTTGACCTGAGCTCAAGCTATCCTTCCACCTCAGCCTCTTGAGTAGCTGGGACCACAGGAACGTGTCACCATACTCAGCTAATTTTTTTTTTCTAGAGATGGAGTCTCACTGTGTTTCCCAGGCTGGTCTTAAACTTCTGGGCTCAAGTGATCCACCCACTTTGGCCTCCCAAAGTTCTGGGATTACAGGCGTGAGCCACCGTGGCTGGCTCTCCAACTATTAGACACCATGTGCTTATATAGACCTGTAATATTATTTGAGCTATAAGTAAAGGCTGGTCTCATGCCATTTATTTAGTGAAGGATGGTTCCATCATTTTACAAGGTAGAATGTCACCAACAAGACTGTCCCCATTTCACATGCCAGCTATAGGTGGGGTCCCCATGCTACCTGCCCTTCTACCCGACAGGCTACAAATCTGAGGATTTCCCATAACCCACCTCAGGTTCTGTAATTCACCGGAATGACTCACAGAACTCAAGAAAGTGCTTTATTTACAGTTATGGCTTTATTATAAAGGATACAACATAAGACCAGCCAGATGAAAAGACCCATAGGGCAAGGTCTGGAAGGGTCCTGGATGCAGAGCTTCTGTGCACTCTCCCTGTAGAATCAGGGCATGTCACCTTCCCAGCACATCATTGTGTTCACCAGTCAGGAAACTGCTCAGTATGACAGTTTTTTGTTTCTCTTTTCAGGCAGGGTGTTGCTCTGTTGCCCAGGCTGCAGTACAGTGGTGCAACATGGCCCACTGCAGCCCTGAGCTCCTGGGCTCAAGCGATCCTCCTGCCAAGTAGGGGGGACTACAGGCACATGTTACCATGCCCAGTTAATTTAGTTATATTTTTCTAGAGATGGGGTCTCACTATGTTGCTCAGGCTGATCTTGAATTTCTGGCTTCAAATGATCCTCCTGCCTTGGCCTCCCAAAGCGCTAGGATTATAGGTGTGAGCCACCACACTTGGCCATGCATAACAGCTTTTTTTTGAGATGAAGTCTCACCCTGTTGCACACACTGGAGTGCAGTAGCGTGCTCTTGGCTCACTGCAACCTCCGCCTTCAGGTTTAAGCAATTCTCCTGCCTCAGCCTCCTGTGTACCTGGGATTACAGGTGCGCACCACCATGCCCGGCTAATTTTTGTATTTTTAGTAGAGACAGGGTTTCACCATGTTGGCCAGGCTGGTCTGGAACTCCTGACCTCAAGTGATCCACCCGCCTTGGCCTCCCAAAGTGCTGGGATTACAGGCATGAGCCACTATGCCCAGCCAACATAACAGTTTTTATTAGGGTATTTGTTTTGTGATAGAACTCACTCTTGACTAGGCACAGTGGCTCATGCCTGTAATCCCAGCACTTTGGGAGGCCGAGGTGGGTGAATCGCTTGAGCTCAGGAATTCAAGACTAGCCTGGGCAACATGTTGAAACCTGTCTCTACAAAAAATAAAAAAATTAGCTGGGTTTGGTGACATGCAACTGTAGTCCTGGTTACTTGGGGGACTGAGGCGGGAGGATCACTTGAGCCCAGGAGGTGGAGGCTCCAGTGAGCCATGGTTGTGCCACTGCACTCCAGCCTGGGGAACAAAGTGAGACCCTCTTTCAAAACAAACAACTCACTCTCTAGTTCCTATCCTGTCCCTGGAGGTTGGGCTGAAACTACGTGGCATAAAGCCCCTACCCTCTAATCTCACAATAGGTCCTTCTGGCATGGCTAGCCCCTATCCCGTCCCATTTGTTCATAGTATATAATGTCTTTCATATGTTGCTGAATTCAGTTTGCTAGGTTTTTGTTTGTTTGTTTTTTAGAGATGAGGCCTCACTCTGTCACCCAGGCTGGAGTGAGAGGCACTGGAGAGGCGCTATATATCATAGTTTGCTAGTACATTGTTGAAAGTTTTTTTCTTGTGATATCTTTTAAATGGTTTTGGTGGCTCACTCCTGTAATCCTAGCACTTTGGGAGGCCAAGGCGGATGGATCACCTGAGGTCAGGAGTTCGAGACCAGCCTGGCCAACATGCCAACATGGTGAAACCCTGTCTCTACTAAAAATACAAAATTAGCCAGGCGTGCTGGTGCGTGCCTGTAATCCCAGCTACTTGGGAGGCTGAGGCAGGAGAATCGCTTGAACCCAGGAGGCGGAGATTGCAGTAGGCTGAGATCGCGCCATTGCATTCCAGCCTGAGCAATAAGAGTAAAACTCTGTCTCAAAAAAAAAATTAATTAATTAAATGGTTTCAGTATTAAAGTAAATGAAAATTTGTTCCTTCTATCCACAGAATACTCTGACACCAAATTTGTGGTTTTTCCACACCAAGCAATTTTCCATTTCTCTGCACACACCAAGTGGGTGTATTAAAATTTAATTTGATTCTGACACTTACTACCTAGAGTTACCACAGTCCCACAAATTAAAGACTCAGACCCACAAGACTGCCTTCCCACTTTAGACATCAGTTGCAAGTATTGGGTTCCAAGGGTCCCCACACTTCTGTCTGACTTGACTACAAATTGGGGGTTCTCACAACTTCCTTCTTAGGTTCAATAACCTACTGTATTGGCTCACAAAACTCAGGGAAACACTTTACTTCTGTTTCAGCTTTATTATGGAGGTTATAAACGAGCAGCCAGATGAAGAGGTACGCTGGGTAAACAAGATCTGGAAGAGTCCCAAGTGCAGGCGCTTCTGTCCCCCAGCACATGAATGCATTCACCAACTCAGAAGCTGTCTAAATCCTAGTTTAGGGATTATTATTATTATTATTTTATAGAAATGGGGTCTCTCTCTGTTGCCCAGGCTGTTCTTGCATTCCTAGGCTCAAGCGGTCCTCCTGCCTCAGCCTCCCAAAGTACTGGGATTACAGTCATGAGCTACCATGCCCAGCCAGTTTAGGGATTTTTTTTTAATGGAGGTTTCATCATGTAGGCATGATTGATTGTTAACCCAGTCTCCAGACTCTCTTCGCTCTCTGGAGGAAGTGGATGGGGCTGAAAGTTCCAGGCTCTAGGCATGTAATCATGGCTTGGTCTTCCTGGTGACCAGTTCTCATTCTGAAGATTCCAGGAGCCCACCAAGAGTTGCCTCATTAGAACAAAAGAGGCTTCTATCACCCAGGAAATTCCACGGGATTTAAGAGCTCTGTGTAGACACGCATGTTACCCCATTGCTCAGGAAATTGCAAGGAATTTAGGAGCTCTGTGTCAGGAACCAGGTCCAAAGAGCACATATTAGAACAAAAGATGCTGCTAGTGCCCTATCACTCAGGAATTTACAAGGATTTTAGGAGCTCTGTGTCAGGAACTGTGGAGCAAAGATCGAATATGTATTTCTTCTTTTTTTGAGACGGAGTCTTGCTCTGTTTTGCCCAGGCTGGAGTGCAGTGGCAAGCTCTCAGCTTATTGCAGCCTCCGCCTCCTGGGTTCAAGTGATTCTCCTGTCTCAAACTCCCGAGTAGCTGGGACTACAGGCATGTGCCACCACACCCGGCTACTTTTGTATCTTTAGTAGAGTTGGGGTTTCACCATGTTGACCAGGCTGGTCTCAAAACTCCTGACCTCAGGTGATCCAGCCACCTTGGTGTCCCAAAGTGCTGGGATTACAGGTGGAAGCCACTGAGCCCAGCCCCAACCATGTATTCTTATATATACAAGGTAATCCTGGCCTTATAAAATGAATTGGGAAGTGTGGGAAGTGTTCTATCCTCTTCTGTGTTTTGGAGGAGTTTGAGAAGGATTGGAATTAATTCTTTTTTTTTTTGAGAGAGAGAGAGAAGGCCTGGCTCTGTTACCCAGGTTGGAGTGCGATAGTGCGATTATGGCTCACTGCCACCTTGACCTAGTGGGCTTAAGCAGTCCTCTTGCCTCAGCTTCCTGAGAACTTAGGGTGCACCATCACACTCAGCTAATTGAAGAGACAGAGTCTCACTGTAGCCCAAGCTGGAGTGCAGTGGTGCAATCATACCTCCCTTCAGCCTTGAAGTCTTGGGCTCAAGCTGTCTTCCCATCTCAGCCTGTTGTGTAGCTGGGAGTACAGGTGTTTGCCACCAAGCCTAGCTAATTTTGAGTGTTTTGTAGAGATAGTGTCTTGCTGTGTTGCCCAGGCTGGTCTCATACTCTTGACCTCAAGTGATCCTCTCCCTTCCAAAGTGCTGAGATGACAGGCATGTGCTGCCACACCCAGCTGGTGTTAATTCTTTTATAAATGTTTGGTAGAATTAGTGAAGCCATCTGGTACTGGGCTTTCTTTGTGGAAAATACTTTTTTCTTTTCTTTTTTTTTGAGACAGGTTCTTGTTTTGTTGCCCAGGCTGCAGTGCAGTGGTGTGATCTCAGCTCACTGCAACCTCTGCCTCCCGGGTTCAAATGATTCTCCTGCCTCAGCCTCCCGCAAAGCTGGGATTACAGGTGTGTGCCAATACACCTGGCTAAGTTTTGTATTTTTAGTAGAGGCGGGGTTTCACCATGTTGGTCAGGCTGGTCTCCAACTCCTGACCTCAAGTGATCCACCCACATCGGCCTCCCAAAGTGCTGGGATTACAGGTATGAGCCACTACGCCCTACCACAGCCAAATTTTTCCTAAACTTTATTTTTATTTATTTATTTATTTTTAGAGAATAGGGTCTTGCCACGTCACCCAGGTTGGATGGAGTGCAGTGGCTATTCACGGGAGCAATCGTAGGGCACTTTGGCCTTAAATTCCTGATCTAAAGTGATCCTCACACATTAGCCTCCCACGTAGCTGCAGTGCTTTGTGGGAAAGCTGATTTGTGACTCAGTCTCTTTACTCTGTACAGGGATATTCACATTTTCTGTTTCCTCTTGAGTACATTTTGGTAGTTTGTTTCAGTGAAGTTGATAATTTCATCCAGGTTATCTAATTTGTTGGCATGCAATTTTCATAGTATTCTTTTATAATCTTTTTATTTATGTAAGGTTGTTAGTACTATCCCTGCTTGCATTTCTGACTTGGGAAACTTGAGTCTTCTATTTTTCTTCATCAGTCTAGTTAAAGGTTTATCAATTTTATTAATCTTTTCAAACAACCAGCTTTTCTTTTCTTTGAGTGTGATTCCATTTACATGACAAATTCAGAATAGGCAAATTCATAGAGACAGGAAATAAATTAATGGCTGCCCGAGATTGGGGTGGTGAAATTTGAAAGGACAAGATTTCCTTCTGGGTTAATGGAAATATTTTGTAATTATGTAGTGGTGATGGTTACACAATATTGTCTATTCATATCCTTTGCTTTTTTTTTTTTTTTTTGGAGACAGGGTCTCACTCTGTCACCCAGGCTGAAGTGCATAGACAAGATTATGGCTCACTGCAGCCTCGACCTCTCCTGATCTCAAGCGATCCTTTCACTTCCTGAGTAGCTGGGGCTATAGGCACATGCCACCACACCTGGCTAATTTTTGTATTTTTTATAGAGATGGAGTTTTGCCATGTTGCAAGCTGGTCTCAGATTCCTGGGCTCCAGTGATCCTCCCGCCTCATATTCCCAAAGTGCTTGGATTACAAGCGTGAGCCACTGCACCCTGCCTACCCATTTTCTAATGGAATTTATTTTTAGTCTTTATTATTATTATTTTTTTACTATTTAGTTTGAGTTTCTTGTATATTCTAGATATCATTCCTCTGTCATATGAGCAGTTTGTAAATATTTTCCCCCATTCAAGAGGTTGTGTCTTCACACTGTTGACTGCTTATTTTTCTGCGTGTAGCTTTTTAATTTAATATAGTCCCATTTGTTTATTTTTGTTTTTGTTCAAGGCTTTTGGGCTCTTTTTTTTCTTTTTTTTTTTTAATTATACTTTAAGTTTTGGGGTACATATGCAGAACGTGCAGTTTCATTACATAGGTATACACGTGCCATCAACCCGTCACCTACATTAGGTATGTCTCCTAATGTTATCCCTCCCCTATCCCCCCACCTCCCGACAAGCCCTGTTGTGTGATGTTTGCCTCCCTGTGTCCATGTGTTCATTGTTCAACTCCCACTTCTGAGTGAGAATGTGTGGTGTTTGGTTTTCTGTTCTTGTGATAGTTTGCTGAGAGTGATAGTTTCCAGCTTCATCCATGTCCCTGCAAAAGACATGAACTCATCCTTTTTTATGGCTATATAGTATTCCATGGTGTATATGTGCCTTTTTTTTTTTTTTTTTTTTTTTTTTTTTTTTTTTTTTTTTAAGATGGAGTCTCGTTCCTGTCATGCAGACTAGAGTGCAGTGGCATGATCTCGGCTCACTGCAACCTCCACCTCCCAGGTTCAAGCAATTCTCCTTCCTCAGCCTTCCAAGGAGCTGGGATTATAGGCGTGTGTGTGCCTGGCTAAATTTTGTATTTTTAGTAGAGACGGGGTTTCACCAAGTTGGCCAGGCTGATCTCGAGCTCCTGACGTCAGTTGATCCACCCACCTTGGCCTCCCAAAGTGCTAGGATTACAGGCATGAGCCACTGCTTCCGGCCTGTGTGCCACATTTTCTTTATCCAGCCTATCATTGATGGACATTTGGGTTGGTTCCAAGTGTTTGTATTGTGATTTATGCTGCAGTAAACATACGTGTTCATGTGTCTTTATAGTAGAATGATTTATAATCCTTTGGGTATGTACCCCAGTAATGGGATCGCTGGGTCAAATGGTATTTCTAGTTCTAGACCCTTAAGGAATCGCCACACTGTCTTCCACAATGTTTGAACTAATTTACACTCCCACCAACAGTGTAAAAGCATTCCTATTTTCTCCACATCCTCTCCAGCATCTGTTGTTTCCTGACTTTTTAATGATTGCCATTCTAACTGGCGTGAGATGGTATCTCATTGTGGTTTTGATTTGCATTTGCCTAATGACCAGTGATGATGAGAATTTTTTCATGTCTGTGGCTGCATAAATGTCTTCTTTTGAGAAGTGTCTGTTCATATCCCTTGCCCACTTTTTGATGGGGTTGTTTTTTTCTTGTAAATTTGTTTAAGTTTGTTGTAGATTCTGGATATTAGCCGTTTGTCAGATGGATAGATTGCAAAAATTTTTTCTCATTCTATGGGTTGCCTGTTCACTCTGATGATAGTTTCTTTTGCTGTGAAGAAGCTCTTTAGTTTAATTAGATTCCGTTTGTCAATTTTGGCTTTTGTTGCCATTGCTTTTAGTGTTTTAGACATGAAGTCTTTGCCCATGCCTATGTCCTGGATGGTATTGGCCAGATTTTCTTCTAGGATTTTTATGGTCCTAGGTCTCACATTTAAGTCTTTGATCCATCTTGAGTTGATTTTTGTGTAAGGTTTAAGGAAGGAGTCCAGTTTCAGTTTTCTGCATATGGCTAGCCAGTTTTCCCAACACCGTTTATTAAATAGGGGATCTTTTCCCCATTACTTGTTTGTGTCAGGTTTGTCAAAAATCATATGGTTGTAGATGTGTGGTGTTATTTCTGAGGCCTCTGTTTTGCTCCATTGGACTATATATCTGTTTTGGTACCAGTACCAATGCTGTTGTGGTTACTCTAGCCTTGTAGTATAGTTAGAAGTCAGGTAGCTTGATGCCTCCAGCTTTGTTCTTCTTGCCCAGGATTGTCTTGGCTATGCAGGCTCTTTTTTGGTTCCATATGAAGTTTAAATTAGTTTTTTTCCAATTCTGTGAAGAAAGTCAGCGGTAGCTTGATGGGGATAGCATTGAATCTATAAATTACTTTTGGCAGTATGGCCATTTTCACGGTATTGATTCTTCCTATCCATGAGCATAGAATGTTTTTCCATTTGTTTGTGTCCTCTCTTATTGCCTTGAGCAGTAGTTTGTAGTTCTCCTTGAAGAGGTCCTTCACATCCTTTGTAACTTGGATTCTTAGGTATTTTATTCTCTTTGTAGCAATTTTGAATGGGAGTTCACTCATGATTTGGCTCTCAGTTTGTCTGTTATTGGTGTATAGGAATGCTTGTGATTTTTGCACATTGATTTTATAGCCTGAGACTTTGTCGAAGTTGCTTATTAGCTTAAGGAGATTTTGGATTGAGACGATGGGATTTTCTAAATGTATAATCATGTTATTTGCAAACAGAGACAATTTGACTTCTTCTCTTCCTATCTGAATACCCTTTCTTTCTTTCTGTTGCCTGATTGCCCTAGCCAGAACTTCCAATACTATGTTGAATAGGAGTGGTGAGAGAGGGCATCCTTGTCTTCTGCCAGTTTTCAAAGAGAATGCTTCCAGTTTTTGCCTGTTCAGTACGATACTGGCTGTGGGTTTGTCATAAATAGCTATTATTTTGAGATATGTTTCCATCGATATCTAGTTTATTGAGATTTTTTAGCATGAAAGGCTGTTCAATTTTGTCAAAGGCCTTTTCTGCATCTATTGAGATAATCATGTAATTTTTGTCATTGGTTCTGTTTATGTGATGAATTACGTTTATTGACTTGTGTATGTTGAACCAGCCTTGCATCCCAGGGATGAAGTTGACTTGATCATGGTAGATAAGCTTTTTGATGTGCTGCTGGATTTGGTTTGCCAATATTGTATTGAGGATTTTCACATTGATGTTCATCAGGGATATTGGCCTGAAATTTTCTTTTTTTGTTGTGTCTCTGCCAGGTTTTGCTATCAGGGTGGTGCTGGCCTCATAAAATGCGTTAGGGAGGATTCCCTCTTTTCCTATTTTTTGGAATACTAATAAAAAAGAAAAGAGAGAAGAATCAAATAGACACAAGAAGAAACGATATAGGGGATATCACTGCTGATCCCACAGAAATACAAACTACCATCAGAGAATGCTATAAACGCCTCTACGCAAATAAACTAGAAATTCTAGAAGAAATGGATAAATTCCTGGACACATACACCTCTAAACCAGGAAAAGTCGAATCCCTGAGGAAACCAATAACAAGTTCTGAAATTGAGGCAGTGATTAATAGCCTGCTAACCAAAAAAAGTCCAGGACCAGATGGATTCACAGCCGAATTCTACCAGAGCTCTTCTTAGCTTTAATATATTTGCCTAGGTCAGTGTCCTGAAGAGTTTTCCCTATGTTTTCTACAAATAATGTTTAAGTTGTTAATTCATCTTAATTTGATTTTTGTGTTTGATGAGAAATAGAGGTCCAGTTTTATTCTTCTGCATATGCTTTTCCAGTTATTTCAGCACCACTTATTTGAGAGGGTGTCCTTTCCCCAGTGTAGGTTCTTGACAGCTTTGTCTAAGATCAGTTGGCTGGTAAATATATTTATTTCTGAGTTCTCTATTCTGTTTCATTGGTCTGTGTGTCTGATTTTATACCAATACTGAAATGTTTTGGTTACTGTAGCTTGTAATATATTTTTAAGTTGGGTAGTGTGATGCCCCCAGCTTTGTTGACAGCTGTCTCTCTGTTTGGATCCTTTTGCTCAGGATTGCTTTGGCTGTTCTGCAGGGTTTTTTTGTTTGTTTCATGTGATTTCAGCATTGTGTTTTCTAGTTCTATGAAAACTGATCTTAGTATTTTCATAGGAATTGCATTGAATCTGTAGATTGCTTTGAGCAGTATGGTCATTTTATTGATATTCTTTTAATCAATGAACATGTGATGTCTTTCCATTTGTTTTTGTCCTCTTCAGTTTCTTTCAGTCAGTGTTTTATAGTTTTGCTTGTAGAGATCTTTTACCTTCTTGTTTAAATGTATTTGTAGGTATTTCATTTTTTTTTGTAGTTATTGCAAATGGGATTGCCTTCTTGATTCCTTTTTCGCTCTTGCGTTATTGGTGTATAAAAATGCTACTGATTTTTATATGTTGATTTTTGTCTCTTGCGGCATTACTGAATGTTCTAAGAGGTATTTGGTAAAATCTTTAGGTTTTTCTAATTACAGGGTCATATCATCTGCAGAGAGGGAAAGTTTGACCTCCTTCTTTCCAATTTGGATACCTTTCCTTTCTTTCTCTTGCCTTACTGCTTTAGCTAGGACTTCCAGTACTATGTTGATTTAGGAGTGCTGAAAGTATTCATCCTTGTCTTTCTTGTTTCAGTTCTTAGAGGAAAGTTTTTCAACTTGTACATATTCAGTATGATGTTAGCTGTGGGTTTGTTATCTATGGGCTTTGTTATTTTGAGGTATATTCCTTCTATGCCTAGTTTGTTGAGAGTTTTTATCATGAAGAGATTGATAATTTGTTTCAAGGAAGTTTTTGACCTCCATCTTACTTCATTGACCCGGTGGTTGTTCAGGAACATGTTTGATTTCCATGTGTTTGTATGTTTTTTTTTAATCTTTTATTTATTTATTTTTTATTTATAGACAGGGTTTCACTATTTTGCCCGGGCTTGTCTTGAACTCCTGGGCTCAAGTAATCCTCCCACCTTGTCCTTGCAAAGTGCGGGGATTACAGGCATGAGCCACCAGAGCCTGGCCCCATGTATTTGTATGGTTTCTAAAGTTCCTCTTGGTATTTGTTTCTCATTTTATTCCATTGTGGACTGAGAAGATACTTAGATGATTTCGATTTCTTAAAATTAATTGAGACTTCTTTTGTGGACTAACACTTCCTGGAAGATGTTCCACGTGCTGATGAGAAGAAGGTATTGTGCAGTTAGTTAGAATGTTCAGTAGGTATGTATCTGTAAGGTCCATTTGGTGCAAAGTCCCTTTTAAATCCATGTTTGTTGATTTTCTGTCTAGAGAATCTGTCTTATCCCCTTCAACAGTGGAATGTTGAAGTCCCTCACTGTTATTATACTGGAGTCTGTCTCTCTGTTTAGATCTAGTAATATTTTCTTTGTGAACTTGTGTGCTCCAGTGTTGAGTGCATATATGTTTAGAATTGTTATATCCTTTTGCTGGATTCATCCCTTTATCATTGTATAATGACCTTCATCATCTTTTTTTTTATTACCTTTTTTGACTTAAAGTTGTTTTTATGTATAGCTACCCCTGAGAGCTTGTTTGGAGGTTCTATCAGGAGAGCGCAGCTACTCTTACACCCTTGATGGAAGACCGGTCCTCCTCTATTGGGGATGGTTGTCTTCTTCGACCAAGTGCCCAGCTTCTGGAGGGACGCACATGGAGCCAGTGAGGGAGGTAGGGGATACCTGCCTAGCCAGCCAGATCAACTGAATCAATCCTGGCGATCAGTGGAGTGACAGATGTCGCAGCCAGATCACCCTCACATCCATATCTGATATATGTTTAGCTACTTCTGCTCACTTTTGGTTTTCATCTGTGTGGAATATCTTTCCACCTCTTTTAGTCTATATGTGTCTTTACTGGTGAAGTGTTTTTTCTAGGCATCATATAGTTGGATCATATTTCTTGTTTTTTCTTTTTTTTTGAGGGAAGATCTCTCCTGTCACCCAGGCTGGAAGTACAGTGGCATGATCACGGCTTACTGCAGCCTTAAATTCCTGGACTTAAGCAATCTTCTGCCTTAGCCTCCTGAGTAGCTGAGACTACAGGTGCAGGCCACCACGCCTGGCTAATTTTAAATTTTTTTCTTTTGTAGAGATGAGGGCTTGCTATGTAGACAAGGCTGGTTTCGAACTCCTGACCTAAAGTGATCCTCTCACCTTGGCCTCTTAAAGTGCTGGGATTACAGGCGTGAGCCACTGCACCTGGCCAGATCATGTTTCTTTATCCATTCAGCCAGTTTGTATCTTTCAAGTGGAGACAGATTCATTTACATTCAAGGTTATTATTGATATGTGATGTTTTGTTCCTGTCATATTGTTGTTTTCTGCTTGTTGTATGTATTTCTTTCTTCTTTTCTTTTTCTTGTTTATCTTTGTGATTTACAGGTTTTAATGTCGTGGTACCTTTTGAGTCCTTTCTCTTCCTCATTTGTATGTTTACCCATGAATTTTATACTTTTGTGTGTTTTCACAATGGTAAATATCATCCTTTGACTTCCAGGTTTAGTACTCCTTTGAGCATTTCTTGTAGGTCTGGTCTAATGGTAATGAATTCCCTTTAATGGTGATGAATTTTCTTAACTTTTGCTTGTCAGGGAAAGATTTTTCTCACTTACAAAGGGTAATTTTGGTAGGTATAGTATCTTGATTGGCAGTTTTTTTTTTTTTTCAGACCTTTGAATATGTCATTACATTCTCTCCTGGCCGGTAAAGTTTCTGCTGAGATTCTGAGCATATATGATAATGTAATCTCTGTATGATTTCTTTGGCTCTAAACAACGTCAGGGGTACCTGTTTTGTCCTTGACAGCTTAGGGTCTGGTTATTAGTAGAGGCTGTGGTGAAGTGTTCCTGGGGACTGGGTTGCTAGCTGGGCTAGTCTTCTGTCCCCAGTGGTGGGATTTATGGGCTGAGCATACCTGTCTTTGGTCCCAGGGTGACGTACACCAGCACCAGTGTTAGCCAGGTACAGACAGGCCGATTCTTGGGCCTCCAGCTGGCCTACTCAGATGCCAGTAGGGCAGCATGGGCTGGGAGAGTGGGGGTGGGTTCTTGGGCTTGGATATGGTTTGGCTGTGTCCCCACCCAAATCTCATCTTGAATTCCCATGTGTTGTGGGAGGGACTTGGTGGGAGGTAATTGAATCATGGGGGCAGGTCTTTCTGGTGCTGTCCTCGTGATAATGAGTAAGTCTCATGAGATCTGATGGTTACTATAAGGGGGAGTTTCCCTGCACAAGCTCTCTCTGCCTGCCACCATCCACATAGTGTGTGAGTTGCTCCTCCTTGCCTTCTGCCATGATTGTGAAGCCTCCCCAGCCATGTGGAACTGCAAATGCAATAAACCTCTTTCTTTTGTAAATTGCCCAGTCTTGGGTGTGTCTTTATCAGCAGCATGACAACAGAGTAATACAGTAACTTGGTACCAGTAGAGTGGGGTGTTGCTGAAAAGATACCTGAAAATGTGGAAACGACTTTGGAACTGGGTAACAGGCAGAGGTTGGAACATTTGGAGGGCTCAAAGGAAAACAGGAAAATGTAGGAAAGTTTAGAACTTCCTAGAGACTTGATGAATGGCTTTGACCAAAAGCCTGATAGCGATATGGACAATAAGATCCAGGCTGAGGTGGTCTCAGACGGAGAAGAGGAACTTGCTGGGAACTGAAACAATGATGATTCTTGTTATGTTTTAGCAAAGAGACTGGCGACATTTTCCCCTGCCCTAGAGATTTGTGGAACTTTGAACTTTAGAGAAATGATTTAGGGTATCTGGCGGAAGAAATTTCTAAGCAGCAAAACATTCGAGATGTAACTTGGGTGCTATTAAAGGCATTCAGTTTTATAAGGGAAGCACCACATAAAAGTTTGGAAAATTTGCATCCTGACAATAGAAAAGAAAAACCCATTTTCTAAGGAGAAATTGAAGTCTGCTGCATAAATTTGCACAAGTAAGGAGGGGCCAAATGTTAATCCCCAAGACAATGGGGAAAATGTCTCCAGGGCATGTCGGAGGTCTTCACGGCATCCCATCCCAGCACTGGCCCAGAGTCCCCATGCTGTGTGCAGTCTAGGGGCTTGGTGCTCTGCATCCCAGCCACTCCAGCCATGACTAAAAGGGGCCAAGTTACAGCTTGGGCTGTTGCTTCAGAGGGTGGAAGCCTCAAGCCTTGGCAACTTCCATTTGGTGTTGAGCCTGTGGGTGCACAGAAGTCAAGAATTGAGGTTTGGGAACCTCCACCTAGATTTCAGAAGATGTATGGAAATACCTAGATACCCAGGGAGAAGTTTGCTGCAGGGGCAGGGTCCTCATGGAGTGGGTGGAGAACCTCTGCTAGGGCAGTGCAGAAGGGAAATGTGGAGCTGAAACCCCTACACAGATCCCCTACCTGGGGCACTGCCTAGTGGAGCTGTGAGAAGAGGGCCACCATCCTCCAGATCCCAGAATGGTAGATCCACTGAGAGCTTGCACCATGTGCCTGGAAAAGCCGCAGACAGTCAACACTAGCCCATGAAAGCAGCCAGGAGGGAGGAGGCTATACCCTCCAAAGCCACAGGGGCGGAGCTGCCCAAGACCATGGGAACCCATCTTTTGCATCAGCGTGACCTGTATATGAGACCTGGAGTCACTGGAGGTCATTTTGGAGCTTTAAGATTTGACTGTCCCACTGGATTTCGGACTTTCAAGAGGCCTGTAGCCCCTTTGTTTTGGTCAGTGTCTCCCATTTGGAATGGCTGTATTTATCAACTTCCTGCACCCCCATTGTATCTAGGAAGTAACTAACTTGCTTTTGATTTTACAGACTCATAGGCAGAAGGGACTTGCCTTGTCTCAGATGAGACTTTGGACTGTGGACTCCTGACTTAATACTGAAATGAGTTAAGACTTTGGGGGACTGTTGGGAAGGCATGTTTGGTTTTGAAATGTGAGGACATGAGATTTGGGAGGGGCCGGGGCAGGATGATATGGCTTGGCTGTGTCCCCACCCAGATCTCATCTTGAATTACCATGTGTTGTGGGAGGGACCCTGTGGGGGTAATTGAAACATGAGGGCAGGTCTTTCTCATGCTGTCCTCATGATAATAACTAAGTCTCATGAGAGTTGATAGTTATTTTAAGGGGTAGTTTTCCTGCACAAGCTCTCTTTGCCTGCCACCATCCATGTAAGATGTGACTTGCTCCTCCTTGCCTTCTACCATGATTGTGAAGCCTCCCTAGCCATGTGGAACTATAAGTCCAATAAACCTTTCTTTTGTAAATTGTCCAGTCTCAGGTATGTCTTTATCAGCAGTGTGAAAATGGATTCATACAGTAAATCAACATGAAAATGGACTAATACAGGCTCTTAGGCAGTCAGCATGGCATGGTTGATGGCAGTGGCAGGACTGCCTTCTTAGTCCTGAGCAGTGTGTACTGGTGTTGGCGGTGGCTGTGATAGACTGGGCCAGCCACTCCCAAGGCCTGCAGGTGGCGTCTGCAGGTAGGTTACAGCTGTGGTGGCAGCTGCGGGTAGACAGGCCCAACCTCAGGCCGCTGGGAGGTGTGCTCACATACCAACAGTGGTGGGCTGAGCAGTCCCCTGTTTCCAGAATGTGTGTCTGGGATGGTGTGAATGGGGGTGAAGCTGGGCCAGAAGGGCTTATCCTCAGGCTCCCTGTTGGTGTGTGCAGGTACAATCAGTAGTGGGCAGGTGCGGGGCATTCCCCAGGCCCTGGGCAGAGTAATTGACTTGGGGACCATCAGGGATGTGTTGGGGCCCTGCCACTGTGGAGGGTGGAGCTGCCTTCTATGGTAGTAGCTTAGACTGGTGGGTGGGGAACACACGCTCTGCTCACATCTCAGCTCCTGATCAGTCTGGGGGTGCTCGCGCCTCAGCTGTGGCCATAGTGGCCTGCCACTTGCTCATGCTTCAACCCTGACAGAGGTAGCCTGTGCCTTGCTTGTGCCTCAGCCCCGGCGGCAGTAGTCCATGCATCACTTGAGTCTCAGCCCTGGTGGCACTGGGCCCCAGGACAATGGGCAGTCTGTTGGGGACAGGACTCTAAAATGGCACCTTGCTATAGCTGCCTAGGTCTCAGGGAATCTGTGGAACCCAGGACAAGCTCCCTCCCTGGAGCTGCATCTTCATACAATCTCCCGACAGCTTCCTTTGTTAGTTTCAGGACCTGTGAGAGTTGAGGCCCTCTCCCGTGGCTAGCTAGAATTGCAGAAATCCACGGTGGGAACATGGACCGCTGAGCTCTCACTTTTCCTTTTAACACATTGGGGAGTTTCTCCTGGCTCCCATTTGATGGGGGTTGAGCAGGTTGCCTTCTTTCTCCTTCCTTGCCGTAGATGTTTCCTGTCATTTTTCTGTTGAATTCCAGTGTTCTGTTTTTTTTAATGTTTTTAAAAATTAGTTTTTTGAGATAAGGTCTTGCTTTTTGACCCAGGCTGGTCTCCAACTCTTGGCCTCAGTAATCCTCCCATCTCACCCTCACAAGTAGCTGGAACTATGGCCACATGCCTCTCTTTTCCTGGCATCTATCTCTTGGGTGATCTATTCAAAGTGTCATTATCTACTCACTATTTTGGTTGTTCTTAGTAGAGGAGGCCTCTAGTTAGCAATCTTAAAGTCTCTCCCTTGTTGTCTTTTAAGGTGAAAGCTTTGGTCATAGATTTAAGACTTTTCTTTGTTTCTAATGAATTTTTAGCTTTGTAATTTTTTTTCCTTTTTGTTTAACTGTATCCACTGGGATTTGTAGCATATAAATTTTTCTACAAATACTGCTTTAGATGCATGCCACGACTGTTATTTTCATTATATTGGATACCTTTTTCACTAGACTAAGGCAGTTTTTTTTCCTCTGTATCATTTTGTTTAGTTTTCATTGTTACATTTTTAAGTTCGCTAGTCTTTTTTTTTTTTTTTTTAACCTGTCTTCTCTACCTTTTATCCCATTCAGTATCAGACTTTAGAATTTCCCTTTCTAGAATTTTTGTTTGGGTCTTTTTTTATATTAACCTTATCTCACTCAACATGTTTTCAGTTTTTCCTCTAGGTTCTTGAACATATGGATTATAGTCATAGTCATATAAGAACTTTTCATGTCTTTTTCTACTGATTCTATTACCAGTAATTTCTGGGTCAGGTTTGATTTTTTTTGTTGTTTTTGTTTTTCTCACTTTGGGTTGAATTTTTCTGCTTCCTTTGCATGCCCGGTAATATTTTACTTTTTTTTTTTTACCCCTAATTTTTTTTTTTTTTTTTTTTTTTTTTTTTTTTTTTGAGATAGTGTCTCACTCTGGTTGCCCAGGTTAGACTACAGTGGTGTGATCTTGGCTCACTGCAGCCTTGACCTTCCTGACTCAAGTGATTCTCCTACCTCAGCCTCCCGAGTAGTTACTATTACAGGCGTACACCTCCATACCTGACAAATATTTTTTGTATTTTTTTGTATTTTTAGTAGAGACGGGGTTTCACTGTGTTGCCCAGACTCGTCTCAAACTCCTGGACTCAAGCAGTTGCCTGTCTAGGCCTCCCATAGTGCTGGGATTACAGGTGTGAGTCACAGCACTCGAACTTTTTTTTTTTTTTACTGTTCTGAAGGTACATTAGCAATGCCTGGTAAGTTTTTAGTAGATACTAAACTCTGAATTTTACTATGCTAGATGCTGGATATTTTTATATTCCTATGATATTCTTGATATTTGTTCTGCATTATGATTAAGTTGATTGGAAAGAGATTGATTATTTAGCATCTTGATTTTTAAGCTTTGTTAAGTGGGACTGGATATGCGTTTAGTCTAGTTTTTATTTTTTTCATATTAAGGCAAGACCTATTTTTCTGTAAAGACCCAGATAGTACGTATTTTAGGCTTTGTGGGCTCTACAGTTTGTGTGTCAGCTATCTCTCTCTTCTACTGTAGTGTAAAAGCAACCATAAATGGTATTTAAATGAATAAACATGGTTGTGAACTTTATTTTTAGATACTATAATTTAAATTTTATGTAGTTTTAAATTGTCATGAAATGTTCTTTTTTTTACCTTTTTCAGCCATTTAATAATGTAAAAGTCATTCTTAGTTCTTGGGCTATACAAAAATAGGTGCTGAACCACATTTGATCTGTAGGATATAATTTGCTGACCCCCTGTTGCTTTAACCAGTGTTAGCCAAAAGATGAGCTTTTCCATTCTTGCTGTTGGGGGGCAGGCCTTGTTCATAGACCTGTGTGGGTGTTGGGTGCTATTCCCTTTATTTCTTTGGAGCAGTTCTATCCCTGACCTTGGGTAATTTCCCCGGGTACATGCCCTGCTCAGTCCTTTGCTAAAGACTCAGAGGGACTCTGCAAATTTCCAGAGTACTCTCTGCAGCTCTCTTCTCTGACACTTTTCTCTGTTAATTCTACCTTTGCCTTCTTGACTCTTAACCTCATCTCTCTAAGGGAGATTGCCAGGTTTTTGATTGATCCTCCCTGTTTGCCTCTTTACCCAGTTTGTAAATTGGGGTAGTTATAGGGTTTATCTCTGTTTTGCATCTCTCATGTATCACTATTCATAGTCTTTTGTTACTCGTATAATGTCTTGAGTGTCTAGTTTCATATATTTTTGTTGTCGTTTAGTTGTTTCAGTCAGGTAAACTTTGTCCTTATTACTCCATATTTGTTGGAAACACAAGAACAGTACTTTTTTTTCTTTTTTACTGTATTTTAAGAGATTTGGGCAGGAGGGTGAGCCCACCATCTTGATGTAATATGCCTCCACCATTATAGTTTTAGGAGAATTAAAATTATGGGGATCTTTTATTCCCCACTGTATATTGAGTGTCTACTGTATGCTAACCCCTTCTCTAAACCTTGTGACTAAAACTTTAATGGAACATACATTCTAGTGGTCTCAACAACAGATCATAATATAATGTTGAACTATATGAAATAGGAAATATATGTGTTCC
This sequence comes from Homo sapiens, assembly GCF_000001405.40. Classification (NCBI taxonomy): domain Eukaryota; kingdom Metazoa; phylum Chordata; class Mammalia; order Primates; family Hominidae; genus Homo; species Homo sapiens. The sequence continues at coordinate 77,786,475 of NC_000011.10, read as the reverse complement.
TTGGGGTACTCCTGGCTTGAGTGAAAAGGTGTCCAAGGCTCCAGCCATTTTAAATATTTTTAAATGCCAATTTTAAATTTAAATAAATAATACATTTATTTACCAAAATTGGGTAATTTTTTATTCGCGTGCTGATCAGATATTCTGAATGATAAGTTAACAATAATCTTGCTAAGCACAACATAGGATACTTTAATAAATTCAGTTTGGTAGACTAAATCTCTTAATATACATAGTATTTGTGGGGATAAATTAATGGGAAGCATGATGGTACGTAGTAAATGTCAGGATTTTTAGTATTAGCTGGGTTGAAATCTTAGCCTTGCCACTTGATATTTGTGTGACCTGGCAATTTATTAACTTCAGAGTTTCTTCATAATGGAGACAGTAATATCCTCCTATAAAGTTTTAAGGATCTTTTGCCTTATGGAAATGTTAAAATCCACTATACGATATGATATGCAGATGTTTCTTTTTAGAGTTCATAGTTCATGTTTAACAAATAGATCTACGTATAATTCTTTTTTTTTTTTTTTTTTTTTTTTTTTTTGAGACAGAATCTCACTCTGTCGCCCAGGTTGGAGTGCAGTGGCGCGATCTCGGCTCGCTGCAAGCTCTGCCTCCCAGGTTCACGCCATTCTCCTGCCTCAGCCTCCCGAGTAGCTGGGACTACAGGTGCCCGCCGCCATGCCAGGCTAATTTTTTTGTATTTTTTTTTTTTCAGTAGAGACGGGGTTTCACCGTGATCCACCTGCCTCGGCCTCCCAGAGTGCTGGGATTACAGGCGTAAGCCACTGTGCCTGTCCAATTTGCTCTTTTAAAAATTCATATCATCTGCTCAAGTACACATCTTTAATTCTTTAATGTTGCTTTTCTTTTTTTTTTGAGATGGAGTTTCGCTCTTGTTGCCTGGGCTGGAGTGCAATGGCATGAGCTCGGCTCACTGCAACCTCCGCCTCCCAGGTTCAAGCAATTCTCCTGCCTCAGCCTCCTAAGTAGCTGGGATTACAGGTGTATGCCACCACGGCTGGCTAATTTTTGTATTTTTAGTAGAGACACAGTTTCACCATGTTGGCGAGGCTGGTCTCAAACTCCTGATCTCAGGTGATCCACCCACCTCAGCCTCCCAAAGTGTTGGGATTACAGGCATGAGCCACTGTGCCCAGCCAATGTTGCTTTAAAAATTGAGAATTCTCTCTGGACATGATGGAGTAATAAGGGGCTTTTACCCACTTGTCATAAACAGCTAGTAAACTGGATCAAGATACATGAACCATCTCTTTTTAGATATTGTACTAAGGCAAATCAGGATTGTTTTCCCTGGGTGATGGGTGAAATAAAAGAAGTGAGCCCTATACCACTACCAGGGTTTCCTGCCTGGAAGCAGCTTTAGGACCGCAGAAACAGAGAGAGAGAATCTAATGAGTCTGGCAGCTTCACTCAGTTGAGGAGGCAAAGATTGGATTTCAAGAGGCTTAGGCAGCTAGAAGTTGCAGGGCCAGGTTCTGAAAAGAAGAGGGCTATGCAGAAGACAGAATTTCAGAAATCTGTACATGGGCTACCTTGAGTCTTTGCTGAAGACTAGGTCGTATATGCAAACAGTGAAAATCCACAACGCTAGGCACTGAACATCCAGGTTATTACTAGCCAAACATTTCCTAGAACTTACACTGGAGATGTTTGAACTCTGACCAGAGTGAAATATTCTTTGTAGCACTCAGGGCATTCAATGGAGAACCCAATTGATTCATTGTAGTAAACCTGACAGAAAAGGCCTTAAAAAGATAAGATGAATCTGCAAATAAATACCTGCCAAAACAAAGCCCAACTGATTTTTACAGCACATTGCAAAATCTTAACAGCACATCTTAGCAGCGCTTAGCAGCATGGTAACATTGATATTTTCCAACATCCAAGCTTAATTTACTCAATATGGCTCAAATTACTAGCTGTGCTGAGAAACTGGTCTAACTCTTAACCAGGAGAAAAATGAACCCAAAGAAGCAGATTCAGAAATGATGGAGATACTAGATCTAGCAGACAAGGACAGTAAAATAAGTATTATAATTAGTAAAAGTATTTAAAGAAAAATATGAACATAATGAAAGAAATGAAAGATAAGAAAAATAAACATATAGAACTTCTAGAGATTAAAAAAATAATAGTATCTTAAATAAATTACTGAAAGGCATTTCACAGAAGATTGGATGCTGCAGAACAAACTAGTGAACTTGAAGACATGTCAGTAGACTTTATCCTAAAATGAAGCAGTGAGAAAGAGAACTGAAAATAATCAAGTGCTTCACTGGTCTGTGGAATAGTATCAAGCAGCCTCCATAAAGTGTATTTGAGATCCTAGAAGGAGGATGGAGCCAAGAATATTGGAAGAATAATGAATGCAAAATTTCAAATTTGATGAAAATTATAAACCCACAAACCCAATAATCTCAACAAACCTAAAGTACGACAAACACAGACAAACATTTACAGACATTTGTATGTTTGTCCTTTGCCAGAAAGCAGTGACAGAATCTTAAAGGCAACCTAAGAAAAAGACATATTATATACAGAGGAACAAAGAAGACGTTTTGTTGGAAACTATACAAACTAGGCGATAAGTAACTTTTTTTTTTTGAAATCGGGTCTTGCTCTGTCACCCAGGCTGGAGTGCAGTGGAGTAAACATGGCTCACTGCAGCCTCAACTTCCTGGGCTCAAGCGATCCTCCCAGTTCAGCCTCCTGAGTAGCTGGGACTCCTGACGCACACCATTATGCCTGGCTAATTTTTTAATTTTTTGTAGAGACTAGGTCTCGCTGTGTTGCCCAGGCTGGTCTCAAACTCCTGGGCTCAAGCAATCCGCCCGCCTCAGCCTCCTAAAGCGCTGGGATTACAGGTGTGAGCCACTGCACCCGGCTGATAATGGATGTTACAAAAGTACTAAATGAAAGGTATTAGATGAAAACTTCTATATCTAGCAAAATATCCTTCAAAAATTAGGGTGAAATAAAAACTTTTTCAGACAGGTAAAACCAGAGAATATGTTATGAGCTAGCCACTTGCACTACAAGAAACATCTTCGGATGAAAACTTGGACCTAGACAAAGTGATGACAAGTGGAAGAAAGGATAAATATGTTAAAATTAAATTTTTCCCAATTTTAAAAAAGTCTTTTTAAAAGGTAATTAGCCATTTGAAGCAAAAATCACCATGTATTGCAAATTTCACAATATATGAGGAAGTGAAACATGAAAGCTCTAGTACTAAGGATGAGAACAAGGAATTGCAAATATAATGTAAGGGTAAAAAGTGTTCATGTTGTATGTGAGGTGGTAGAATATTATTTAATAGTAGACTGTATTGAGTTAAAGATGCTTTGTTTTGTAAAACCTGAAGCAACCACAAAAACTTAAAGAAGTGTAATTAATTAGCTAAGAGTAGATGTTAAATGAAGTTCATTTTAATCAAGTTAATTCAAAAGAAGACATTAAAAGGAGTAAGAAAGGAACAAATAAATGTATATGAACAAAATAATAGATTTTAACTCAGTTATATCAGTTATTGCATTAAACAAATAATTTTAGTTTGGGGTTAGCCAAGTTTTTCTGTAAAGAGTCAGACATTAAAGAATATTTTAATTTTAGGCTTTGTGATCATCAATAGTGTCTGTTAAAAGTGTTTAATTCTGCTCTTGAGGCACAAAATTAGCCATAGAAATTACATTTTTTGTGTTCCAATAAAACGTTACAGACACTAAGATTTGAATTTCATGTTGTTGTGTGTCAAAATATTATGTTTTCTTTGATTTTTTTTTCCCCTCTACCCTATTTTCAAATGTAGAAACATTGTTAGTTGCAGGCACCACTAAAGCAGGTAATATGCTGCATACAGCCCTTGTGGGCAGTAGTTTGCTAATCCTTGTTCTTTTTTTTTTTTTGAGACGGATTCTCGCCCTGTGGCCCAGGCTGGAGTTCAGTGGCACGATCTCTGCTCACTGCAACTTCCACCTCCTGGATTTATGCGATTCTCCTGCCTTAGCCTCCTGAGTAGCTGGGACTACAGGTGCGCGCCACCACACCTGGCTAAGTTTTGTATATTTAGTAGAGACGGGGTTTTGCCATGTTGGCCTGGCTGGTCTCCAGCTCCTGACCAAAAGTGATCTGCCTGCCTCAGCCTCCCAAAGTGTTGGGATTACAGGCGTGAGCCACCACTTCTGGCCTCGTGAGCCACCACTTCTGGCCTAATCCTTGTTCTAAACCTGCTGTCTCCAATATGTCACCACTAAGCCACATGTGGTATTGTAATTAAAATTAAATGAGATTGGTAGAGTGGATAGAAAAGAAAGACCCAGGTATATGCTGTCTATAGAAATTCACTTCAAACATAAAGATATAGGTTAAAAGTAAAAGGATGGAAAATGATACTCAAAACTCATCATAAGAAAGCTGGAATTACTATATTAATATCAGAAAATGAGACAGCTATATTACTATAGCCAACTAAAATGCAAAGACTAATGACTATATTAGTATCTGAAAATGAAAAAGAATATTAGAAATAGATAGGAGTGTTTCATAATGCTGTTCATTAGGAAGATACAATTCTGACAGTATTTTTACTAATAGCAGAGCTTTAAAACACATGAAGCAAAAACTGACAACTTAAAAAACATATACAATGCAGTTATAACTGGAAATTTCAACACTTCCCTCTCAGTAGTCAATAGTGCAACTAGACAAAATCATTCGGAATATAGAAGACATGAACAATATTGTCAATAAATGATATTATTGATATTTCCAGAACACTATCCAACAAAGAAAAAAACATTCTTTAAAAATGACTGACACCTCAAGTGTTTTTGAGGATGTGAAACAGTTGGAACTCTTAGACAATAATAAATGGTACAACTTACATTGGCAAAATGTTTGGGAGTTTCTTATTAGGTTAAACCTGTCTCTACCACACAACTCATGAGCTCCACTGCTGTCTACTCAAGAGAAATAAAAATGTATGTCTATACAAAGACTTGCACAGAAATATTCATAGCAGCTTTATTTATAATAGTCAAAACACGGAGGCCAGGCACAGTGGCTCACATCTGTAATTCTAACATTTTGCAAGGCTGAGGTGGGCAGAACACTTGAGGTCAGAAGTTCGAGACCAGTCTGGCCAACATGGTGACACCCCATCTCTATTAAAAATACAAAAATTAGCTGGGCATGGTGGCACATGCCTGTAATCCCAGGTACTCGGGGCTGAGGCAGGAGAATTGTATGAACCCAGGAGGTGAAGGTTGCAATGAGCCGAAATCGAGCCACTGCACTCCAGCCTGTGTGACAGAGTGAGATTCTCTCTCTCTCAAAAAAAAAAGACAATTCAAACATTCATCAGCCAATGATTGGATGACCAAATTTTTATAAATTCATACAAAGGGACACTGACGTTAAAAAATGTGTATCTCAGAAACATCATGTGAAGCAAAAAAGCCAGACAAAAAGAGTTCGTATTATATGAAACTCTACAAAAGGCAAATCTGTAGTATGGAAAACAGATCAATGGTTTCCTGAGGCCAGAAGTGGGGTGACTGACTGCAAAGTGGAGCATGGGAGAACCATTTATTTAGTCATAGTCTCTTTTTTTTTTTTTTTTTGAGACGGAGTCTCGCTCTGTCACCCAGGCTGTAGTGCAGTGGCATGATCTTGGCTCACTGCAACTTCTGCTTCCTGGGTTCAAGCCATTCTCCTGCTTCAGCCTCCCGAGTAGCAGGGACTACCAGCATGTGCCACCACACGCGGCTAATTTTTGTATTTTTAGTAGAGACAGGTTTCACCATGTTGGCCAGGCTTGTCTCAAACTCCTGACCTCCAGTGATTCGCCCACCTTGGCTTCCCAAAGTGCTGGGATTACAGGTGTGAGCCACAGCACCCGGCCCATAGTCTCTCTTCTGTTTTGTTTTTTATTATCTTAGGTAGCCTGCCTTTTGTCATCTATTAATTAGCAAGCTCACTAAACTTCCTAAAACTTCAGTTTTCATAAAAGCCAGTTTATGCTTGTCCACCTGTAAGTTGATGGCATGGAATGGTTGATTGCACATCCTGAAGACAGATATTTTATTTTACATGTTTCCTTAATGGATTTAGAAATTTGTTCCTTTTTTCTGTTTGGTTCTTTAAGTATGAGCAAGAAACATGTATTATTGTTTGCTAATCAGTTAGTTACTTGGGTTAGAAGTTGATGTTTATCAAAAAGTTACTTGGTTTTTTTAAAGACCAAACCCATTGAATTGAACAAGTCTTTATGGAATGCATGGTATGTGCTAGCCACTGTCCTAGGTGCTGAAGATATAGGCCTGTTTAATGTGGGATAGAGCTAAGTAAACAGGCATTTATGATACAATGTGATGCATAAGTACAAGTTAGGATCATTTGGGAACACCCAGCATTGGCACTTAGTCTGGATTAAGTGGGATAAAAAGATGATTTCCAAAGGAAGCAACATCTAAATTGAACCCCATGATGGGAGGGGATGGAGTGAGAATAGAGGGAACTGTACATGCTAAGCCCTAGAGGCTAGAAATAGCATGGTATGTTTGGGAACTCCAAGAAGTTCAGTATGACAGATTTGTTGAGCCAGTAAACAAAAACTGGCAACTCATTACTCTGGACTTCTCATTACATGAGAAAAACTAACCTTTTATTTGTAAAGCCACTCTAGTAAGGTTTTCTGTTACCTGAACAAATCTTTAACCAGCACAGCAAGACAATAGTATATTTAAGCAGCCCGTGTCTAGAAAGAATTTTAAGAGGCCAGGTGTGGTGGTTCACACCTGTAATCCCAGGCTGAGGTGGGCAGATCACCTGAGGTCAAGAGTTCGAGACCAGCCTGACCAACATGGAGAAACCCCATCTCTACTAAAACTACAAAATTAGCCAGGCGTGGTGGCGCATGCCTGTAATCCCAGCTACTTGGGAGGCTGAGGCAGGAGAATGGCTTGAACCCAGGAGGCGGAGGTTGCAGTGAGCCAAGATCGCGCCATTGCACTCCAGCCTGGGCAACAAGAGTGAAACTCCATCTCAAAAAAAAAAAAAAATTTTTTTTAGAAATAGCAAGGCATAGTGGTGTGCCTATAGTCCTAGCTACTAGGGAGGCTAAGGCAGTAGGATCGCTTGAGCTCAGGAGTTGAAGGCTGCAGTGAGCTATGATCACACCACTTCACTCCAGCCTGAGTAACAGAGTGAGACTCTGTCTCTAAAAATAAATAAATGGCCTTTGGGAGGCCTAAGTGGGTGGATCACCTGAGGTCAGGAGTTTGAGACCAGCCTGGCCAACATGGTGAAACCGTGTCTCTACGAAAAATACAAAAATTAGCTGGGCATGGTGGTGCATGTCTGTAATCCCAGCTACTTGGGAGGCTCAGACATGAGATCGCTTGAACCTGGGAGGTGGATGCTGCAGTGAGCTGAGATAGTACCACTGCACTCCAGCCTGGTCAACAGAGTGAGACTCTGTCTCCAAAAAATGAATGAATGAAAAGATAAATTGAAACAAAAGGGTGGATCACATAACTTAGGGACTAAAGAAATGAAAATTCTAAAATGGAAATAACTAGCTTTCAGGGATAGACCAGAAACAGAGGGCTTGCAAAGGAATCCAAAAAAGGACAGAGAGAGAAGATAAATCAGAAAAGTGATGTCACAGAATGTCCACGTTTCAAGAAGGAAGATATGATCAACAGTGTCACATGTTCCCAAATTAAGACAAAGACTGAAGAGTCCATTTAGTCCTGGGCAACATAGTGAGACTCATCTCTGCTAAAAATTGTTAAAAATTAGCTGAGTGTGGTGGTGTGCCTATAGTCCAAGCTAATTGGTAGGCTGAGGTAGGAAGATCACTTGAGTGCAAGAGTTTGCCAAGAACTTTTTTCAGAAAGAGAGAAGAGGGAGCATATGTTAGAGGGGACTTTATCATGCTCTTAACATGGTAATAGTTGATTAAAAAAAGTTTCCACATGTTTGATAACCTTATATTATTATTGTTTGAGACCAACAGCAGTGTAAAAGATTTGTTCAGTGTCACATATAAATGAAAATACTTGTTAATTTCATGTTTTATGAGTTTTCAAGGGACCCAGTCTTAGTAAAACACCGCTAGGAACATTGTTTTTCTCTAAAGCCTGAAGGTATTTTTTCCCCTCCCCTCCCCCATCCTCTCCCCTTCCCTCCCCCATGCTCTCCCCTTCCCTCCCCCACCCCCTCCCCTCCCCATCCTCTCCCCTTCCCTCCCCCACCCCTCCCCTCCACTCCCCCTCCATTCCCCCTTCCCTCCCCCCTCCACTCCCCTCCCCATCCTCTCCCCCTCCTCCCCTCCCCTTCCCAAGACAGGATCTGCCTGTATTGCCTAGGCTGCTCTCAAACTCTTGGTCTCAAGCCATCCTTATGCCTCAGCCTGCTGGGATTACAGGCATGAGCCACCATACCTGAAGTTTAAGATACTGTTTGTCTTATTTTCTGTTAGGTTAGATTTTATGCACATAAGAACTAGGTATTGAGATAATGATGCTTCTTTGCCAACAATGAAGAGTAGTAAGGATGTTAATTTTTCAATACAATGGAATAATTTTGCTTGCTTGTTTGTTCGTTCATTTGTTTGTTTGTTTGAGACAGGGTCTTGTTATGTGGCCCAGACTGGTCTTGAACTCCTGGGTTGATGCAGTCCTCCTGTCTGAGTCTCTCGAGTAGCTAGGATTACAGGTGTGTGCCACCTCACTCAGCACAACTCAGTTCTTTTGGTGGAACTCTTTTAAAAATGTCATTAAGGTCTCAGCTTTCCTGAACCTTTAAAAGGAAGTATTACTTTATTTATTTATTTTTTTATTTATTTTGAGACGGAGTTTCGCTCTTGTTGCCCAGGCTGGAGTGCAATGGTGCCATCTTGGCTCACCACAACCTCCACCTTCCAGGTTCAAGCGATTCTCCTTCCTCAGCCTCCCAAGTAGCTGAGACTACAGGCGCCCGCCACCACGCCTGGCTAATTTCTTATATTTTTATTAGCGACAGGGTTTCACCATGTTGACCAGGCTGGTCTCAAACTCCTGACCTCAGGGGATCCACCCGCTGCAGCCTCCAAAAGTGCTGGGATTACAGGCCTGAGCCACCTCGCCTGGCGGGGATTACTAATTTTGAAAATGTGGTAATAATGATATGGTTATTTAAAAATAATTATAGTTAATATCATAATGGTATTATGGTTATTTTCAAAGAGGTAATAATGGTATTATGGCAATTTTATCTTTTAGAGATACACACTGAAGTATTTATGGATGAAATAATGATATCTAGAATTTGCTTTAAAATGATCCATTGGAGAAGAAAAAAAGTCTTGTTCATTTATTTATAATTGTTTAAGTGAGGTGATGAGGTCATGAGGTTTTATTGTACTAGTCTGTCCTTTTGTTTGTTTTTTTAAAAAATGGTTTAGTGTCACCATTTTGCTGGGTAGAAGTTTTTCTATTTGTAGTTCAAGAAGTTCAGTGTGGAATGAGTGGTTTAATAATCTATATAGGATTGCCAGAAACACATTCATTGTTACCTTTTTATTTAATTACCAGTTTGCAAATGTTCACATAGAGAAAACAGTTCCTTTAGAAGTCTTCAGACTTCTAAACTTGTTTTTTATTGCTTGTGTTTGCTGGTGTTCCATTTGATTGTACTTAAAAATCACCAACATTTTATTCAGATACTCTAGTTTGCTTATTGATCATTTTTAGCAATTGGCTGGCTAGCCCTCAAATAAGGTGTCAGAATTTTTCTTTAAGTAAGACATGATCACCATCTGCTGGTGAATAGTGATAACTTTGGCTTGGGTATTGCTTTATGATATATAAAGTACATCATATACATTTTCTAATTTATTGAAATAACTAGAAACTATAATGAGCTCATTTCGTTCTGCTTTATGACAAAATCTCAGGAAACTATAAGATGACATAGTATGCTACTCATCTAGGTACCTCTGCTTGTCAAATGAATGTTAACTGAAAAAAGGTATGAGCTGATCACTTATTAGCAAGGAGTAAAGACAAAATATAAATTTCACAAAGAAATGGAGTTCTTACAGTATAAGTTTATAGTTCTGCAGAATTTTCTATAAAAGAAACATCTAACTGATGTTGTAACACCTAAAATTATGGTTTTGAATCATAAAGGAATCTTCTAATATGCTGTTGAAGGTTTTTTCCCCGTTTTTGTTTGTTTGTTTTTAGTGATACAGGGTCTCACTTTGGCACCCAGGCTGAAGTGCAGTTGGTGCAATCACTCACTACAGCCTTGAAGTCCTGGGCTCCAGCAGTCCTCCTCCCTCAGCAACCCAAGTAGCTAAGGAGGACTACAAGCACATGCTACCATGCCCAGCGTCTTTTTTGAGTGTTAATCCCAGCACTTTGGAAGGCTGAGCCCAGAGGATCACTTGAGTCCAGGAGATCAAGACTAGCCTGGGCAATAGTAAGGAAACCTGGACTCTACAGAAAAATTTAAAAATTAGTCAAGCATGGTGGGACATGCCTGTGGTCCCAGTTACATGAGAAAGCTGAGTAGGAGGATTGCTTGAGCCTAGGAGTTTGAGGCTGCAGTCAGTGAGCCCCGATCGTGCCACTGCACTTCAGCCTAGACAACAGAGCAAGACTCTGTGTTTAAACAAACAAACAAACAAAGAAACAGGGTCTCACTATTTCCCAGGCTGATGTTAAACTTCTGGCTTCCAGCTATCCTCCTTCCTCAGCCTCCCAAAGCATTGGGATTACAGGTGTGAACCACCGGACCTGGCCCTGCTCAAGTTTTAAATACCTATGGAATATACATGATGAGCATAGAAGCCTGGCGTTTTATAGAGGTCTGATACTAGAATATGCCTGTGTAAGTATTTCTTTAATTAAACATATGGACTTGGTTATTTACTCCTATATACAGATGTCCATGGGAGCATTCTCCTTTCCCTTTCCTCCCCTTAAAAGGGAGAGAAAAGCGGGGAAAAGACAACAATGAGCCCTCTTCGGTTAGTGATATCACCTGTTCGCTCCCACAGTGCTCTGAACAACCCAGAGTCATCTTTGCCATCTTTTTCATCTCTTCTGTATCACTTCCTGCATATTAATATATTCATTCAGATAATTTCTCTTTCACACCTACAGGGAACTCTCTTCAGTTTGTGTTTTGGGTTTTTTTTTTTTTTGAGATGGAGTCTCGCTGTTGTCCCCCAGGCTGGAATGCAAAGGTGCAATCTTGGCTCACTGCAACCTCTGCCTCCCGGGTTCAAGAGATTCTCCTGTCTCAGCCTCCTGAGTAGCTGGGATTACAGGTGCCCACGACCATGCCCAGCTAGTTTTTTTGTATTTTTAGTAGAAACAGGGTTTCACGGCCGGGCGCAGTGGCTCACGCCTGTAATCCCAGCACTTTGGGAGGCTGAGTTGGGCAGATCATGAGGTCAGGATTCGAGACCAGCCTGGCCAACATAGTGAAACCTCATCTGTACTAAAAATACAAAAAATTATACTGGCATGGTGGCGGGCGCCTGTAATCCTAGCTACTCGGGAGGCTGAGGCAGGAGAATCACTGGAACCCGGGAAGCAGAGGTTGCAGCAAGCCGAGATCATGCCATTGCACACCAGCCTGGGGTGACAGTGCAAGAGTCCGTCTCAAAAAAAAAAGAAAAAAAAGAAAGAAGCAGGGTTTCACCATGTTGGCCAGGCTGGTCTTGAACTCCTGACCTCAGGTGATCTGCCTGCCTCTGCCTTCCAAAGTACTGGGATTACAGGCGTGAGCCACTGCAGCATCTGGCCTAGGAACTCTCTTTTCTTTATTTTATTTATTTATTTATTTATTTATTTATTTATTTATTTATTTATTTTTTGAGACAGAGTCTCGCTCTGTGGCCAGGCTGGAGTGCAGTGATGCAATCTCAGTTCACTGCAACCTCCACCTCCTGGGTTCAAGTGATTCTCCTGCCTCAGCCTCCCGAGTAGCTGGGACTACAGGTGCACACCACCATGCCTGGCTAATTTTTGTATTTTTTAGCTGGTCTCGAACTCCTGACCTCGTGATCTGCCTGCCCTGGCCTCCCAAAGTGCTGGGATTACAGGCGTGAGCTACCACGCCCAACCTGGAACTCTCTTTTCTAGCTGTCTGCAGAAATATTTTACATTGCTTACTCCCCCTCTCCCTGTTGCTTTCATTCTCTTTTTATTTTCTTGTCCCTGTTCCAGTTCATCAAATAATTGAGTGTCTACCATTAAGTAGGAACTGTGCTTGGTGCTGGGAATACAGTGATGAAAAAGGCAGGTGGCTGTGCTTATGGAGCTTACATCTAAGGGTGAGAGAGAAAGAAGAAGAGATAGAAGATAGATAATTAGGAATTGAGACTTAAAGATAATTAGGACTAAAGAAGTTAAAGAGCTTACCTTTATTTTCTTTCTCCTTTCCTGGTTTTACTTAGTTCATGTGTTCTGTATTCTTTTTTGTTGTTGTTGTCGATATTACACTGATAAGAACCGATACTACACTTGATCTTGGCCAGAAATCTAAGCAATTGTTTTCTCTTAATTATCAGCATTTGGGATAAATTTAAAACACTTTTTTAGCCAGTGTACTTGCCTTTTCTGCTTTAAATATTAAAATTACAAGATAATTTTTCCTATTCTAGTGAACATTATTGATAAAATTAGTTTTTGAGGGGTAACTGGGCAGTTTACAGCTTTGTGTGGGTTTCAGTGGGATAGAGCCGCTTTGTAGGTTAGGCATTGTCTATGATAGCATATTACATTTTGAGTAACAACACTTGCTTTTGAATTTTTAAAAATTATCACACCACTAAAGAGAAAAGTATAATTTAATTTTAAATTAATTTTTCTCTAGGAAGAGACATTAAATATAAAGGAATAAGATTTTGACAGGTAAGGTTAAGTTAGATTTAGAGGACCAGATTTAGATTTTTTTCCTCCAAGAACGAGTGTTTGCCCCCATTGAGCATATATACTATAGCAGACTCTGCTTTTTGTATTTAAAATTTTCCGAAATCAGTTTGGAAGTGGAATGGCTGCTTCAAAAATTTTGACTGTAAGAATAGATTGGGAAATAGTGTGGTGGTTGTGCAGTGCTGGGCATGTAATTGGCGCCACTGATTGTACACTAAAAAAAAAAATGATTAAAATGGCAAATTTCACAGTAAATATATTTTACCACCGTTAAATAAATAATGTAATACACTAAAAGCCATTGGATGGTACACTTTAAGTGGATGAGTTGTATGGTATGTGCATTACATCTCAATAATGCTGTTTTTTAAGAAAGGAAGAATGGATTGGAAGAAGTATTAATAATTTTTCTGTTTCCACAGTAACTATTTGACAGGGTTATGTTTTAGAAATGGATAATGCCTCAAGGTGCATAGACAGAAACAACCCAATATCAAAAACCAGATACAAAGCTGCGCAGAAAGTGGTTTGATTCATAAGTTAGGTCTTGTGAACTATTCCTTCATCCATTTGATACTTTGAGAAACATCGGAAAGAGCCCTGGAATGGAAGGCTAGATGTCTACGTTCTTCTTGGCCCTTTTTTTTTTTTTTTTTTTTTTTCCATCTTGGGCAACTCTTGTCACATCTCAGGTCTAAGTTTTCCAGTCTGAAAAGAGTGTGAATTAGATCATTGCTTCCAGTTCCAAAATTCTAAGATGGTATTATCAATTGTTGCCTTGTTATAAGGCAAATAAATAAATACCTCAATACCTAGACATAGACATTGAATATTAGAGCTGGAGGACTTTGGATCATCTCGTGTAATTCCTTCAATTATGAATGACAAATTCAATGTTTGCACCCCTCTCTCCTGACTTTCTAGTGCTTTTTGTAATATACATATAACATAGTTTTTAGTAATATAATAGTTGTTATATTAAGTGCAGGTTTTTAAGTGATATGTGACCTTTGAAATGATGAAAAGTATGAGAAACAGGCCAGGCGTGGTAGCTTACATGTGTAATCCCAGCACTTTGGGAGGCCAAGATGGGCGGATCGCTTGAGCCCCGGAGTTTGAGACCAGCCTGGCCAACATAGTGGGACCCTGTCTGTACACAAAAAAATTAGAAAATTTAGCCACATATGGTGGTGCCTACTTATAATCTCAACTACTCAGGAGGCTGAGGTAGAAGGATCAGTTGAGTCCAGGAGATCGAGGCTGCGGTGAGCCATGATGTGCCACTGCACTCCAGCCTGAGTGATGTGAGACCCTGTCTCAAAAAAAAAAAAGTGTCAGAAACAAAATGTACAAATACATTTATTTGACTTGAGTATTAAATGTCTGTGTGTACATATTGTCTTTCTGAAATATGGATGTGATTAAACTAAAAGTCATGATTTCTGCTTTTCAGAATGAATAAACTCATAGGGATCATCATACAGGACACATAAAGCAGTCACTTCTTTGGATTAAGATTGGCAAAGGTGCTTCTTAGAAAATGTTTTAACATTTTAGAAAAGTTCTAAATTTTTGCAATTTTCCTTCAGGGTACTTTCCTACATCTCTGCACCACAGCCTTAGTCCAAGCCATCATTATCTGATCTGAAGTATTGCGATGTCTTCCTAAATAGTCATATTTATACCCTCTCCAATTTGTTCCTCACAGTGCAGCCAAAGTAATCTCTATCCTATGGACATTTTTAAATTATGGAAAATGTGAAATATATAAAAGTAGTAAGTTATATAATGGACTTTCATGTGCCCGTCACTCAGCGTTAGTACAATTTTGTTTCTTCAGTAACTTCATCTACCTCTGCTTCCTGCCGCCTAGATTATTTCAAACAGATCCTGGATTTAAAAGAGTGATCTTTTAAAAACTTAAATCTTGAAACTTTCCTGCATTCCTCCTGTGGGGTCTCATTACCCTTAGAATAAAATCTAAACTCTTTACATAGCTCTAAGACTTGGCCTTTGCTCCCTTCTGTAGCAGCATCTTGTATCATTTTCTAGCCACATTGGAGGAAGCTGTTGGCCTCCTCAGGACTTTCATACATGCATTTCCTTTTGCCTGGCATGCTCCCTTCTTCCTTGGCTTAGTTGGCTGTTTCTTATCTTTACGGTGTCATCTTTATTAAAGAGGCATTTCCTGATGGTTTTAACCGTGTGTCACATGTTTCCCTTTCAATGACAAAAATGTTGACAAGTGGTGCATCTAGGTGAAGAGTGTACTAGTCTTTGAACTTTTCACTAGATTTGAAATTACTGGGCAGAGAAATTAGTTTGGGGGAAAAAATCCGTTCTTCCCCCTTAAGTACTGTCACGTCATTCTTTCTTTTTAAATTTGTTTTGACTCTTTCTGTCCCTTTCTTTCTTCCCCCCTTATTCCTCTCTATGATCGTTAAATTGAGTTAGAAAGAATAGAAAGAGGGGAAATGGGGTCATCTGATTGGAGCTGGAGACATCTGATACTAGAAGCCATTGCCCCAAGTACTACAAATTCCCTCTACCAGGATAGTGGTTATATAAGTATAAGCAGAGTATCCCTTTAAAGACTGACTGCTGTGTGGGTTACTCACTTCATCTTATAGAGGCCTTGTCTCTTCATAAGGAATCCTTCTTCAGGAAAGGTGGTTTCACAGGGTGCTGCAGTTTTACAGGGTTTCATTTCTCTTAATACTGTTCTTCTTTCTGGATTGCTGGTCTTATCACCACCTCAAGCCATGCTGATATTTGTAGTATGCTGATTACTTTCTTGGTAGCAGATAAAATTTTCTAGTTTTTGGTTCTGAAATAATCTGAGCCATGTTTGGTGTGTTTCTTTATGTATGTGGGAACAACAGTATGATTCTCAATGGAACTCAGAAAACTAAATTGGAACAGCAGATACCCCTTGGTTTATCTGCCTGTATAACAGTTATTCTTGGATTTATTTTTTTCCACAATGGTAATGAGGTGAGCATATACTTAGCTGGAATCTCTGTGCTATACTTTTGTTTTGTTTTGTTTTGTTTTTTGAGACGGAGTCTCACTCTGTCACCTAGGCTGGAGTGCAGTGGCACGATCTGGGCTCACTGCATCCTCCGCCTCCCAGGTTCAAGCAATTCTCAGCCTCCCGAGTAGCTGGGACTACAGGTGCACGCCACCACACCTGGCTAATTTTTTGTATTTTTAGTAGAGATGGGGTTTTACCGTGTTAGCCAGGGTGGTCTCGATCTCCTGACCTCGTGATCCACCCGCCTTGGCCTCCCAAAGTGCTGGGATTACAGGCACGAGCCACCACACCCAGCCTCTCTGTACTATACCTTTTTAGATGATCGTCTAAGTTACAGTTCATAGTCTTGAGCTGTTTCTTTGCTTTTCAGAAAACTAGGATGATTGATTAAATGAACTCTTTAAAGATAAGGTATATGAATACATGACAGTGATTTCAAGGATGAAGTGGCCTGTGGGATCAGTCTCATTATGCTAAAACTGCTCCCCCAAGAGAGTTTCTAAAAACTGGGCAGTAACTAAAAGCTTATTGTAAGCTTGTCTTTGAATCACTGTGTCTGAAATAAATGTTCTTTTATCAATGGCCTAGATAAAGTGTCAACTGTTTCCATAACTGTATCTCTGCTTATAAGCTTAAACTAAATTTAAGTAGAAGACTTTATTGAAGAATAAGAATTAATGTGTTTAGCCGTTATGAGGTGCTGTACATTTCTACCATTCAAAAAAGTAAAATTATAAGTAACACAATAGAATTGCAGGAGCAGTGACATTTTTAAGACATGGTGCTAGAAAGATGCTTAGAAAAATGTCAAAATATAAAACATCTTTGAGTAATTGGATCAGTAATGTAGTCTGGGATTCCACCACTTTTCTGCTACTTCATACCTACATCATGTTGGCAGCCCTTCATGAATTCACATAGCCCCTGACTGTTTCTTTCTCCTTCAGAGTCTTTCACCTCCTGAGGCCCTGTGAAAGAAGGGGGTTTGTTTATGAAATTTATCATGTGAAAAGGTAGAGGATATTTCAGTTCAATTAGGACAAAAACTATTTTTTGGATTGACTTGAAGTGGCTAATCAGTAAATCTTTAGAAAGAAGTTAATTATCTTCTGGAAATGAAACTGTTTTAGAAATCTTGCAGGTGATAAATAAATTTAGAGCTTGTCAGTGTTTTAGAAAATGATCATGTATTTAAAAAATATGATTGATGGCTGGGCACGGTGGCTCACACCTGTAATCCCAGTATTTTGGGAGGCCGAGGTGTGGTGGCACGTGCCTGTAGTCCCAGCTACTTGGGAGGCTGAGGCAGGAGAATCATTTGAACCCAGGAGGTGGAGGTTCTAGTGAGCTGAGATTGCGCCACTGCACTCCAGCCTGGGCGACAGAGCGAGACTCCATCTCAAAAAAATATATATATGATTGATACTTTACAGCTGTCCAAAGCCATAGCAACTTACTACGTGTTTATTAAAATTTAAGATAATTTAAAAATAAATAAAATTAAGAATTGAGTTCCTTAGTTTCATTAGCCACATTTCAGCTTCTCAGTAGACACATGTGGCTAATGGCTACTGCACTGAAAAGTGTAGATATAGAACATTTCGATCATCCTGGAGCAATCTATTTAATAGACAGTGCCGTTTTAAAGAATAAAAAGTATGGTGATTTTAATGTTTAATAAACTATAATGTTGATTAATTTTCCTGTAGCCTGTTTCTTATCAGTTGACAGATTATACTAGTGCACTTAAAGATTATCAGCTTGTCAGTTCTATTTGTAACAAAATATTAATTCAGTTGGGTTATAAATTTTAATTTTAAGCATGCTGGGTCTACACTATGCAGTGCTATCCAGTACAGTAGCCACTAGCCACATGTGGCTCTTGAGCACTTGAAATGTAGCTAGTTTGAATTGAGATGTGCTGTCAATGTGAAATGCACAATGTATTTTAAATAGTCTGAAAAGTAAAATCTTTTACTTAGTACAAAAGAAAGTAATACTTTAAAAATAGTGATTGGCCGGGCGCAGTGGCTCAACACCTGTAATCCCAGCACTTTGGGAGGCCGAGGCGGGAGATCATGAGGTCAGGAGTTCGAGACCAGCCTGACGAACATGGCAAAACCCTGTCTTTACTAAAAATATAAAAATCAGCCAGGCGTGGTGGCGCACGCCTGTAATCCCAGCTACTGGGGAGGCTGAGGCAGGAGAATCGCTTGAACCCGGGAGGCAGAGGTTGCAGTGAGCCAAGATCACACCACTGCACTCCAGTCTGGGTGACAGAACGAGACTCTGTCTCAAAAAAAAAAAAAAAAAAAGCTGATAATATGTTGATATAATTTTGGATGAAGGGCATTAAATAAAATATATTATTAAAATTAATTTTAACCTCTTTTTACTTTTTATAATATTTTACTAGAAAATTTGAAATTATGTGACTCACCTTACATTTCTATTGCACAGTGCTGACTGTAGAAGAGCCAGTACTCTTTTAAATCAAGTAATACATAATCTATTTGTACATGCCTAAATCAACAATGAGTAGATTTGTAAAGTGGGATGAAAACATTTATTCACTTTTATTTTTGTCTTGTATTGGCTTTTAAAAAATAGTACCAGTTGTATCAAAATCTTTCATGATTCTGTGTAGCATAGAACACTGGTGGGGAACATGAGTAAAACACTGGTGCAAAGGTTTTAGCCAACTGCTTAATGAGTGATACAGACAGTATGAATACAGTGGGTGTTCCAGGGACAAAAAGGTTGCTGGTACTAGAAATCTATCACGGAGACTTTCGGGACTTGTATTGCCTAGACATTGAAAGATAAATATGATTCAAGTGGGCAGAAAACAATAAATAACTCTTTAATAAAGCCCACATAGGTAATGGGCTGAGCATGCTTAGTGGACCATTAACTGGCAAAATGATTCGAATCAAGGATTTCAGTGCAGGAAGTAAGAGAGAAGAATTGCAGAGTTAGTATGAGACTGAATGTTGGGACTCTGAGGCTAGGGTAAGAAATCTGGCTGGGTTTATGTAGGTATTTAGGAGCCATAAAAAATACTTACCAACTGGGAAGTGATATGAAAGCAGTCTTTTTGGAAGATTGGTTTGATTGCAGGAGACTATCCATAGCTGTTTTTCTGATGCGAGAAGGTATAGTCATGTCCTAGGGAAAGGAGGAAATAGGAGGCAGGTTTAAGATGTGGGAAGGGGGAACATCAATACTTCTGTGTTTGTGGAAAAGGAGAAATTGAAGAAAGTGACCTTGGTTTTAAAACAGAAGAGAAATAAAAGTATTTTATATTTATACAACGCTATACAGTTTCAAAATTCCATGAGATAGCCAACACAGCCTTTTTTAATGGAGAAATTGAGCTTCATTGTTTAAAGGACTTGACCAGAACCATTGTCCCCTTATATAGGTGGGGCAGCTGAGAATCCAGCCCAGATCTTTTATCACTGCACAACCAGTAAATCACTAAGTTTTGATAATTTTGTCTCCTAAACATTTCTCAGATCTGTCCACTTCTCTCTGTACCACCTCTACCTTAGTTTAGGCTACTTCTATCTTCTGGATTGAGGTTTTCCTGAATTTATATCTAGCTTCGGCCCTGCACCCCACCTCCTAAAACAAAAAAGCAAATAAAAACTTCTTTTGTTAATATTTAAAAATCTGTCTTCCTCCAATTCAATCATTAAGGTCTTCTAAAATGCAACAGACTCTCCTGCTTAAACTTTTACATAAAATCTAAACTTCTGAGCCTGGCCTCATTAGGCTGTAATTATCTATGTCCATTCCTCCAGTTCCATGTTCTTTTTGGTTTTTTAGCTATTTGCATCTGTTGTTTTTGTGCAAGCAATGCCCTTTCCCTCCTTTTCTCCATTCCACCCTTAACCCCCCATAATTCACATCTTAGTAGATTTGTCTATTTACTTGTCTTTGAACACTGTTCCCCACTCCCACCCCCAACCCACCACTCTACCTGCTATGAAGATTCACTCAAGTAGGCTCATTAAAGACAGAAGGACTGTTTCTTTCTTACTAGTATTTGACCCACTGAAAGTAGTTGAATGGGTGAATGTTTTTATATTTCAAAGTGTTGTTTCAAATTCAGAAGGAGCTTTAGTAGAGAATGAAAGAATGACTGAAAAATATTAGGTCATCATTTCCCAACCTGTCCCTCAGAGTGTTTGTATCCTACAAGATAGTGGATCAAATATGTTAGAGAACGCTGCAGATTATGTACCTATTTTGGATATTCACAATGCACATAAGGGCGAATGATAAGACAATGGTCCTGTGGTTTAAAGATAAAAAAACAACTTTTTTTTTTTTGATCCAGCATTTTGCCAATATATTTGAGTATGGGATCTTTTTAGGTAGTATACTGTAATTTCTCTTAGGTTACAAATATTTGATCATTTTAGGCCTGGTGCAGTGGCTCATGCCTGTAATCCCAGCATTTTGGGAGGCCAAGGTGGGCAGATCGCCTGAGATCAGGAGTTCCAGACAAGCCTGGCCAACGTGGTGAAACCCTGTCTCTACTAAAAATGCAAAAACTAGCCGGGAGTAGTGGTGGGCACCTGTAATTCCAGCTACTTGGGAGGCTGAGGCAGGAGAATTGCTTGAACCCAGGAGGCGGAGATTACAGTGAGCCAAGATTGTGCCACGGCACTTCAGCCTGGGCAAAAAGAGTGAGATACCGTTTCAAAAGAAAAAAGAAAAATGCTTATTTTGACAGCCGTATGTGTCCCTCTGGTCTAATTAATGTAATTAAATACAATCAGACCATGCCTAAATAATAGTTAGAGGAACTCTGATTGTTTACAGTCAAAGCAGAGAATCTGAGGGAAGATACGGCAGTCCTCAAATATTTGAAGGTTCCAACAGAAGAGGGATTAAAAGTACTGTCATTGAAACTAGAGAATAAGAGCCAGAATCAGGAGAGGAAGTTGTCAGAGGGCAGATTTTGACTGAGAGTAAGGGTAACTTTCTAGTAATTAGAACTATCCAGAAAACAGAACTAAGTGCTATGGAAGGTAAGTAATTTTTTTGTCCATGAAGCTTGTCAAGCAAAGATTCATAGAAATGCTACAGAGAAGTTTAACACATCAGACAAGGGATAGATTGGAAGAGTTTTCCAAAACAGTTTGGAAACTGTTAGTTTAATTTCTGTCGTATCTGTCAACTTGGAATTCATACTTCTTGGTTCCTTTCTAATTCTATGAATGTATGTCTTTGAAATCTCAGTAAAGGAACCAAATATTTGTTATTGCAGATAAACAATACAAACTTTAGTTGTATAGTTAAGTGCTTTTACTTGATGGTTTTTTTTTTTAACAAACTATTTTTTTAAGAGCAATTTTAGGTTCACAGAAAAATTAAGCAGCAAGTACGGAGAGTTCCCATGTATCCCTGTCCCCATACTCATACAACTTCTCTACTGTTGGCTCCCACAATAATGGTACATTTCTTATAATTGATGAACCTACATTGACATATAATTATCACCAAAGTTCATACTTTATATTAGGTTTTACTTTTATTTGATGGTGTTTTGAAAGAAAATGTGAATATTCTTGCTTGTCTTTGAGAAAGTGGTTTTTGGTCATTTCTTGCTGTAGTTTAGGCTTTTTTGATTCAGAGGTCTAAAAGTTAGCTAGTATCAACACTGTCTGTTTTGAGAAGGTATCCAGGGTTGGAGAAGATTATTTTTTTATTA
This sequence comes from Homo sapiens, assembly GCF_000001405.40. Classification (NCBI taxonomy): domain Eukaryota; kingdom Metazoa; phylum Chordata; class Mammalia; order Primates; family Hominidae; genus Homo; species Homo sapiens. The sequence goes on along the minus strand of NC_000011.10, from coordinate 77,764,751 downwards.
TCTTAAATGTTTAGAATTGTTTTATTTTGTTGGCTAATGATATTTTTTTTCTTTCTTTTAAGTACCAAAAGAATTGGTGGAGCTCCATTTGAAGCTGATGAGGAAAATTGGCAAATCTGTTACTGCAGACAGATGGGAAAAATATTTGATCAAGGTAACTAGTATTTGTAAATTTCCTGCTCTATTACTGAAATATTACTCTAGCATAAATTGATATTATGTTTTATAATACACATAATTTTTAATTAGTTTACTAAAAGTAAGACTATGGCTCCAAAATCCACATGACTGCAAGTATGTGATTCTCTTCTTTTGCTACTACTTAGTAGCAGTCTTGAGTCCTGAAGTTAGATTTCAGAAGTGTTATATCTCTTTTGTGCCTAACACTGTGCTCAGGACTTTTCATGTCTTTTCTCATTTAATTCTTAAAATCACCCTGATCACATCAAGTAAGAAACTAATAAGGCTCAGGGATGTTGTCATTTTTACTTTAGTTCACATAGTATGCATAGACTTATTTAGTGGTTCCCCTAGACTCTGTTATATAGAACAGAGGTCCCCAACCCCTGGGCCACAGACCAATAGTGGTCATCCCCATTCCTCTCCTTACCATGTGAGCTCTGCTTCCTCTGAGATCAGCTGCGGCATAGATTCTCATAGGAGTGCAAACCCTATCGTGAACTGCACATGCGAAGGATCTAGGTTGTGCACTCCTTATGAGAATCTACTGACTGATGATCCGTCACTATCTCCCATCACTTCCAGATGGGGCCATCTAGTTGATTCAAATGTAATGCATTTGAATCATCCCCAAACCATCTCCCTCCCACCCACCACCCCCAGTCTGTGGACAAATTATCTTCCGCAAAACTGGTCCCTGATGCCAGAAAGGTTGAGGACCACTGATACAGAAACATGCCATCTTTTTCGTTCCTCAGAATTTTTGCATATATGGTATCTTCTGCCTGGAGTACCTTCCCACCAGTTTGTTTTCCTAGCCAACTTATTTGTCCTTTAGGTCTCAGCTCAAGTAGTACTGTCTCCTTGAGTCCTTCTCTCAGGAAGATGTTCCTTCATGGATTTATGTTTAACCCTATTTTAGAAACTGTCATATGGTTTTATATTGAATGTTCATTATGTACCAGGCGCTGTTTAGTGCTTCCTTTGCATTATCTCAACTTTAAAATACTGATTATCCTCATTTTACTCACAAGGAAATTGATTTTGAGAAACTAAATAGAGTAACTTGTCTGGTCTCACATTGCTAAAAACGACAGAGCCAGCATTCAAATCCAGGACTTGGTGAATCCAGTACTTTAAAATATCACTGATGAAATGTTCCTCACATTTGTCTTTTGTGTATATTGTAAGTTTCTTGAAGGCTTCTTTTAATCTTTTTTTTTTTTTTTTTAAAGACAGTCTCACTCTGTCACCCAGGCTAGAGTGCAGTGGTGCTGTCTCGGCTCACTGCAACGTCCACCTCCTGGGTTCAAGCAATTCTCTTGCTTCAGCCTCCTGAGTAGCTGGGACTACAGGTGCGTGCCACCATGCCTGGCTAATTTTTTTTGTATTATTAGTAGAGACAGGGTTTCACCATATTGGCCAGGCTAGTCTCGAACTCCTGACCTCGTGATCCGCCCACCTCGGCCTCCCAAAGTGCTGGGATTACAGGCGTGAGCCACCGTGCCCGGCGGCTTCTTTTAATCTTTTATGCATCAGTATTAGATGGATCAATTAATCACTGAGACAATTTTAGTTTTCTTTCCCTTGACTGCCAGTAAGCTTAACTTTGTTATATTTATTTATTAGTTATAATCATTAGCTAGTTTTCTGATGGAATTTTTACCTTCCCTGTTACATGGCTCTTACAGTGCTCTCGTCTTTCTCCTTGTGGCATCATTGTACATATGTATTACTGAAAGCTGTTTCTTTTCCTTTTGAAGTAAATGGAATATAATTAATATAAAATTCTGTTTAAATCCAGAGCAAGTATCTGGCATCTGCTAGGCCTTGTTGCTTTGCTCATAGCAGACATTACCAACCTAAGCCTTCCTGCTAAGCCTAGACTTAGCAGACTACATTATTACACAAATCAGTCAGCATTGGCATCTATTTGTCATCTATTGTTAGTAATTCCCTAAGACAGCTGAACTAAGACCTATAGAATGAGCAGAAATTTTGTTAGGAAATAACCAGTAGCTTAGCCCTACTGTAATAGAAAGTACCTTGAGAAAATGACAGTGAGTGGAGGCCTAACAGTCATGTGTTCAGGAGGTTACTGTGATAATCCAACTGAGCAATAAGGAGACCTGAATTAAGGTTTTGGCACTAGGGATGGAAAGGAGGGGGTGGATGTAAGAGCTATTTGGAAGGTAAAATCAACAACTATTGATAATTGATAGTGAGAGAGAAAGAGAGAGAGGTGTCTAGGAACTGAGCTTAACCAAGGGCATTCATTTGTTATTGTGCTGTATCTTGCATTTGCTAACGTACATTCATCCGTAGTAGACAGGACCTCAAAAATCTAGGCGGATGACTTTTTACTTTGACAGCGGAATTACCCTTCTAAAAATAAGGAAACCCAGCTAGGCACAGTGGCTCACATGTGTAATCCTAGCACTTTGGGAGGCTGAGGCAGGTAGATTGCTTGAGCTCAGGAGTTCGAGACCAGCCTGGGCAACATGGCAAAATCCCATCTCTACAAAAAAAAAAAAAAAAAAAAAAGAAAAGAAAAGAAAATAATACAAAAAATAGCTGGGTGTGGTGGTGCATGCCTGTAGTACCAGCTATGCAAGAGGCTGAGGTGAAAGTATTGCTTCAGCTAGCTGAGGAGGTTGAGGCTGCAGTGAGCCAAGATCGTGCCACTGCACTCCAGCCTGGGCGACAGAGTGAGACCCTGTCTCAAAAAAAAAAAAAAAAAAAATCACCGAATGGAAATTTAAACTAGCAGTTCTGCTAGGACCTGTTAACTCTTGCTTTGTTGGATGGGCCTTGGCCTTATTCTTCACATTCCTTTTACTTGGCAAGTCATAAAGAAATTTCTCTGCCAGTGAACCTTTACGCTTCCATGAAATTCCCCTATTTTCTGTGGTTGTTAATGATTGATTAATGAGCAATTTCAGACACCTTGACCATGGATAATGAATACCACTATGCTAAATAACAATTTGCCTTCACATGCCTTCACAAATTTAGTACCTGCACCTCTACTTCTACTGCCCTGCCTCTTTCCTGAAGACAGCCATGTGAAGACCTTTAAAACTAGTGGGATAACCAATTATTAATAAATTATCCCTTAAAAGAAATCGCACTTGATTTCTTTTAGCCTCAGAATAATTTCTAAGTAAATAGGAGTTTAAAAAAAAAAAGAAATACTGTAACATTGAATGTAGTAAGTGTTTCAAAGAAATGTTAAAAAATGAAAGCAAATACGAATCTTAGAATAAGCAGAAAGTATTTTGGGGGGCTCAGTACTTGAAAGATGATGTCATTAAGTAGAAAATAACCTAATGTGGCCAGGTGCGGTGGCTCACGCCTGTAATCCCAGCACTTTGGGAGGCCAGGGCTGGCGGATCACAAGGTCAGGAGATTGAGACCATCCTGACCAACATGGTGAAACCCCGTCCCTACTGAAAATACAAAAAAAAATTAGCTGGGCGTGGTGGCAAGCGCCCAGCTACTCCGGAGGCTGAGGCAGGAGAACCGCTTGAATCTGGGAGGCGGAAGTTGCAGGGAGGCGGAGGTTGCAGTGAGCCGAGATCGCGGTGAGCCGAGATTGCACCACTGCACTCCACCCTGGTGACAGAGCGAGACTCCGTTTCAGAAAAAAAAAAAGAAAGAAAATAACCTAGTGTGTCTTTTCTGGGGTGTTTTTCTACCCCTCAACAGGAGATGATCGTATTCATATGTACCCTGAAAGTAAAGTACCTAGTATTAGGTTTAGAAATCCCTTGAAAATGAATAAATTTGGCAATAGATGGCCTTGATCTAAACAGCAATTTCAGAAAGGCCCATTGTCATCTGTTAACAAATCATAAAGGTCACCTTTTGTCATTTGATAATTAGGTTGTATTTTGACAAGAACTAGATGTTCCTTTACTGTTGTATTTCTCAAAAGTAAATTAAGATTAACACTCTTAATTTTTATATGCATTGTTAGTATTTTGTGTTTTTTATTGAGATATAATTCACATAAGATAAAATTCACCATTTTGAAGTGTACAGTTCATTGGTTTTTAGTGTATTCACTATGTTGTGCAAACATAACCACTAATTCCAGAACTTTTCTAACATCTCAGTAAGAAGCCTTGTATCTGTTATCAATCAGTATCAATCACACCCACCTTTTCCCCTGTATCCATCTGTATGGATTTGCCTACTCTGGACATTTCTTATAAATGGAATCATAAAATATGTGGTCTTTTGTATTTTCTTTCACTTAGTATTAGTATAATGATTTCCAGGTTTATGTACATTGTATCATGTATCATCTCATTCCTTTTTATTGCCAAATACTCATCCATTATATGGATAATAGCATCTTTTATGTATCCATCATCAGTTGATGGACATTTGCTTGTTTCCCACTTTGTTGTCTATTAGGAATAATGCTGCTATGGACATTTGTGTACAAGTTTTTCTGTGAACACGTATTTTCACTTCTCTCCTGTATATAACTAGGAGTAGAATTGTTAGGTCATATGGTAATTCTGTGTTTAACTTTTTAAGGACCTGCCAAACTGTTTTCCATAGCGGCTGTACCATAGCAATTTATGTTGTATTCATAGCAATTTATGAGGTTTCCAGTTTCTTTATAACTTTTTAATAATAATGATAATAGATAACATTTGACAGCTTATTATAAACTCAGTGCTATGCTTTTTTTTTTTTTTTTTTAACATGCATCACCATTTAATTCTCACCACAACCTGGATCATAGAATGGTGAATTACTCCCAAAGTCACATAGACACCAGATGGTGAAGCAAGGATTGAACACAGGCTTGTCTGATAGAGCATGAATGCTTAATGCTTTATATATTGCAAAGGATTTTCTTTTTCTTTTTGAGATGGAGTCTTGCTTTTTCGCCAGGCTGGAGTGAGTGCAGTGGCACAATCTCGGCTCACTGCAACCTCCGCCTCCTGGATTTAAGCGATTCTCCTGCCTCAGCCTCCTGAGTAGTTGGGATTACAGGCACACGCCACCATGCCTGGCTAATTTTTGTATTTTTAGTAAAGACGGGGTTTCACCATGTTGGGCAGGATGGTCTCGAGAGATCTCTTGACCTCGTGATCTGCCCGCCTTGGCCTCCCAAAATGCTGGGATTACAGGTGTGAGCCGCTACGCCCAGCCTTAGCATTTTCATAAAACTTTTACAATGCCAAGCTAAAATTTTTTATTTTTTGTAGAGGTGGCATCTCGCCACATTGCCCAGGCCGATCTCAAACTCCTGGGCTCAAGTGATCCTCCTGCCTTGGCCTCCCAAAGTGTTGGGATTACAGGTGTGAGCCACTGCACCTGGTTTGTGGTATTTTACAAATATCTTTTGACTGTTGCCTATAGTATAAAATACTTATTTGTTGAACTATGACAGCTTGCAAAATACAGTGGATACACTGTTTCATATCATATAGAAAAATTCACTGAAAATAGATCAACAACCTAAATATAAGGGCTAAATCATGAAACTCTTAGAAAAAAATAAAGGGAAATCTTCATGACCTTGGATCTGGCAATGGATTCTTAGATAGAAAACCAGAAGACTGAGCAACAACATAAAAAATAGATTAGTTAGACTTTGTCAAATTTTAAAACATTTGTACATCAAAGGACATTATGAAGAAAGTGAAAAGACAGCCTACAGAATGGAAGAAGTTATATTGCAAATTGCACGTATTGCAAATCATATAACTGATAAGCATTTAATATTTGGAATACATATAAGGAGCTCCTAAAACTCAACAACATAAAGACAACCCAAATGGCAAAATTTTTAATAGACATTTCTTCAAAGAAGATACACAAAGATCAAAAAGCATATGAGAAGAAGTTCATCATCATTTGTCCTTGGGGAAATGTGATTCAAAACCGTAAAATACCACTTTATACCTAACAGGATGGCTATTTTTTTTAAAAAGGAAAGTAAGTGTGGTGAATTTGTGGAGAAATTGGAACTCTCCTAAATTCTTCGTGAGAGTGTAATATGGTACAGCTGCTATGGAAGGGAGTTTGGCAGTTCCTCATAAAGCTCATCAGAATTGCCATATGACCTAGCAATTCCACTTCTACATATATAATTACTCCAGAGCAGGGACTCAAGCAGATCTTTGTATGCCAGTGTTTATTGCAGCATTATTCACTGTAGCCAAAAGGTAGAAACAACCTGTGTTCATCAACAGATGGATGGATTTTGCATTGAACAGAAATCTTATGTATAATATAAAAGAAAGATGAATTGGACTTTTTTCAGAAGTCTTGTGGTTTTACTGGATATCCGCTTAAAAATGGAATATGTGAAAGTTCTTTTGTGAGTGGTAAAACCATGTAGACTTGTTATTGCTTTCCTAAGATACATGTACAATCTGAATCTACCTTCTTTTTTTTTTTTTTTTCTTCTGAGACTGGATCTCCCTCTGTCGCCCAGTCTAGAGTGCAGTGGCGCAGTCACAGCTCACTGCAGCCTTGGTCCCCTGGTCTGAGTGATCCTTCCACTTACTTCAGCCTCCCCAGTAGCCGGAACTACAGACTCACGCTACCACACCTGGCTAATTTTTTAATTTTTAATTTTAGAGACAGTGTCTCACTATGTTGTCCAGGCTGATCTTGAACTCCTGAGCTCAAGTAATCTCCCAGCCTTCCAGAGTGCTGAGATTACAAGCATGAGCCACCACGCTTAGCCTGAATCTGACTTCTCTTGAATATCCTCTGCCACAGCGTAGCTCAAGCTTCATTACCTTTCCTTTGAATTATTACAACTGGCTTTAGTTGTTCTCCTTGACATTAGAATCTGTGCTCCTATCTGTCCTGCAGTGCCAGCAGGACTGTTTTCTTTTTTCTTTTTTTTTCTTCTTTTTTTGAGACGGAGTTTCGCTCTGTCGCCAGGTTGGAGTGCAGTGGCACAGTCTTGGCTCACTGCAACCTCCGCTTCCCGGGTTCAAGCGATTCTCCTGCCTTGGCCTCCCAAGTAGCTGGGATTACAGGCATGCACCACCTCGCCCAACCAATTTTTGTATTTTTAGTAGAGACGGGGTTTCACCATGTTGGCCAGGATGGTCTCGATCTCCTGACCTCGTGATCCACCCGCCTTGGCCTCCCAAAGTGCTGGGATTACAGGTGTGAGCCACCGTGCTTGGCCCCAAGACTATTTGCTGTTAGTGCCTCCAGAGCCTCATTGGGTCGCCATATTTACTAGCCATGACCCACTTTCACAGACCTGCTCACTGTCTTCCTTCATGGTCTTGTCTCTGTCCATTGCCAATCCCAAAAACCTTTATGCCAGGGCTTTATGCTAGCCTTTATGCTAGGGCTCTAGCATAAAGAACTGTATTCAACTCCACCTTGACAGAACATGCCATAATCATTCACATCTCTCCTTTAAAAAACATAGTTTTTTTCTTTCTCAAATGAGCTTTACCTCCTTATCCACTAAAACCTCATTCATCCTTCTGGTCCTAGCACAGATGTCACCACCTGAAGAAAAGTTTCCTTGGTTTCCCTTCACCCCTTGGCTTGAGTTAGTGTTTCCTCTCTGTTTTCATAGTACTTCATAGCTGTGTCAGTTACTCACTTTGTAGATAACTCACTGACTGCTTTTCCCCTGATAATTATTTGTTTACGATTGTCTCTTCCTCTCTGGATTCTGAAATTCTTGGAGCAGAGACTGTCTTTTAATCCATCTTTGCCCTTCCAATATTTAAAGCGGGATATGTCTCATAGCTCTGTTCCATAAATGTTTCAGTCCTCCAGAATAATTACTGCAATTGCTATTTCTCTCATTCTTTAAGTAAAGCACATACCCACTTTGCCGTACTTTCCTCCTGAGGTTAACATTACTTTCAATCTAAGGGTTGTTAGAGAATTTTCTTTATCATGTTATTATTTTATTTTCAGTGTAGCATTTTCACCTCTTGATATTTTCTTACTAGTTTACCCATTTTACTACCTCCATGATGACAGGTTGTCTTCTTCACCATGGTATCCGAGCGTTTGTCTAGTTCCGGCCACATAGTCGGCACATAGTAAATGTTTGTGGAATTACTGAAAAGGTTGTTATGAGAATTTACTGAGTTAATATTTTAAAGTACTTAAAATAGTATTTGGCACATAGTAAATATGCAAAAAATGTTATTATTGTAGTAAGAATTGAAAAGTTTTTCTTTTTTTTTTTTTTTTTTGAGACAGAGTTTTGCTCTTGTTGCCCAAGCTGGAGTGCAATGGCATGATCTCAGCTCACTGCAACCTCTGCCTCCTGGGTTCAAGGGACTCTCCTGCCTCAGCCTCCCTAGTAGCTGGGGATTACAAGCATGTGCCACCATGCCCAGCTAATTTTGTATTTTTAGCTGAGACAGGGTTTCTCCGTGTTGGTCAGGCTGGTCTCAAACTCCCAACCTCAGGTGATCTGCCCGCCTTGCACTCCCAAAGTGCTGGGATTACAGGTGTGAGCCACCACGCCTGGCCTGAAAAGTTTCTTTAGGATGTGTTATGTTACCTAAAGAAATTATTGTTAAGATAATTTTTGTTTAATTAAGATAAAAACAATACCTTTGTATGTCTTTCATATACTCATCATGTTTGTTTTGTACTTGCTCTTTGTCTCAAACTTTGTCAAGGGATATGAATATGAGTAAGATGCAGCTCTTCACTTCCCAGAGCTCAGCTATTAAGTTCTTCTTCACACCGGTAATCCCAGCACTTTCAGAGGCCAGGGCAGGCGGATCACGAGGTCAGGAGTTCAAGACTAGCCTGGCCAACATGGTGAAACCCCATCTCTACTAAAAATACAAAAATTAGCCAGGCATGGTGGCGCGTACCTGTAGTCCCAGCTACTCGGGAGGCTGAGGCAGAAGAATTGCTTGAACCTGGGGGGCAGAGGTTGCAGTGAGCTGAGATCACTCCATGGCACTCCAGCCTGGGCAACAGAGCAAGACTCTATCTCAAAAAAAAAAAAATCTTCTTGATTCAGATTTGAAAGGTTTGAGTAAAGACAATGTGACCCAGTCAGAAGATCTCTGAATGACTTTCAGCAACACATTTCTTAGATGTCTGATACATACCATCATCTTTATGTACAAACAAATCTCTCATTAACTTCCTTCTCCCAATTTTAATACCTTAGTTAAAAGCATTTTTCCTGTTTGTTCAAGCCAAGGAACCTTGATAAATCCAGGGGTCACCCTTGATTTTTCTTTCCATTCACCCTCCACATCTGTTCCATCAGCTGTCCTGATAATTCTACCTCCAAACCACAGCTTACTTCTCTCTGATCCCCACTACCCTCATAATGCATGCCACCATTGGCCTTCAGGTTGGTTTCCTAGTTTCCCCTTCTTGCTCCTCTGCAATCCATTTTCTACATAGCAGCCATGATTTCAAATGAAGCATTAATCAGATCATACTATTTTCCCCTTATTTAAAATCCTTTAGTGATATCCCATCATATTTGAAATAGAATCTTAATTCCTTACCCTAACCTACATAATTTGGCCTTTGGTTACCTATTTTACCATATCTTTTGCCACTTTCCTCCTTAGTCTAGTTAATTTACACTGGTCTTTTTTGTTTTTTGAGACAGGGTCTCACTGTGGCAACCAGGCTGGAGTGCAGTGGCAAGATCTTGGATCACTGCAACCTTGACTTCCTGGGCTCAAGCAATCCTCCTGCCTCAGCCTCCCTAGTAGCTAGGATTATAGATGTGTACCGCTATACCAGGCTGGGACTACACACATGAGCCACCATACCTGGCTAATTCTGTTAGTTTTAGTTTTTGTTTTTTGGGGGTTTTCTTTTTTTTCGACACAGGGTCTCACTGTCACCTAGACTGGAGTGCAGTGGTGTGACCTCAGCTCACTGCAGCCACCATCTCCCTGGCTTCTGCCTCAGCCCCACCCCCTCACCCCCACCCCACAACCTTAGCTGGGACTACAGGCCTGCACCACCATGCCTGGCTAATTTTTTGTAGAGACAGGGTTTTGCCATGTTGCCCAGGCTGGTCTCAAACTCCTGGGCTCAAGCAATCCTCCTGCCTTGGTCTCTCAGTGTGCTGGGATTACAGGAGTGAATCACCACATACCAAGCCCTAATTTTTAAAATTTTTAGTAGACACAGAGTCTCCCTACATTACCCAGGCTGGTCTCAAACTCCTGGGTTCAAGTGATCCTCCTACCTCAGCCTCCCAAAGTGTTGGGATTACAGGCATGAGTCACCTACCCCAGTCTCAAATGTCAACTTTTTATTGAGGCTGTCAGTAAGCACCCGATCCAGAGTAGTACTTAAACTTTCTGTATCACATTACTCTTTTTTATTTTCAGCATATTATTTTTAGTGCTTGATATTTTCTTACTAGTTTTCCTGTTTGACTGCCTCATAGGATATAACCTCCATCATGATGGTAGAACTACCCAATCAATGCCCCCTGCCCATGTAGAGCAGCTGAATTGCAATAGTGGAAGAGTTTTACCAAGATAGAATCATCTAAAGGGAAGACCAGAGTCATAATTATTATTCAAATTAGTCTCCTCTAGCATTTGGGGGCTAGGGTTTTTCAAACACAGTTTAGGGGAAGGAGTTGGGTGGCTAGGCAATGGGTGCTTACTGCTTATTGGTTGGGGGTGCAAGAGAAATGGTCTTCCTGCATACTTGGTCGTTGCTGGGTGGGGCCACAGATTGGCAGGTCCACGTGGAGCCACTGGTTATCAGACATACAACAAACCTGGAAAGACCTCTTAAAAGGCCAATCTTAGGTTGTACAATAGTGATGTTATCTGCAGGAATAATTGGAGAAGTTGCATGTCTTGTTACCTTCTGAATAATGGCTGGCAATCCTTTACCTCTACCAGGGGAGTCCAATCTTTTGGCTTCTGTGGGCCACATTGGAAGAAGAGGAGTTACCTTGGGGCACACATAAAATACACTAACATGAATGATAGCTGATGTGCTTTTAAAAATCACAAAAATTCTCATGTTTTAAGAAAGTTTACAGATTTGTATTGGGCCTCATTTAAAACCGTCCTGTTGTGGGCCACGCGTTGGACAAGTTTGCACACCTTAGCCAGTTCAGGCTCCTCTATCCTCCTAGCCTAGTGGTGTCTCATTAGCTTTACAAAGGCAGTTGAGTTTTGGGGAAGGGCCATTGTCATTTAAATTGTAAACTAAATGTCTCCCAAAGTTTAAGCCCAGGAATAATTAAGGGCAGATTAAAGGCAAGATGGGAGTTGGCTAGATTAGATCTCCCCCATTGTCATAATTTTTTCGCTAGTATAATTTTTGCAAAGGCGATTTTGTTACCAGAAAGAGGTCCCAATCCAGACCCCAAGAGAGTGTTCTTGGAGCTTGCACAAGAAAGAATTCGAGGCAAATCTATAAGGTAAAATGAAAGCAAGTTTATTAAGAAATAAAGGAATAAAAGAATGGCTACTCCATAGGCAGAGCAGCCTTGAGGGCTGCTGCTTGCCCATTTTTATGGTTATTTCTTGATTATATGCTAAACAAAGGGTGGATTATTCATGCCTCTCATTTTTAGACCATATAGGGTAAAAATTGTTCCTGGTGTTGCCATCGCATTTGTAGACTGTTTTGGTGCTGGTGGGAATGTAGCAGTGAGGACAACCATAGGTCATTCTTGTGGCCATCCTGGTTTTGGGGGGTTTGGGGTGGCTTCTTTACTGCAACCTGTTTTATCAGCAAGGTCTTTATGACCTTTATCTTGTGCCGACTTCCTATCTCATCCTGTGACTTAGAATGCTTTAACCTCCTGGGAATGCAGCCCAGTAGGTCTCAGTCTTATGTTACTCAGCCCCTATTCAAGATGAAGCTGCCCTGGTTCAGTACCTCTGACAGTTTGCGACCTCATCTGGGGCGACATCCAAGGTTTATTGTCTCACAGCCAGGGACATCAAGGACTCAGATACACAGAGAGTGAGGTTAAGAGTGGAAGTTTAATAGGCAAAAGAGAGAATAGCTCTCAGCTACAGAGAGGGGTCCCAGAAAAATGGATTGCCATTCCATGGTGAAATGCAAGGGGTTTTATAGATGAATTGATGGGGAGGTGGTGTCTAATCTACATAGGGCGGGCGTGAAAAAACAGTTAAGAATAGGTGTGCCGTTCGCATAGGAGCGAATTTCTGGCATCCCCCACCTTAGTCTTTTATTATGCAGGCGGATTTTCAGCCTGAGCTGTGCCATGTTCCCCCTTTCTTTCTTACCGTATACGTGCTAACAAAAAAGGGAAGATGGAGTGTCCATGGTGGACATGCCTGGCCCCCAGGTAGCCCTTTTCTATTGGCACAGCTGCCAGCATTCCACCTTGCAACCTTTCAGCTTCCATATTTATGTTTGCAGCTCGATTTTTCAGGCTGCTCTTTATTAGAAAAATAAATAACTTCTTGGGCTGCTTTTTGTTAGAAGGGAAGTTCTGCTGAGGACTTTTGCCCTCGCTGTCTGTCTAAATAATTTCTTTCTATCTCCTGTATCAGTTTGAATGGGTTGTCTTTTTCACCATGGTATCTGAGCTCCTAGACTAGTTACTGCCATATAGTCTGCACATAGTAATATTTGTGGAGTCACTGGTTAAGTGAATCTCTTTCAACTTTATGTTTCTCAATTGTAAAATAAGGATTTGGATCTAAATGATCTCCAAGGATTCCTCTTGTGAAAGATAAAGCCTGACACTAGTTAAAGCTGATAAAGACAGATTTTATTCAGTAACTATCGCAGTACAGGAAGGAGCTGTGCTGTGTTCGAATTTGTGCAGAGGTGACTGGGTGTTTATAAAGGAGAAAGAGGGAATAGGGAGAGGAGTGGGAGGAATGGGGGAGCTTTAGTCAAGTTATGGAAGTGAAAAATTTAAAAAGAAGCTAAGAGCGTTGTTGACCTTCTGTGATTATGTCATTTCTGTCTTCTAAGTAGCATTAATGGAAATTAGGCATCTGCCCTCTCACAGAGACTGGTAGACCGAGGCCCTGTCTGTTGGTTATATTTCAAAGGAATGGCCTTCAGGTCCTTCAGAAAGATATTCTGGGTCTTAGGAAATACATATGCATCTCAAGGGGACAGAAGAAGGATTTACAATTTTAAATTTGTTTAATAAATGGGAAGGGGAGGTCTGCGACCTGTCTTCAGATGTTGGCTGGAATCAGAAGTAAATTCCTTTGAGAGCCTTGGGTTTTTCCAGACTGGAACTTAAGTGGGGCTAGCTGCCCCCAGGGATGAGATCTTAGGCTCTTAGAAGCCATTTCACACCCTCTTTTTAAATTTCTTATGAGTTATCCAAAAGAATTATTGTTACTTTGATTGTTTATGTAAATCCAAGATAAATAAGTTAATGATCCCACTGAGATAAAGTCTATGTATTTGCTCTGTAGGCATGTGAAGTCACCTTTCCTATATATATTGAGCTGATACGGAACCTTTAAAAAAGCTCCCTTCCTTTCCTCTGCCCAACATTTTCCATCCTCATCCTCCACTTTGTTTACCTGTATGTAGAGGTTAGGAGGAAAAGATGTAAGGGGTATTGGAATGGCAGTAGACTGGTGGCCAGGATGCCTCCCTGGCCAAATATTTGACTTTCACCCTTGCAGGCACCAAACATTGATTCTGGTGTTGTGTCAGGAGAATGGTTGTCCCTCAGGCACCAAGCAGGAGAACGCAATAGGACCTGACCTATCAGCTAGATTTATAGATAATCAAACAAAGAACAAGTATTATAGAATAATGATTTATGGTGATAATAGGTACGAATGTTATGTCAAATTGTTCATGTTTTAGATATTAGAACATTCTCTCCCTCAAGAGAAATTGCATGTAAAACCAAATTATAATTATAACGCTTCTTGGTCAGAAACAAGTTGGAGCATGGGGAATTAATATGAATTACCAATGTAATTAGGATCTGGTTGCTTCCAGGACCCAAGAATTCACCGTTATAGACAGTCTCTGATAGACACAGCTAATTTCTGGCTCCCTAGGCAGATTATAGCTCATGAGCCACATCCTGCCTGGTACCTGTCTCAAAAAGCTAAGAATGGTTTTTACATATTTAGATGATTGGGAGAAAAACTCAAAAGAAGAATAATATTTGGTGACATGTAAAAATTCTATGAAATTCAAATTTCATTATCCATAAACAAAGTGTTACGGGAATACAGCCATGCCTGTTCATTTATGTATATTCTATGGCTGATTTTGCACCATGATAGTAGGTTTGAATAGATACAAGAGAGACTCTATGGCCTATAGTGCCTAAATTATTTCTTGTTTGGGCCTTGAGGAAAAACTTGCTTACCCCGGGTGTAGATTAAATAGTTTTGCATAAGAATTATTTAGATGTCTTTTTGAATAATCTTTTTATTTGCAAGTTTTATTTGCAGTGTTCATTTTGTGGTAACAGTAGGTTATAGCTGTTTTGTGCATAGCTAATTAGTGGATTTTTTTTTTTTTAACATCAAATGGCACAGCAGTATGTCTAAATTGCCCTTAAAGAAATACAAAATGGGCCGGGCATGTGGCTCACACCTGTAATCCCAGCACTTGGGGATGCCAAGCCAGGCGAATCGCAAGGTCAGGAATTCGAGACCAGCCTGGCCAATATGGTGAAACCTCGTCTCTACCAAAAATACAAAAATTAGCCAGGCATGGTGGTGGGCGCCTGTAGTCTCAGCTACTCGGGAGGCTGAGGCAGGAGAATCTCTTGAACCTGGGAGGCAGAGGTTGCAGTGAGCCGAGATCGCACCACTGCACTCCAGCCTGGGCGACAGAGTGAGACTCCGTCTCAGAAATACAAAATGAGTAGTAAATTTATCTTTGAAATCTGCAAAACAAATGTACCCTAAATGTTATAAATAAAGGTCAGTAAATTTAAGTTAAACAGTGTGGGGGCAAAGGATTTTTATCATCTTTATATCCATTTCTCTTTTTTTATCCTCCCCTTTTACACATAGATGCGAATCAGTAGTTGTTGTTTTTGGAATTTGTGACACTGTGAGCCATTGGCTGTGCTTCCATATCTGGTTTGTTGGCCAAACTTTGGAGCTATGTCGTTTTTCACCTCTCAGATACTAAGGATGAGCTTCCCCATACTTGGCATTAGCCTCTGGGATAGTCAGCCAACGTTATCTTCTTCTAGGGACTTGGTACTCAACCGAGCACTCAATAAGTGCTTCATTCAGGTCATAGCTGGACTCTGCATTGTTGATTGTCTCTCTGTCTTTCTTTTTTTTAAATTTGAGATATTCACATACCAGAAAATTTACCGTTTAAACAATTTAGTGTTTATTAACATATTTACAGGGAATATACAACCATCATCATTATCTTAATTTGAGAACACTTTTATTACTCTAAAAAGAAATTGCCTACCCATCAGCAGTCACTTCCCATTCCTTCCTTCCCCTACCCACTGGGAACTGCTAATCTACTTTTATCTGTATGGATTTGACTATTCTGGACACTTCATATACATGGAATCATGCAATATGTGGCCTTTTGTGTCTGGTTTCTTTCACTTAACATGTTTTCAAGCCTTGTCTATGCTATAGTATATTATTACCTCATTTCTTTTTATGCTTACATAAAATTCCATTGTGTGGTGTGCCACAGTTTATCCATTCACCTGTTAGTGGACATTTGGGTTGCTTCCACCTTTTGGCAGTTGTGAATAATACTGCGAGGAACATTTGTATACAAGTTTTTGTGTAGACGTACGTTTTCCTCTTTCTTGTGTAAATACTTAGGAGTGTAATGGCTAAGTCATATGGTAGCTAAATATTAACATTTTAGGAATTGCCAAGCTGTTTTCCAAGGCAACTGCACCATTTTACATTCCCAGTAACAACCTGTGAGCATTCAAATTTTTCCGTATCGTCAACCAACATTTATTATTATCTTTCTCATTGTGGTAAAATGTCTATTCAGATTCTGACATTTTAGCTTTTGATATAATCACTTTAGGGTCTTCCTCATGTAATATTTATATTTTTCCCTTTTTCTGTATATCCTTTTTTTTCTCTCTGAAAAACGTAACACTGTCAGCCAGAGGAAGTAATATATTCTAGGGAATGGGAAACTCATGCTTCCTGTGAGTCTTTAAACTGTCCATTGTCCATCTTGGCAACATGAAGAAACCCCGTCTCTACAAAAAGTACAAAAATCAGCCAGGTGTGGTGGCACACGGCTATAGCCCCAGCTTCTCGGGTGGCTGAGGTGGGAGGATCACCTGAGCCCAGGGGGTCAAGGTTGCAGTGAGCTGTGATCGTGTCCCTGTACTCTACCCTGGGTAACAGAGTGAGACCTATCTCCAAAAAAAAAAAAAGAAAAAAAAAAAAGATCCTCTATTATATTGTTCCTGGCCATACTGCTTGTTTTGTATTCTTTTTCTATATTAATACTAATCTATTATTTTATTGCACAAATCGATGAAAAGAGATGACACTATGACACTAGTGCAGGCTAGGAAAAGGGTAACCCACCTGAGAGAGCTGGCTTGTTTTTCTCCTGTCTACCCCATTCCCTGTACTCCAGGTTAATCTCTTGCCTTGTGTTGGTTCTTCTCCTTTGGCCCTCGTTATGCTCTTTGCTCCTTGAATTGCAAGAAATACGTGAAATTGCTGGCATTTTGTATCATTTTTTGCCTACTCTTTGGCCTTTAAGATAATATTATTAATGTTCCAGTTTTATTGCTGAAAAAACTAGCTCACAGAGGTCATAGAACCCATTTGCATTTCACTGTGTTAACCTCCCTTACTGGCTTCCTCTGACCTCTAGTTTAGGGTGATGCTGCTGAAATGAGAGAAAGTTTCTTGCACTGGCTTTGAAATGCAGTGGTTATTCAGATCTTCTTTCTTTGGTCTGTTACAGTGGCTCTGGTTTGCCTGAAATGCTTGTGTAGAAAGAGAAGCCTAGACATTTATCTTAAAGCCAAGTTACATAAGTTTTCATATGCCAAGAATGGAATTTTAACTTTACTCCTAAATAGTAGAACAATGAGTTCAAGAGAGGCGTGGTTAAAAGTATGTGTAGAATTTGGCATGTTTTTTGAACTAATTCTGTCCTAGGCAAAAAGATGAATAAATTTTTGTCATTGCCCTAAAGGAACTTCCAGCCATTTGGAGAGATGGAATCAAACAATTACTCTCATGCGGGAAAATGTGTCTATAAAGTATGTATAAAGTTCTTGATAGCAGAGGAGAGAGCTACAGAGATCCCTTCTTACCTTAAATTCAGTTATCAAACAATAGTAAATATTTTTTATCATTTTAAGTAGTATGCATTTTAGGGTGCAGTTGGATTGGACTGTTTAGTGTAACCTCTTTCCTTTATAAACATGTATTAACAAGAACAGCATAGTTGTACAAGCCTGCAAACATAAATAAAAATTGCTTTCATGTATTAAGATATTAACTTTATCTGACAGATATGCCAAGAGTTTAACAGTACCTGGGCATGGGAGATGGAGAAGAAGGGCTATCTTGAAATGAGTGTTGAATGCAAACTAGCACTCTTAAAGGTAATAAATCTATTATTTGTTACAGTTATTTTAATTTAAAATTTAACTTTTGACTCCTGGTTAAATTGGAAAATAAACAAAAAGTAGACATTTTTATTATTAGCAGAAGAGGACAATGGAGTCTATTTTTTAGTGACAATCTATTCTTTAAAGTGCTGTTTTTTGATGCATAAATATATCTAGGTTTAATTATCTCTTCTTGTAGGGACAGTAATAACATGGGCAAGCAGTTGCTCCAAATTAGTTTTATTCATTGTTTTCAGCCTTCACAATCATTACTATATACTGTAAACTGTGGATAATTTTTTACCGATTTACTAAATTAGCAATTTGATACTGTTTTCTGGATGACTAGGAGCATGTCATTTCGTACTTAAAACCCTCACATAACCAAACCAACTTGATTTAAATGGGTCATCTCAAAGTAGGCTTTTTTACAAGTTTGAGTTTTCCTTTCTTTTCCTGCCCACTTCCTACTGTTGGCCCTAATTAGTAGCAAAGTGGCCAGCATAGTAGAGGAGAAAAAATATTCTTTGTGAAAACATTAATGAAGTTTTTGCTACTTCTAAAATTTATAATGTTTTGTAAGTAGGCTTCTTATTCAAAAGACCTCAAGATTTTATGATGAACCTTAAAATATAATGTCAATATACATATTACTATTTTGGAGCTAGATAAGACTATAGAGTAGGTGTTATTTTGCTGTTAGATGTTGATTGCTGTTGGAGCCTACACAGAAGTCTTCAAGATCCAAAAGATACCTGTCTCAGAAAACCAAATGTCATAGTAAGCTCAGATTTCAGGGTGTACAATCATGCAGGTTCATCTGTCTCTAGACCAGCTTGTGGTCCCAAGGGGGTAATTGTGATTCCTTGCGAGTCAAAGTTATAGAAATTATACTCATAACTTTTATTAATCCCAATTTTTGAAATACCTTTTTGTGCATTCCTATAATGTATGTAATACTTTAGTATACATACTGACCTCTAGGTTAGGGGGATGCTACTGAAAAGTATGTAATACTTTAGTATTACATACATTATATATTAGTGTGTATACTATGTATTTATTATGTAAATACATAAGAAAGTGGATATAATACATATAACTTTTCAGGGTGTGTTACAAATTTTTTTAGTAGTAAGGATGCTTGATCAAAAATGTTTAGAGACCATTGGGATAGCTGACATAGGCAAAGGCATAAGGGCTATAATAGGAAGTAACTTAATGTGTTGTCTGCCCGGGCAGAGATAGGAAGAAATCTGACTTATACCCTAATCATACAAAATACATAACAAAAAGTTAGTTAGTTCTTCCAATCTAGTATGTGAATATCTTTTTATTAAGAGAATTCTCCAGAGCCAGCTATCAATGAAAATCTACCTTCCTTGAAAACTGCATATGTCTCAGGCTTTCAAAAATAGATAGTCCTTTAAGAATAATGTTCACCTAAAACCTGGAAGAGAGAAAGAATTATTGAAAGTTTTATACCATGACTACTGAATAACCAACATGTTAAAAAAAAATCCAAAAGGAAATTTTAAAACTCTTGAGAGAAATGAAAATGGAAAGTCAACATGCCAGAACTTACAAAATGCAGCAAAAGCAAATCTAAGAGGGAAGTTCATAGCAATCGATGGCCATATTAAAAAAGAAGAAAGATCTCAAATAACAACCTAATGTTACACTGCAAGAAACTAGAAGAACGAACTAAACCCAAACTCAGTAGAAGGAAGAAGATAACCAAGATATGAGTAAAATTAAATGAAATAGAGACTAGAAAAAAACAGTAGAAAAGATAAACAAAACTAAGAGTTGGTTTTTGAGAAGATAAACAAAACTGACAACCTTTAGCTAGGCTAAGAAAGAGAGAAGACTTAAATCAGAAATTAAAGTGGAGACATTATAACCAATACCACAGAAATACAAAGGATCATAGAAACAACTATGAACAATTGTTTGGATTATATAGAAAAAAATGGATATATACTAGAAGCATGTATCTTACTAAGACTGAATTACGAAGAAATAGAAAATCTGAACAGACTAATAACAAGTAAGAAAATTGAACCAGTAGTAAAAAATGTCCCATCAGAGAAAAGCCCAGGGTATGATGGCTTCACAGCTGAATTCTACCAAACATTTAAAGAATAACTAATAGTAGTCCTTCTCAATGTCTTCTAAAAAGCTGAAGAGGAGAAAATACTTCCAGACTAATTTTAGAAGGCCAGCATTATACTGATCCCAAAACTGGACACAAACACTATAAGAAAAGTAATATTCCCAATGAACACAGATGCAAAAATCCTTAACAAAATACTAGCAGCCAAATTTAATAGCACATAAATGAGATCATTCACCATGATCAAGTGGGATTTATCCCAGAATGCAAGGATTGTTCATCCTATGCAAATCAATAAATGTGATACATGGCCAGGTACAGTGGCTCACACCTGTAATCCCAGCACTTTGGGAAGCTGAGGCAAGAGAATCACTTTAGCCCAGGAGTTCAACACCAGCCTGGGCAACATAGCGAGATCACTTCTCTGTAAAATATTTTAAAAAGCTAGCTAGCTGGGTGTTGTGGCGTGTACCTGTAGACCTAGCTGCTGGGGAGATTGAGGCAGAGGATTGCTTGAGCTGTGATCGTGCCACTGCACTTCAGCCTGGGTAACAGAGTGAGACTCTTGTCTTTAAAAAATAAATAAGCCAGGCGGGGTGGCTCACGCCTGTAATCCCAGCACTTTGGGAGGCTGAGGCGGATGGATCAGTAGAGGTCAGGAGTTCAGGACCAGCCTGGCCAACATGGTGAAACCACATCTCTACTAAAAGTACAAAAATCAGCTGGGCATAGTGGCACATATCTGTAATTCCAACTACTAGGGAGGCTGAGGCAAGAGAATTGCTTGAGCTCGGGAGGCAGAGGTTGCAGTGAGCTGTGACCACACCACTGCACTCTAGCCTGGGTGACAGAGCAAGACTCTGTCTCAAAAAATTAATTAATTAATTAACTAAATAAAGTTGTGATGCTCCACATTAAGAGAATGAAGGACAAATATTATATGATCATATGAGTATATGCAGAAAAAACATTTGAGAAAATTCAACTTTGCTTTCATGATAAAAACTCTCAACAAATTAGGTGTGAAAAGAATATGTATCAGTGCAGTAAAGGCCATATAATACAACCCCTCAGCTTACATGTACCCAACAGTGAAAAACTGAAAGCTTTTCCTTTAACATCAGGAGCAAGACAAGGACACCCACTTGCCACTTACATTCAACATAGTACTGGAAGTCGTAGCCAGAACAGTTAGGTACAAAAAGAAATAAGTCATCTGAATTGGAAAGGAAGAAGTTAAATTGTGACTGTTTGCAGATGACATGATTTTATGTATAAAAAATCCTAAAGACTCTACCAACAGACTATTAGAACTAATAAATGAATTCAGTAAAATTGCGAGATATAAAATCAATATACAAAAATTAGAAGTGTTTCTACTCATAAATCACAGACAATCCAAAAAAGAAATTATAAAAACCAATTCATTACAATAGCATCAAAAAATAAAATATTTAGGAGTAAATTTGACCAAAGAGGTAAAAGATCTCTATACTGAAAACTACAAAACATTATGAAAGAAAAGACAAATGAAAAGATGTCCTGTGTTCATGGATTAAAAGAATTAATCTTGTTAAGATGTCCGTACTACCCAAAGTGATCTACAGATTCAACGCAGTCCCTATCAAATTCCAATGGCATTGTTCACAGAAATAAAACACAACCCTAAAATTCATATGGAACCACAGGAACCTGAGTAACTAAAGCAGTCTTGAGCCAGAAGAACAAAACTGGAGGCATCATACTACCTGATCTCAAAAATCTACTGAGTTATAGTAATCAGAACAACATGGTACTGGTAAAAAGCAGATATATCGACCACTGGAACAGGATAGAAAGCCCAGAAACAAACTCATGTATTGATGGTCAGTTGCTTTTTGACGGTGGTATCAGGATTACACACTGTGCAAAGGACAGTCTATTCAATAAATGGTGCTGGGAAAACTGGTCATCCACATGCAGGAGAATGAAATTAGACCCTTATCTTACACCATACACAAATTATCTTAGTGGATTAAAGACTTACATATAGACCCGAAAGTATAAAACTACTAAAAGAGTTCAATATTCAAACCATATAAAGAACTCAAGCAACAGCAAGAAAACAATCTGATTTAAAAATGGGCAAAGGACTTCAGTAGACATTTCTCAGAAAAAGACGTAGGAAATGGCCAACAGATAATATGAATAAATGCTCAATATCACTAATTATCAGGGTAATGCATTTTAAAACCACAGTGGAGTATCACTTCATGCTTGTTAGGATGGCTGTTATCAAAAAGACAAGACAAGAGATAACAAGTTTGGTAAAGATGTACAGAAAAGGGAACCCTTGAGGCCAGGTGCAGTGGCTCATGCCTGTAATCCCAGCACTTTGGGAGGCCAAGGCAGGCGGATCACGAGGTTAAGAGATCAAGACCATCCTGACCAACATGATGAAACCCTGTCTCTACTAAAAATACAAAAATTAGCTGGGCATGGTGGCACGCCCCTGTAGTCCCAGCTACTCAGGAGGCTGAGGCAAGAGAATCTCTTGAACCCAGGAGGCGGAGGTTACAGTGAGCCGAGATCGCGCCACTGCACTCCAGCCTGGTGACAGAATGAAACTCTGTCTTAAAAAAGAAAAAAGAAAAGGGAACCCTTGCACGCTGATTGTGAGAATGTAAATTAGTTCGGCTATTATGGAAAATAACATGGAGGCTCCTCAAAAAATTCAAAATAGAACTACCATATGATTCAGCATCCTACTGCTGGATATATATCCAACGGAAGAAGAATTTGTTTCTTGAAGTGGTATCTGCACTCCTGTGTTCACTGCAGCATTAATCACAATAACCAAGATACAGGATCATTCTAAATGTCCGTCAACAGAAGAATGTAAAATGAAAAGAAGGAAATTCCTGCTTTCGTGACAACACGGTTGAACCTGGAGGTCATTATGTTAAGTAAAATAAGCAACGCACTGAAAGAAATACCCCATGATATTACTTAATGTGGAATCTAAAAGAGTCAGACTCATAGAATCACAGTAGATTGGTGATTACCAGGGATTAGGGAGGTGAGGGTAGACTGGGGAGATATTGGCCCAAGCTACAAAAAGTCAGACAGGAGGAATTAGTTCAGGAGATCAGTTGTATAACATGGTGACTATAGATAATAACAATATATAATATATTTGAAAATTGCTAAGAGGCTAGATTTTAAATGTTCTCACCACCAAAAATTCTTAGGTAGTAGATGTGTTTATTAGCTTGGTTTAGCCATTCCACACTATACACATATATCAGAATACCATGGTGTATACCATAAATATATGCAATTTTTATTTGTCATTTTAAATAAAGAAAATGTAAAAAAAAAATGAAACATTTTTAATAGAAATTTTTTTTTGAGACAGGGTCTTGCTCTGTTGCCCAAGCCAGAGTGCAGTGGCGAGATCACAGCTCACCGCATCCTCAACCTCCCAGCCCAGCCCCCTAAATAGCTGGGACTGTAGGCGTGCACCACCATACCTGGCCAATTTTTGTATTTTTTGTAGAGACAGGGTTTCACCATGTTGCCCAGGCTAGCCTTTAACTCCTGGACTCAAGCGATCCTCCTGCCTCGGCCTCCCAAAGTGCTGGGATTACAGGTGTCAGCCACTGTGCCTGGCCTAAAACAGAAAATCTTATACCATGAGATGATTTGGGAGTTTTTAGTGCAAACGGGCTCATTCCTTTTGAAATAAAACTTGATTTGTGTGTCAGTGGTTGTGTTAAACCTATAAATTGGTATGGTGTTAATATAAAATGTTATCTTAAAATATTGGCTATTCTAAACAGTTTGTATGAAAGTGGGAAGAGGATAGTGAAAGAAGGAATACAGTATTTGTGTTCTGTCCACTGCTTTCCCTGAATCAATTCTACGGTTGTATCATATTTACTGTGATGGAGAAATATTTGTGAGGTATTTTAAGTCATGTTATGACTATTTTTCAGTACCTCTGTGAGTGTCAGTTTGATGACAATCTCAAATTCAAGAATATTATTAATGAGGAGGATGCCGATACTATGCGTCTCCAGCCAATTGGTCGAGACAAAGATGGCCTCATGTACTGGTACCAATTGGATCAAGATCACAATGTCAGAATGTACATAGAAGAACAAGATGATCAAGATGGCTCTTCATGGAAATGCATTGTCAGGTATCTTTTATTGGAACCTTTTTACACTTATTTGTGTGTTTTGTACATTGATCTCGTTTCAAAACTAGGATGTTATCTATCAGACAGAAGTGGTTTTTTGTGTGTGAGTTTTGGGAGTTGTCAAGGCCTCACCTAGTATCCAGCGTAATACCCATAGTATGCACTTAGTTTTTTATTCGTCAAGTAAATGAGTATATTCAGTAGTTCAGTCCATATTATATACACATACCTTATACATCAGGAAGCCAGAATCTGAATAATTATAAATAATATGGACAGAAAAATACATTGTTAGACAAAAGCACAAGAAAAGCATTGTTTGGTTCTTATTTAGCTATAGTTTTCTTTTCTTTTTTAAACGGAGTTTCGCTCTTGTTGCCCAGGCTGGAGTGCAATGGCGCAATCTCGGCTCACTGTAACCTCCATCTCCCAGGTTCAAGCAATTCTCCTGCCTCAGCCTCCCAAGTAGCTGGGATTACAGGCGTGTGCCACCATGCCCAGCTAATTTTGTATTTTTAATAGAGATGAGGTTTCTCCGTGTTGGTCAGGCTGGTCTTGAACTCCTGACCTCAGGTGATCTACCCGCCTCGGCCTCCCAAAGTGCTGGGATTACAGGCGTTGGCCACCAGGCCCAGCCTTTAGCTATAGTTTTCTATTCAGCATTAACTAGTTCTAATTATTTTAATTTATTCAGTTCATCTTGACACAGTATATATTCTATTTGCTGTGCATACATTTCTTTATTGGAGTTCTGAGGAAATCTTGGGAACATTGCACTTTTTTGTCATAGTTCTCTTTTTAAAAATCTTGATTTTTTATTTGTGTTGACAAATATATTTGAACAGAAACATTTAATATATAACCATGAAATATAACCTAAACCCTATGAGTAATACTAGAACCGTTATTACAGAATCTTTGTGTCTTTAGTTTTCTGTCACTGTAACTTTACTATTTAGAAATATTCCACAAATTATATTAATTTGGAAGATATCGGGGTCCTATTAAATAGGGAAAACTCATAGCTATCTAACCGCTAGCTTATGAAAAACTTTCCTGACATTAACTCATATCTGTTTTTTGCCCCATTTTGAATTTCAGCAGATTTCTCTTAGTGATTATTTATTAATGCTTTGAAAAAATAACCCGTAGAAAAGCTCAATTTTCATTCCCTAAGAATAAATGTGTACTGATTAATCTCATGGGAGATTGTTTCATAAGCATGTATCATTACATTATTTTCCTTGTAATTAATTTGCTAAACGGAGGTGAACAAAGTAGTCCTAAACTAAAATTTATTTACCATTTCTCCTTTAAATACAAAGACAAATATGATCTATTCATGACATTATACCACTGTTTCTGTTATTTCCCATATTAACTTGGCGTAGTTGTTTAAAACATTCTTTTCTTCTTTGTAGATGAAGAAAATATGACAGTGAAATAACGATTACTATTGATCAGTCATAGTTGTTTAAAATAATGTCTAATGGGCTGGGTGCGGTGGTTCACACCTGTAATCTCAGCACTTTGGGAAGCCGAGGCGGGAGGATCACGAGGTCAGGAGTTTGAGACCAGCCTGGCTAGCATGGTGAAACCCCATCTCTACTAAAAATACAAAACATTAGCCGGGCATGGTGGTGCATGCCTGTACTCCCAGCTACTCGGGAGGCTGAGGCAGGAGAATTGCTTGAACCCGGGAGGCAGAGGTGTAATTTATGAGAGGAGTTCAAGATAAAAAGAACTGGAAGGCTGGGCACGGTGGGTCACGCCTGTAATCCCAGCACTTTGGGGGCTGAGGTGGGCAGATTATGCGGTCAGGAGATCAAGACCATCCTGGCCAACATGGTGAAACCCCATCTCTACTAAAATAAAAAAAAAAAATTAGCTGGGTTTGGTGGCACACACCTGTAATCCCAGCTACTCGGGAGGCTGTGGCTGGAGAATCGCTTGAACCAGCAGGTGGAGGTTGCAGTGAGCCAAGATCACGCCACTGTTCTCCAGCCTGGGCAACACAGCGAGGCTCCGTCTCCAAAAAAAAGAAAAAAAAATGTCTAATGTATACTGTTTTAAATAGATTATACCTTAATGCATGATGTGAAATTTTAGAGTTAACAGTTATGTTTGAATCTGGGTTCATCCACTTACCATCTGTAGACACATTACTTTTGTCCCTTGGTATCCATGGGGCACTGGTTCCAGACCCTCATGGATAACAAAATGTGTAAATGCTTAAGCCCTTTACATAATATTTGTGTATAACCTATGCACGTCCTCCCATATACTTATAATACTTAATGCATTGTAAATGCTAGGTATAGAATTGTTATACTGTAGTTTTAATTTGTATTTTTATTGTATTAACTTTAGTTCATTTTTTTCTAAATATTTTGATCTGTGGATATGGGGGGGCTAATGTACTTAATTTTTCTGAGAGTTACATTCCTGTACTTTAAAATGAAAGTGATAATACTTCCTCAAAAAGTTGTTGTGAGGAATATATGAGAAATGGTACTGACACTGTAATACATGCTCAATAAACCTTTTCTCTTTTTATTTCCACCTTTTTAACTATTCGCTTTTCTTTTGTTTTTTGTTTTTAGAGACGGAGTCTCACTCTGTCGCCCAGGCGGGAGTGCAGTGGCGCGATCTTGGCTCACTGCAAGCTCCGCCTTCCGGGTTCACGCCATTCTTCTGCCTCAGCCTCCCAAGTAGCTGGGACTACAGGCACCCGCCACCATACCTGGCTAATTTTTTGTAGTTTTAGTAGAGATGGGGTTTCTCTGTGATAGCCAAGATGGTCTTGATCTCCTGACCTCGTGATCTGCCCGCCTCAGCCTCCCAAAGTGCTGGGATTACAGGCGTGAGCCACCGTGCCTGGCCAGCTATTCGCTTTTCTTACAACCTTTCTAACTCCAAAGACTGAAATTTAGTTTATTCACTAAAGAAATATTTATCAGCAGAAAGGTCAGAAAATTCCCCTGGTGTTGCTTTCTGCTTTCACCTCTTCTCATGCTTGACCATTTCTCCATGTTTTGTTCCTTGGGCTTCTGCTCTTTTTAAACACACACACACACACACACACACACACACACACACACACACACACCCCCCAAAACACATAAAACTTCTTTCCATTTGTTAAAATTTGTTTTTGATAAACAAAATGGTGTATGTGGCAATTGTTCAGAAGGAAATGCTTGTGTAGATTAATGCCTGCACGCAGTTTTCCGTTTTTTTGTTGTTGTTGTTGTTGTTTTTTGGTTTTTTTTTTTTGAGACAGGATCTCGCTTTGTTGCCCAGGCTGCAGTGTGGAGTGCAGTGGTGCGATCTCAGCTCCCTGCAAATTCTGCCTCCCGGGTTCAAGCCGTTCTTCTGCCTCAGCCTCCTGAGTAGCTGGGATTACAGGTGTGAACCACCACACCTGGATAATTTTTGTACTTTTAGTAGAGACAGAGTTTTGCCATGTTGACCATGCTGGTATCGAACTCCCGAGCACAAGCTATTCACTTGCTGTGGCCTCCCAAAGTGCTGGGATTACAGGTGTGAACCACCATACCCATCGCATAGTTTTCTCATTTTCACAACCACAAATTTCTTTAGAAAATGGTGCCAGGTTATTTTTAGCCATTTTGATGACATCTGTGAATACATATGTTTCTATTTACAATGAGCCAGGGAACATTGCCCAAATAACGCAGAAATATTTGGGAGCATTCAGAAATCATTTGGTTTATTGACTCTCTGATTTTGTGTAATGAAATTCAATTTTTAAACAGCTGATTGTCATACTAACATTCCTTTATTTCATTAAATTTATAAATTCTATTACATACATCCTTGTGTAATAGGTACTATGCTAAACAATTGGTGATGTAATAGTGAATAGTATGGCTCTAAGATCTCTAAGAGGGGCTGCAGGCACCTGTGAAAGGCCTCAACTTGTAAAGAATAGATTTTAGGTGAATATTATATGCGTATTTTCTGGGGACGGATGGTAATTTATGTCAAATTTTCAGTTGGGTGTGTTTATGCATATTATAAGTGAGATGTTCTATGACATGACATTCCAATTAGCTTTAACCCAACACAGTGGAACTCTTACTGACAAATATAGTAAACTGTCTTGTCCACATAGGTCTCTCATTGTTGCAAAGGTTGAATGTAGAAAACATTGTAATAATTTTTGCCTCCTCATAAAGATAAGATCTTAGTTGTCACTAATATATATTTAGTGCCTAAAATAATGTGGGGCATCATCTCATTTGACTTGGATGAGATCATACCTGGAGCATGGTATTTCTGTTTGAATGGCAGACTCTGAAAGAAACATTAATATAGTAAAGTCCATTATGGGAACAACCACAAAGAAGATGATTGAATACTGAAAATGCTTTATCTAGCAGAAATTTACTCAGACATAAATGTCTTCAAACATTTAAAGGATTGATTTGTAGAAGAATATCTCAAAGGCTGAGCCAGGATCACTGGATTCAAATTATGGGGAAGCAGAACTGAATTTGACAGGAGCAAGAACGTTTGTTTTTCCTTTTACATTGCAGGGGAGTGATTGTCTTAAGACTGATAGATGTTGTCACACATTTTTCAATTAAACGTGCAAGTTTATGTGAAGTGGAGTTTTGTAAGAGGCAGTAATCTTTTTAGCAAGAGATTTCTTTAGAAAATCAAGTGATGGCCGGGTGCGGCGGCTCACACCTGTAATCCCAGCACTTTGGGAGGCCAAGGCGGGCGGATCATGAGGTCAAGATATCGAGACCATCCTGGCCAACATGGTGAAACTCCGTCTCTACTAAAAATACAAAAATTAGCTGGCATTGTGGCGTGTGCCTGTAGTCCCAGCTACTCGGAAGGCTGAGGCAGGGGAATCACTTGAACCCAGTAGGCAGAGGTTGCAGTGAGCCAAGATTGCGCCACTGCACTCCAGCCTGGCGACAACAGAGCGGCCTCCATCTCAAAAAAGAAGAAAAAAGAAAATTAAGTGATAAGGGAAGAACAAGTAAAGCAAATGAGATTTTGACTTTGACTTTTTCATTTAATAGGTTGCATTTAGGTGCTTTTCTTAGCTAGTAAGTATTATTTTTTACTAGTAAATTAAAAGCTTCTTGTTTTTTCTTAAAACAATTTCTTTAAAGTAACAGTATTATTTTCTTGGTGATCGGCTGGTGTTGGAAACGTGTTTCTACCTAATTCTTAAAAGAGGATTATATAACAAAAGTTATCTAGTCTTTAGGGTTCCGTTTTCTAAAGCTAATAAGTCAGCCTTCTTAATGATTGATAAATTTAGAAATATAACTGAACTTTGCAAATTAAACATCAAATGGAATTTTTAAAAAATGAGAATCCACCAAAAAGGGATAATTTTACATAGTTGATCTACTGAAAATTTCATACCATGACATCACCACAGTCTTAAAACTTGTACTGTTACGTAGCAACTTCCATTTCTGCAAGTTGCAAAATTAATAATATAAATATAGAGACGTTCTTTGCCGAGAGTCGTCGGGGTTTCCTGCTTCAACAGTGCTTGGACGGAACCCGGTGCTCGTCCCCCACCCCAGCCGGCCGCCCATAGCCAGCCCTCCCTCACCTCTTCACGGCACCCTCAGACCGCCCCAAGGCCCCTGCCGCCGCCCCAGCGCCACGCAGCCACTGCCACCGCCGCCACCTCTCCTTAGTCGCCGCCATGAGGACCACGTCCACCTCACAGGTGCGCCAGAACTACCACCAGGACTCAGAGGCCGCCATCAACCGCCAGATCAACCTAGAGCTCTGTGCCTCCTACGTTTACCTGTCCATGTCTTACTGCTTTGACCGTGATGATGTGGCTTTGAAGAACTTTGCCAAATACTTTCTTCACCAATCTCATGAGGAGAGGGAGCATGCTGAGAAACTGATGAAGCTGCAGAACCAACGAGGTGGCCGAATCTTCCTTCAGGATATCAAAAAACCAGACTGTGATGACTGGGAGAGCGGGCTGAATGTGATGGAGTGTGCATTACATTTGGAAAAAAATGTGAATCAGTCACTACTGGAACTGCACAAATTGGCCACTGACAAAAATGACCCCCATTTGTGTGACTTCATTGAGACACATTACCTGAATGAGCAGGTGAAAGCCATCAAAGAATTGGATGACCATGTGACCAACTTGCACAAGATGGGAGCACTCGAATCTGGCTTGGCAGAATATCTCTTTGACAAGCACACCCTGGGAGACAGTGATAATGAAAGCTAAGCCTCGGCTAATTTCCCCGTAGCCGTGGGGTGACTTCCCTGGTCACCAAGGCAGTGCATGCATGTTGGGGTTTCCTTTACCTTTTCTATAAGTTGTACCAAAACATCCACCTAAGTTCTTTGATTTGTGCCATTCCTTCAGATGAAGAAATTTGGTACCCCCCCCCAAAAAAAGTAATAATAATAATATAAATATATGTATTAGATGAATAGATAGGAAGCAATTAACTTATATATAATTATACTTTAAGTTGAAACAAGATTTAGTATGTGATTTACAAAACAATAGAAGTAGTTAAGTTTCATTAAACCATATGAAATTGTTAACATTTGAACATTTTGACCTATAAAAATGGTGATTTCATATGGCTCAATCAAGTATTATAACAGGTTTCAATAGCAAAAATGTTTAAGCTCCAGCCAGTGTCCTACTTATTCCAGTTAATGTTTAAAACAGAATTGCCACAAAAGCATTATTTCATCTTTAGGCCTCAATGAAAGAAGATAAAAGTACAGAAAAAAAAATTTTACATCTAATCAAATATGATGTAATAAGTGATTTTATTCACTCCATGGGGTATGTCAATAGAATTTGTTTAGGAATGAAAAAGATGGGCTCAGCATGATGGCTCACACCTATAACCTCAGCACTTTGGGAGGCCCAGGTGAGCAGTTTGCTTGAACCCAGCAGTTGGAGACCTGCCTAGGCAACTTGATGAAACCCTGTCTCTACAACAAATACAAAAATCAGCAAGGTGTGGTGGCACTTGCCTGTAGTCTCAGTGACTTGAGAGGCTGAGGTGGGAGGATTGCTTGAGCACAGGAGCTTGAGGCTGCAGTGAACTGTGATTGTACCACTGCACTCTAGCCTGGGCAACAGAGTGAGACCCTGTGTCTCAAAAAAAAAAAAAAAAAAAATCAAAGATGTAAACATAACAAGGTGGTAGTGTTTGGTTATTAATGATTAGAGAATTTTAGCAAATAAAGACCATAGACCAGATTCCATCACAAGCTTCTTCAGGATCTTAGTGGGACTACAGAAAGTACTTTTGTACCAAGTATACTAAGGAAGATAAAGTTATATGCAGACTATTAAGCAGTTACTTCATAAAGAATATATATATATATAGCCAGTATTCATATGAAAAAGTGCTTAGCATCATTATTCATTGTAGAATTTCCAATTAAAACCACAATGAGGTATTACCTTACTTCCATTAGAATTAGTAAAACGAAAATGGCTTACAGCACCAAATGTTAACAAGGATATGAACCAACTGAAACACCTTCTTGTATATGTAAAATGATACAACCACTTTGGGAAAGTTTTGCAGTTTCTTCAAATGTTAACAAACTATTATCCCATAACCTATAAATTTCATTTCTGGGTATTTATATTAGAGAAATGAAAACATGTTTACAAAAAGCCTTGTATAAGAATGTTCATAGCATCTTTATTCTTAACATTACTCATACAATGAATTATTACTAAGCAATAAAAAGGGATGACCTATGAAACTATATGGATTTGTCTCAAAATTCCTTGTATGTGAAAGAAGCACATACTGTTTGATTCCATTTGTGATAAGTTCTAGAATTAATAAAATTAAAAATCTATTGTATTAGTCCGTTTTCATGCTGCTGATAAAGACATACCCAAGACTGGGCAATTTGCAAAAGAAAGAGGTTTAATTGGACTTACAGTTCCATGTGGCTGGGCAGGCCTCAGAATTATGGCAGAAGGCAAGAAGGAGCAAGTCATGCCTTTCATTGATGGCGGCAGGCAAAGAAGGAGCTTGTGCAGGGAACTCCTGTTTTTAAAACCATCAGATCTCGTGAGACTCATTCACTCACAGGAAATGAACCTGCACCCTTAATTCAATCGCCTTCCACCGGATTCCTCCCACAGCAGATGGGAATTGTGGCAGTTACAATTTAAGATGAGAATTGGGTGGGGACAGAGCCAAACCATATTTTTCTGCCCCGGCCCCTCCTAAATCTCATGTCCTCATAGTTCAAAACCAATCATGCCTTCCCAACAGTCCCCCAAAGTATTGACTCATTTCAGCATTAACTCAAAAGTCCACAGTCCAACATCTCATCTGAGACAAGGCAAGTCCCTTCTTCCTGTGAGACTGTAAAATCAAAAGCAAGTTAATTGCTTCCTAGATACAATGGGGGTACAGGCATTGGGTAAACACAGCCATTCCAAATGAGATAAGTTGGCCAAAACAAAGGGGCTGTAGGCCCCATGCAAGTCCGAAATCCAGCAGGGCAGTCATATCTTAAAGCCCCAAAATCATCTCTTTTGACTGTCTCACATCTGGGTCATGCTGATGCAAGTGGTGGGTTCCCATGGTCTTGGGCAGCTGCGCCCCTGTACAGCCTCCCTCCTGGCTGTTTTCATGGGCTGGCCTTGAGTATCTGCGGCTTTTCCAAGCACACGGTGCAAGCTATCAGTGGATCTACCATTCTGGGGTCTAGAGGACAGTGGTCCTCTTCTCACAGCTCCACTAGGTGGTGCCCCAGTAGGGACTCTGTGTGGCTCTGATCCCACATTTCCCTTCCACACTGCCCTAGCAGAGGTTCTCCATGAGGGCCCCCAACCCCTGCAGGAAACTTCTGCCTGGGCATCCAGGTGTTTCCATACATCTTCTGAAATCTAGGCAGAGGTTCCCAAACTCCAGTTCTTCTGTGCATTCACAGGTTCAGCACCACATGGAAGCTGCCAAAGCTTGGGACTTGCACCCTCTGAAGCCACAGCCTGAGCTCTGCATTGGCAGCTTTCAGCCATGACTGGAGTGGCTGAGATGCAGGGCACCAAGTCCCTAGGCTGCACACAGCACATGGACCCTGGGCCTGATCCATGAAACCATGTTTTCCTCCTAGGCCTCCAGGCCTGTGATAGGAGGGGCTGCCGTGAAGACCTCTGACATGCCTGGAGACATTTTCCCCATTGTCTCAGGGATAACATTTGGCTTCTTGTTTCTTATGCAAATTTCTGAAGCCAGCTTGAATTTCTCCTCAGAAAATGGGATTTTCTTTTCTGTCACATTGCCAGGCTGCAAATTTTCTAAACTTTTATACTCTGCTTCCCTTATAAAACTGAATGACTTTAACAGCACTCAGGTCACCTCTTGAATGCTTTGCTGCTTAGAAATTTCTTCCTCCACATACCCTAAATCATCTCCTTCATGTTCAAAGTTCCACAAATCTCTAGGGCAGGGGAAAAGGCCACCAGTCTCTGCTAAAACGTAACAAAACTCACCCTTACTCCTGTTGGGGAACAAGTTCCTCATCTCATTCTGAGACTACCTCAGCCTGGGCCTTATTGTTCATATTGCTGTCAGCATTTTTGTCAAAACCATTCAACAAGTCTCTAGGAAGTTCCAAACTTTCCCACATTTTCATATCTTCTTCTGAGCCCTCCAAACTCTTCCAACCTCTGCCTTTTACCCATTTTTTAAGCCACTTCCACATTTTCAGGTACCTTTTCAGCAACGCCCCACTCCTGATACCAATTTACTATATTAGTCCGTTTTCATGCTGCTGATAAAGACAAGACTTGGCAATTTACAAAAGAAAGAGGTTAATTGGACTCACAGTTCCACATGGCTGGGGAGGCATCAAAATCATGGCAGAAGGCAAGGAGGAGCAAGTCATGTCTTACATCAATGGCGGCAGGAAAAGAAAGCTTGTGCAGGAAACTCCTGTTTTCAAAACCATCAGATCTCGTGAGACTCATTCACTATCACGAGAACAGAACAGGAAAGACACATCCCATAATTCAATCACCTCCCACTGGGTTCCTCCCACAACACGTGGGAATTGTGGGAGTTACAATTCAAGATGAGATTTGGGTGGAGACACAGCCAAACTGTATCATCTATGGTTATCATAATAAAAACTGTGATTCTTCTTGCTTTGGTGGGGAAAAGGAATTGAGTAGGAAAGGACAGGAGGGAATTTTTGTGGGAATAGTGATATTCCTTATGTTGATTATGGTGTAGATTACACAATGTATGCATTTGTCAGAACTGATGAACTGAGTGCTTAAAATATGTTTATTTTACAGTATGTGAATTATACCTCGTTAAAAATATTTTCAAAATTGATAATGGTTTGACAGTCATTTTCAGAAAGTTGAATTTGAAATAGTATATACAGTTTTCATGTACCCATAATTACAAACTGTATGAATGCATTTCTAAACCATATATATATATCTAAAACCTGCTAATATAGCACAGTGATTAAGAAGGGCTCTAAAGTCAGACTTCAAAATTCAGTCTTGCTAAATTGTACTAACTTACCTTAGGCAAATTACCATACCTCTCTATGTGTCCTCAGTTTCCTCAGTCATAAAATGGGAATAATTTAATACCTACTTAATTGGGTTATATTGGAATTATATGAACTAATTAATATAAAACTCTTGGAATAATTAATGCTTGGAACATAGTGCTCATTCACTAATGTTAACATCTTAGATTAATAGTACTGCTATTGATATTACTAATTAATGCCTCTTCAGTTTTCTTGGCCTCCACAATTTTTTTTTTTTTTTTTTTTTTTTTTTTGCCTACTGAATAATTTGGCATTTATACCAAAAAGTTGGAATATTGTTTCTCAACTCTGGAATCATATATTTAAAATATTTACAAAAGGCTTGTTATATTTATACTGTTTTATGCTCTGTAGATGTGAAGACCTGGTCCCATTTGTTAAGGAGTTTTTGTTATGGGAGAAAGGTACAGGGAGATATTACATAATACAGAGTCACAAAGTCTGTGATGGAGATTATCAAGGGTGCTGTGGAAGAACCAGATACTTGGCTCATACTTGGCAGAAGATAATGCCTATACTTGACTTTTTTTTTTTTGTGGGGTTGGGGTTCAGGGGCGTCTGTTTATTTTTGTTATTTTTTTTTTCTTCATTGCTTCTGAAATGTTTAGCACCTACCACTAATTCAAACTCTGAACAACTCCTAGGCTGGGAGAAATCATATTTCACAATAATAATGGTTAGGATGACGTGTTCCATTTCATTGAAGTCTAGATTAACTTAAGGTACATATAGGAAAATATAACAGTTTAGAATCTGGTTAAGTCAAAGTCAGTAACCAGTCTGCCCAAAACTAAACTTTGAACCTTTCTACCCTAATCTGAACGTCCCATCTCTGTTAATAGCAGCTACATCCTTTCCTTGGCTCAACCCTATGGAATGTGTCAATAGAATTTCTTTAGGAATGAAAAAGATAAGCAGAGATGTAAATATAATAACCAAGTGTTAGTGTTTGGTTATTAATGATGAGAGAAATTTAGCAAATAGAGACCTTATACCAGATTCCATCAGGTGCTTCTTCAGGAACAGAGTGGGACTACAGAGAGTGCTTTTATACCAAGTGTAAACCCTAAGGCCCAAAACCTTGGAGCACATCCGTAACTGCTTTTTCTCTCACTCCACATCTACCCTAACAGCAAATCCAATCAGCTCTTCATGCATGATTGTATCTAGAATTTGATCACTTCTCCTTCATAGCTGCATTCTTGTCCAAGCCACCATCTCTTTTTTGTAAAATATATATAATTGAGCAGTTTTTTTTTTTTACAAGTTATGCATCTGGTACCACTATCTAACACCGGGATATTTTTCTCACCCTAAAAAGAAAACCCTGTACCCATTAGCAGTTATTCTTCATTCTCCCTTTTCCTAGCCCTTAACAACCACCAATCTTTCTGTGTCTATAATTTGTCTATTCTCAACATTTTGTATACATAGAATTATATAATAAGTGACTTTCTGTGTGTGGCCTCTTTCTTTCCCTTTCCTTTCCTTCCCTTCCCTTCTCCCGTCTCCCTTCTCCCTTCCCTTCCCTTCCCTTTTTCCTTCCCTTCCCTTTCCTCTTCCTTTTCCCCTTCCCTTTCCTCTTCCCTTTCCCCTTTCCTTTCCCCTTTCCTTTCCTTTCCTTTCCTGTTTCTCCATGTTGGTCAGGCTGGTCTCCATCTCCCGACCTCAGGTGATCTGCCTGCCTCGCCCTCCAAAGTGCTGGGATTACAGGTGTGAGCCACCACGCCCAGCCATTTGTGGCCACTTTCAAGTAGAGTAATCTTTACAAAGTTTATCCGTGTAATATAAATCAGAACTTTATTCCTTTTTATGGCTGAGTAGTATTTCCATATGTAGATATACTAGATTTTGTTTATTCATTCTATACTTGTCTTTGAGAGAGTAATTGGAATTAGCCATGGGGAACACATTCCAGGCTAAGAGAGCAGAAGTGCAGTCAGTCACCCGATATCCTAAGAAAGCCTGGTATTTTGGAGGGATATATCTGATTTAACATACCTGAAAGAAGAAATGGTTTGGAGAACAGAGAACAAGTGAGGGAGGGGTAGCAAAACAACTGGATTGTTGTTAGGGTCCATAGTCTAAAATATTCTGTACATAGTGTTAAGAAATTTGGATGTGATTTGAGGGAATTCATAAAAATTTCCTCTGACTAACTCAGATTTAGGATTTTTTAAATTGTTCAAAAATAGGAAAAACCCAAAGATGGGTAGTTTTGTTTTCATATAATAACGACTACCTTAGGCTTGTGTTTAAACACATTAAACAGATTAAAAGCCTTTTAGGGAGTTGTTCTTTAATAAATTTTAATGCTAAATTCCCTTTTTGCTTAAAGTAGTGGAAGTAGGCTGGGTGCAGTGGCTCACGCTTGTAATCCCAACAGTTTGGGAGGCCAAGGCAGGCAGATCACTTGAGGTCAGGAGTTCGAGACTAGCCTGACCAACATGGTGAAACCTCATCTCTACTAAAATTACAAAAGAAATTAGCCAGGCGTGGTGATGGGTGCCTGTAATCCCAGCTACTCGGGAGTCTGAGGCAGGAAAATCGCTTGAACCCAGGAGGAGGAGGTTGCAGTGAGCCAAGATCCTGCCATTGCACTCCAGCCTGGGTGACAAGAGTGAAACTCCATCTCAAAAAAAAAAAAAAAAAAAAGTAGTGGAAGTAATTGAAATAGATTTTCC
The DNA here is from genome assembly GCF_000001405.40 of Homo sapiens. Taxonomy (NCBI): domain Eukaryota; kingdom Metazoa; phylum Chordata; class Mammalia; order Primates; family Hominidae; genus Homo; species Homo sapiens. The sequence continues at coordinate 77,727,444 of NC_000011.10, read as the reverse complement.
TAGCAATATTAGCTCTCTTACGTTTTGAAGCTTTTTAAAATTGTTATGGTGCATAACTTCAGTATACTCTTCAGTTCCCACCATGACTTTCAGAAATAAATAGATCGAGCCATTCGTTGCATATGGAATTCTCTTTTTCCTTTTTTTAACATATGGAATTCTCAATGGAATATGAGTAGTAATAAAGCATAGATCCTTAAGTTAGAAGCAGGTTGTAATGAAATTAGGGGACTGGATCTTTGCCAAAAATAAATAAAGTCTCTGAGTCTTAATTTTCCTTCCTGTAAAATGGAGGCAGGACCAGACAAGACTTTGAGAAAACATCTAGTCTTACCTTTTGATATTAGATAATTAAAATTCTAGACTGGTTATTATATATGCTCATATGATATGTATGAACATGTATGTTTTATTCTCATGTATAATTGATTGTCATTTTAATTTCTGATTTTTATCAGTGGCAATTTTACTGCTTTATTTAGAAGACCAATTTAGTAATACTCAAGAGAATCTGTTCTTTTATTTTATAAATAAGAAAGCTGAGGCCTAATGAGGATATACAACTTGTCCAGGGGCTCTTTGGAATGCAGAGTTCCTACTCTAAAGCAGTAGAATCTAGCTGGCATGGAATTGGAAAGGGAAAGGAGGGTAGGAGCCATATGTGACATGACAGATAAGAAAACGAGTCATTTCATCTTAACAGTTTTCACTTTGAATCAGGGGTATTTACATCGCACATTGAGAACACAGATGGGAGGATCTTGGTGCTAATTAATAATCTAGTGGCATATCTAGAACTCAGTTTCCCAACTCTTAGTCCAGGGCCTGCTTTTTATCTTCAGCATTATGCACTGTCTGACAGCATTTCTTGCTTGTCTGAGCAAGAAAAATATCCAAGTGAGTTTTCTCAGTTGTAAGTGGCATTTAAATTAACCATACCACACCTTTGTTTTTGCTAGTAAAAATATAGGATTTTATTTGCCAGATACAGGGATATACAACTGTAGTCCTAGCTACTTGGGAGGCTGAGGTAGGAGGGTCTTGAGCCTGGGAATTTGAGGTTACCGTGAGCCGTGATCAGGTCACTGCATTCCAGCCTGGATGACAAAGTGAGACCATGTCTCTTTTTTAAGTAGAATTTATAGGTTAGACTTTTATTTATTTGGAATTTTCTGGTATTGTGGAATCAGTTATAAACCATTATTAACAAAATAAAATCAGCTACCAAAATTTTTTATGTTTTTAAATTGTGTTATTGGAACTGATGTTTTGCTGTAATCAGAAAGTTCTGGATCTTAATTTTGTAGCAGTGTCAAATGCTATTATCTCTGAAGGTAGAAAAGAATTATTTCCAAATGAATCAAGAACAAAACAAAAAAATACTTTTGCAATCAAGTTTTACATTGATTTCATCTCCTTAGAGATTACATACTATTTTTAAAGTTATCAAACGTTGATTTTTGTGTAATTTTGTTCCTACTTTTCTTTTCAACCCAAGAGATATTCATTGTCATTCCAATCAGTAGAGAGGAAAATCTAATATTCTTCTCTGAAGAACAGTATATTTTAATGTGTTTTTCTTAGTGCTTTTAAAATTCAGGGTTAATTAGGGCTAGCTGTACCAGTGTTTTTGATGTTCTTAATGTATTTTTCTTTTTTTATTTTAATTTCTATTGGTATTATTCAGAAAGTTCTCTAGAACAGGAAAAAGGTTTTTATGCTGTCTTATTTTTTTCCTTGTTTAGAAATCGAAACGAGTTGGCTGAGACTCTTGCACTCCTGAAAGCACAAATTGATCCTGTACTATTGAAAAACTCTAGCCAACAAGACAACTCTTCTCGGGAAAGTCCCAGCTTAGAGGATGAGGAGACTAAAAAAGAGGAAGAAACACCTAAACAAGGTTTTTTTTTGTGTGTTTTGTTTTGCTTTGTTTTGTAATCTCTTCCATATTCTTCCACTCCTCTTCCCAACTATATAATTCTGAATTTCTATCTCAATTTGAATTGGGAGCCTTCTTATAAAAGGAGGTTGATTTTTCCTTAATTTAAAGAAAATGAGGCCAAAAATATTAAATATGTTGCTCTTTTATGTAGAACATTTAAAAATATCTTAGTAAAAAATGTTCAGATCATCAAAACATAATATTTTTTACTAAGGAATGTGAAGACATTTAATGAACTTTTTTATTGTGGCAAAATATAACATAAAATTTACCATTTTAACCATTTTTAACCATACAGTTCTGTGGCATTAAGTACATTCATATTGTTGTGATGCACCCATCACCACCATCCATCTCCAGAACTTTTTTGATCTTTCTCAGTTAAAGCTCTGTATGTTTTAAACACTAAACTCTGCATTTTTCCTTCCCCTCAGCCCCTGGCATCTCTCATTCTGCTATCTGTCTCTTATGAATTTGATCATTCATATCCGAGGAATCATAATGCTTGCACTTTTGTGACAGGCTTATTTCACATAGCATAGTGTCTTCAAAGTTCATCCATGTTACAGGGGTCCCCAACCCCCAGGCCAAGGAGTAGTACCAGTCTGTAACCTGTTAGGAACCAGATTGCACAGCAGGAGGTGAGCAGGGACGAGTGAGCATTACCACTCCAGTGAGCATTACCGCCCAAGCTCCACCTCCTGTCAGATCAATGGCGGTGTTAAATTCTCATGGGAGCACAAACCCTATTGTGAACCACTTATGCAAGGGATCTAGGTTGCACACTCCTCATGAGAATCTACTGCTTGATGATCTGAGGTGGAACAGTTTCATCCCAAAACCATCCCCCCAGCCCACCTCCTATAGAAAAATTGTCTTCCACGAAACTGTTTCCTGGTGCCAAAAGGTTGGGAACCACTGTTGTAGTGTATGTCAGAATTTTCTTCCTTTTAATAATAATAAGTTATTGAATAATTGTCCATTGTATGTATATACCACATTTTGTTTATCAATTCATCCATCAGTGGGCACTTGAATTTCTTCCACCTTTTGGACGTTGTGAATAATGCTGCCATGAACTGGGTGTACAGATATCTCTTGAGTCCCTGCTTTCCCTTCTTTTAATCCAGAAGTGGAATTGCTGGATCATATATGGTAATTCTGTGTTTAATTTTTTGAGGAAGCACATACTGTTTTCCACAGCAGTTGCATCATTTTACATTCCTTCCAGTAGTGCCCAAGGACTCTAGTTGCTTCCCATCCTCACCAACACTTGTTTCTGTTTGTTTTTTTATAACAGCATCTCATTGTAATTATTAGTTCCTAATGACAAGTGATGTTAAGCATCTATCTTTTCAAGTGTTTATTGGCCATTTGTATATCTTCTTTGGAAAAATGTTTATTCAAGTTTTTTGTCCATTTTTTCTTTGGGTTGTTTATTTTTTTGTTATGCTTTGAAAACTCTTAAGTCTATGATAATTGTAATTGTTAAACCTGATTTCTGATTGAGTTTTCTAATTTGCTTAACTAGGCAGATCAAATTCTAACCATTCTAGGAAGACAGAGCCAAGTCCTGAGCTCTTCAAAAGGAAAGAAACCAACTGAAATTTTGACCAACATCTTTTTAGTTAATATTTGTTATTGATAACCTTTTAATGACAAGGGAAGGAATTTGCTTTCCTTATTATGTTTTCTTTGCTTTTAGTTTGCTTCTGCTAGTTTTGATTAGAACCTAAAAATAATGTTATTCCTTTATTTGCTGCTCTCAGGAAACCATTTATAGAAAGCATTCCATATCTGCAAGCATTGCTTGTAAACAAGGAATTATGCCTTTCCGTGTAGTATATAATAATGTTCCTATGTATTAAGCATTGCTTTTAGCCGAAATGTTGATTACCGTCCTTCATTGCTTATGTGGTTTTATTTCAAATGTCTGTGGTGGTTTTATTTCTAAGCCCAATTTCTGCTTTGAAAAATTATTTTTCATATGTTAAAATTAAACTTACAGACTACTTTAGGAAAGCCTTTTTTTTCCCCTTTGAGACAGGATCTCTCTCTGTCGCCCAGGCTGAAGTACAGTGGTGCAGTCATTGCTCACTGCAGCTTAGAACTCTTGGGCTCAAGTGATCCCAGCCCTTCAGCCTTTCCTGAGTAGATAAGACTACAGGCATGTGCCATCAGGCCCAGCTAGTTTTCATTTTTTATTTTTTGTAGAGATGGGATCTTGCTCTGTTGCCCAGGCTGGTCTTGACTTGGCCTCAGGCGACCCTCCTGCCTTGGCTTCCCAAAGTGCTGGGATTATAGGAATGAGTCACTGTGCCCAGCCACGCATAATAATTTAAAAGTAGTCTGAGCCTCCTGTTGAATTTCTATTCTTTTTTAGTAGTATTTTCCAAGGATTAGTTCTAGGTTTAAACTTAATGTTACTTGTTCATTTTGGTCATTCATTCACATATTTTCTTATTCCCATACACAATTAAAATCAAAGCCAGAGAAAATGTGAATTGGAAACCAAGGTCAGAATAATAGAAATTTAAGAGGCAATTATTTCTAATACAAGACCTCAAAATTGACACTGATCTTGAAGGGAGACTAATTGTGTAGTTTAAAGTAGAAAGAAAAACAGAACAAACTTTTTCTAGGTAAGCTATTCCTAATAGTTAATGCTGAAATTTCTTTGTGGGGCCTTATAGTAGATAATGGGGGATTTCAACAATAACAACAGCTAACATTTATTGGGCACATCCTGTTTTCTTTGCAGTCTACCAAATGCTGCATATGGATTTTCATTTAATCCTCATAGCAACTCTTTGAGGTAACTACTATTATTATTTTAATTTTACAGATGAGGAAATTGGAACATTTATAATGTTGCCTCAGGTCATATACATAATTAAGTGTCAGAGTCTAGATTTGAAGCCTGATCCTTCTATACCCTATGCTCTTAAAGTGGTCTAGAGTAGTACTTCTCAAACTTTAATATGCTGGGTGTTCACTTCGGGAGTTTTTTAAAGTACAGAATCTGGTGGAGTGGGTCTTGGCTGTCTGCTGATTGGCTATTTTAACAAGGACCTATGTAATGCTGATACTGCTGGTTAGAGGACCATATTTTGAGTAATAAGGTCATCTCCTAACTTCTG